>NC_000010.11:100900671-101203701 GCF_000001405.40 Homo sapiens
TAGTAGAGACAGGGTTTCACCATGTTGGCCAGGCTGGTCTTGAACTCCTGACCTCAGGTGATCTGCCCGCCTCAGCCTCCCAAAGTGCTGGGATTACAGGAGACAGCCACCTCACCCAGCCAAATGTCTTCTATTTTAAGAGAGCACTCTATGACTCTGAGGGTCCTAGACTGGGTTCCCAATTCAACAGGTCTCAATCTCGTCAGTCGTGGCTGCCCCTGTGCATTTACTTAAACCGACATATACATTTTAATCATTATGCAACATCTATAGGTAGGCTGCAACATTCTATGACTAACGAACAGTCTGAAAATGTCAGAACTTTTGAGTCCTAAAGCCAGTCCTGAGTAAGTCATGCATAACCTCCTGGTACCTATAACATAAGGTCTGCAGAATGCATAATTTCCCAAGCCCTGTAGAGATTGGGTGGTGGGTACTGCAGAAAGAAGGGGAAGGTTTCATGAGTAAATGTAATACCAAAGCAAGTTTTGAATATGAGTGCCTCATGGGTCGGTACATCTGTGGACATCTGTTGTTTTGCCATTTGTTCTGCCGAGTTGGAGACACCCAGAATCCCCTAGGCTGATCCCTTGACTTTCCACACCTGTCCACATCTGAATTTTTCGTTTGTGATCTAAGCCAGCAGCACTCTAAGGGCCTCTAGAAACTCAGACGCGACATTTCTAGGCACGCTCCACAAAACAAAAACAAAGGACATTTTCCTGCTCCTGACTACTCAGGAAAGGTTTGTTTCTGCTCTGGTCATAAGAACACAAAGTGAGAATTTTGTGCTAGGAAGAGTTCAGAAAGAGAACACTATGAGAAAGAGCACATGAGACTCCAACATGGGAAACTAGAGATTCTGGGAAAATCTTGGAACGGATGGTTTGGGTTTATCACATGTTGGGACCTCAGACTAAAGCCTGCTTCAAGAGCAAACAGAAGAGGAAAAAGACAGATTTGGTGAGTGACCTGGAGAGGACTGGGGTGGAAGTCCCACAGAGTGGCTCACCTAGTTCCTTAAAATGCAAAGAATGTTCTCAGGTTCATCTAATGCAATGCATTTCTCTAATGTCTCCAGTTGTTTCTGGCTGGGAAGTAAGTGCCTGGGACGGAGGGGCTGGGGAAAGAAAGAAGAAGGAGGGCACTATTGACTAAGGCCCAAACCAGGAATAAGTGACAACTGGGATTACTCCTGGAACTTCAGTTGGGAATGTTCAAGTGCCACATAGGCTAGCTCTGTCCCTGCACCAACTGCATCCTCTTGCCCTAGGAATCACCTTTTCAGGAAGGGGCCTTGTGTCAAAAAATCAGAGGAAGTTGGGGCTAGGCAAGCAGACAGGCTGGGGGAACTAACTCGGTTGTAAGAGCTAGCCTCCATGGAGAATGTACCACCCCAATTTCAGTGGACAGGTGTTTCAACATCCTCAGTCCTAATTCTAAAAAAGGCATTAAGACATCCAGGACAAGTCAACAAGGTCTTCATGCAAGCATGCCAAGTGCCTACTATGAATAAATAAAATAGTTCTTAATAATGGGTTTAATAAATAGGGATAATCGGAATTAACCTTTATTGAGCTACTAGATATCAGACATTATTATAAGCACTTTAAGAGACAGAGTATTGCTCTGTCATCCAGGCTGGAGTGCAGCAGTGCGATCATAGCTCACTGCAGCCTCCAACTCCTGGGCTCAAGTGATTCCCCTACCTCAGCTGGGACTATAGGCGCACACCACCTCACCTGGCTAATTTTTAAATTATTTTGTAAAGATGGGAGTCTCGTTTTGTTGCCCACGCTGGTCTCAAATTCCGGTCTTCAAGCGATCCTCCCATCTTGGTCTCCCAATATAAGCACTTTATATATGCTAACTGACTTAATACAAGCCATTGAGATGGGTACTATTACTATCTCCATTTTGCAAATGAAGAATCTGAAGCACAGAGAGGCTAAGTACCTTTCTGAACTGTAGCAAAAACTAAGATTCAAACCTAGGCAGTCTGGCTTCAGAGTCCACCACTCCTAACCACTCTGCTATATTGCTTTTTTTTTTTTTTTTTTTTTTTTTTTTGAGACAGCGTCTCACTGTCACCCAGGCTGGAGTGCGGTAGCGCAATCACTCACTATAGCCTTGACCTGCAGGGCTTAAGCAATCCTCCCACCTTAGCTACCCGAGTAGCTAGGACTACGGGCACGCACCACCATGCCTGGCTTTTGTTATTTTTTGTAGAGACAAAGTCTCATTATGTTGCCCAGGCTGGTCTCAAACTCTTGAGCTCAAGTGACCCTCCTGCCTCAGCCTCCCAAAGTGCTGAGATTACAGGCATGTAATTACATGGATTACGCACCCAGCCTGTACAGCCTCTTGAGATGAACAGACAGAGCCCTGTCTAGTTGAAGCTTTCAATCTAGAGAGAAGACATATATACAATAAATTATTTTAATTCAAGGTCATAAATATTAGAGTCACAGTGAATATGAGAGTTCAGCCAGGAGCAACCAGGCCCCTTCAGGGATGTCAAGGAGATTTTTACTAGGAGGACAAGTAACACTACAAGGGGCTTGCACAAAAGCCCGAAGTATGAATGAGGCTGAGGTGTTCAAAGAATGGCCAGTAGCATTGTCCTGAATGGCTCAACGTAAGATGCACGGGGAGGATCAGTATGATTTCACAGCAAAGGTACAGAGGGACCGGATCACAGATTATGTAGCATGGCAAACGTTAAAATGTGTTAGGGGGTTTTGTTTGATTTTGTTGTTGTTGTTGATTATGTTTTTGTTTTATTTGCTTGTTGGTAATGAGTTTGGGAGTAGCATGCTCAGATTTGCTTATTAGAAAGATAGTTCATGCTGCAATGTGTAAGATGGATTGAAGAAGGGAAAAACTGAAGGACAGGAGACCAATTTGGAAGCTGTTTCAAAAGACTCTGCAAGGACCGATCAGGACCTGTACAGGGGTGCAGCAGATGAGATAGAAAAGAGTACTCAAAATATGTATTTTTTAAAAACTGTACAAACCAATAAGAAAGATATAAACAAGGCCAGGCATGGTGGCTCACGCCTGTAATCCTAGCACTTTGGGAGGCCGAGGCGGGACGATCACGAGGTCAGGAGATCAAGACCATCCTGGCTAACACGGTGAAACCCCGTCTCTACTAAAAATACAAAAAAATTAGCTGGGTGTGGTGGCACGCACCTGTAGTCCCAGCTACTCAGGAGGCCGAGGCAAGAGAATCATTTGAACCCAGGAGGCGAAGGTTGCAGTGAGCCAAAATCGTGCCACTGCACTCCAGCCTGGGCGACGGAGCAAGACTCTGTCTCAAAAAAAAGAAAAATATAAGCAATATAGTAGAAAATGAGTGAAATTTACAAATAGGCAATTAACAAAAGAAGAATCTAAATGGGCTCCCCAAAGATGTCGAAAGAGATATTCAAGCTAATAATTAAGGGAATGCAAAATAAAACAATGAGAAACCACTTTCACCCTTCAGGTTAGCAAAAACAAAAAAGGATGATGATTTCAAATATTGGAGCGAACATAAGGAAAACAGTGCTCTCATACATTGCTAGTGGGATTGTACATTAATTCAGCCATTTATGGAAAGCAATTGTGCAGTATACAATAAACTTGATAATACAAATACCCTATGACCCAGTAATTTCCCTTCTGATTATATAACCCATAGAAATTCTTGCACATGGACACAAAGAAACATGTACAGAGATGTCCATGACAGCATTGTTTGTAACAGACAAATAAAATGTGACATATTAACTGGCATACATAAATAAAATGTACATGTATGCATATTTTTTAAACATATACAAAATAATCCTATATATTCTGTATGATTAAATATATATGTATATTAAAATGTTTAGTGGACTTTAAAATCACAATAGTGGTGGAGAGGAGAATTAACCTGGGGGTGATAGTGGAAAAAGGACCTGTAATGTTTTACTATAAAAACAAAAAGACCAGCAAAGAAGAAACTGGATAAAATGTTAACAGTTGTGAGTCCAGAGTGGTGCATATGGGTTTGTAATACTATTATTGGTGTTTGTCTATACCTTTTACATTTCTAAAAAGAATCATATAGGAGTGTGTGTGTGTAGGAGAGAAGAAAGGAAACAAGTGCTATTTAGTGTGAAAATCAATGAGACTTGGTGATGATAACAGGTAGGGTCTGAAGCTGACAGAGGGAGGAATTAGTAGGACTCCCACATTTCTGGCTTGGGTGACAGGTCAGGGGAGAGGATAAAATCATTCACTGAGATGAGAATAATGGAGGGGACAGCATCAAATTCGGGGTTTGGGGAGGGAAGATAGAGTTATGTTTCAAACACATTGAGTTTGAGAACCCAGCAACAGATGTTTCTGCTACCAAATCCCCTATCAGGCTGGCTCCCACACTGCCCACAAGGAGAAAGTAAGAGTGGGGATTTCTCAGTGGTGAGGTCCTGAGAAAGGGAGACAGAGACGTGAGCAGAGGCTAGCAGAGATACCAGAGGCCATCTGGCAAGGCCTTCTCTGAAAGCATTTAACATAGCACTTTGCATAACTTTTCATCTAAAACCACTGGTCCTTTTTTTTTTTTAAAATGAGATACATAGACATTAAAAAGCATGGATATATATTCACATATTTCCTTGGAAAAATTATATATGCAGTTGATAAAATGTAAATTTTACAAATAAGGGAAAACCTCTCTCTCTAGAGGCAACCACTGTCATGAGCTTCTTTACCTATGAGCAAGCTGGACATTTAAAAGAGCCAATGGTCTATATCTATCAAAAATATAAAATGCACATGTCCTTTGACCTGACAATTTCCCTTTTAATGTATCTTAGATACATACTTCCATGTTCACAAAGATGGATGTATAAAGGTATTCACTGCAGCATTATCAGTAACAAAAGACTGAAAGGGAACTAGTCCAGCAATCAGGAACTAGTTAAATAAATGCTCATTCACAGTAGAATACTAGGCTGCAGTTAGAAAATCACTTAAGGGCCGGGCATGGAGGCTCACACCTGTAATCCTAGCACTTTGGGAGGCCATGGCAGGCAAATCACTTGAGGTCTGGAGTTCGAGACCAACCTGGCCAACATGGCAAAACTCTGTCGCTACAAAAAATACAAAAATAAGCCAGCTGTGGTGGCACGCACCCATAGTCCCAGCTACTCAGGAGACTAAGAGATGAGAATTGCTTGAACTCAAGAGGCGGAGGTTGCAGTGAGCCGAGATCGTGCCACTGCACTCCAGCCTGGGCAACAGAGGGAGACCCTATCTCAAGAAAAAAAAAGAAAAGAAAATCACTTAGCGTCAGGCATGGTGCCTCATGCCTGTAATCCCAGCACTTTGGGAGGCCGAGGTGGCCCAACGGCTTGAGCCCGCGAGTTTGAGACCAGCCTGGGCAACATGGTGAAACCTTGTCTCTACAAAAAATACCAAAAATTTGCTGGGCATAGTGGCGCATGCCTGTAGTCCCAGCTACTGAGGAGGCTAAGGTGGGAGCCTGGGAGGCTGCAGTGACCACACCACTGCACACCAGCCTGGGCAACAAAGTGTGACCCTGTCTCAAAAAAAAAAAGAAATAAAGAAAAAGAAAAGAAAATCACTTAGGAAGCACAGCATCCTTCCAGAGATAGTCTTGGCACATACATGCAAATAACTGCTTTTATTTATATGAAAAATAACTTATGTATAATAGTAACATACACTGTTCTGCAACTTAATTTTTTTGTTTTGTTTTTTGTTTTGTTTTGTTTTGAGATGGAATCTCACTCTCACCCAGGCTGGAGTGCAGTGGCACGATCTTGGCTCACTGCAACCTCTGCCTCCTGGGTTCAAGTGATTCTCATGCCTCAGCCTCTGGAGCAGCTGGGATTACAGGGGTGTGTCACCACGCCTGGCTAATTTTTGTATTTTTAATAGAGACAGGGTTTTACCATGTTGGCCAGGCTGGTCTCGAACTCCTGGCCTCAAGTGATCCACCTACCTCAGCCTCCCAAAGTGCTGGATTATAGGTGTGAGCCACCACGCCCGGCCTGCAACTTAATTTTTTCACTTAATATATCTTAGAGATTATTCCACACCAGCTTATATTACAAGTAACAATTGCTTAACCTTATATTTATTACATGCTAGGCACTGTTCTACTTGTATACTAACTCATTTTTTAAAAAAAAATTTTTTTAGGCCAGGCGCAGTGGCTCACTCCTGTAATCCCAGCACTTTGAGAGGCTGAGGCAGGTGGGTCACTTGAGGTCAGGAGTTTGAGACCTGCCAGGCCAACACAGCGAAACCCCATCTCTACTAAAAATTAAAAAATTAGCCAGGTGTGCTGGCACGTGCCTGTAATCCCAGCTACTTGGGAGGCTGAGGCAGGAGAATTGCTTGAACCTGGGAGACGGAGGCTGCAGTGAGCTGAGATGGCACCACTACACTCCAGCATGGGCGACGGGGCAAGACTCCGTCTCAAAAAAAAAAAAAAAAAAATTTAAGGTTACTCAAGTGAAGTAGTGGGAGTGGAGAAGGAACAAAGAAATCTGTAACTGGTTGTGATCAATTAGCTGTGTATTAGCTCACTTAAAATTCACAAAAACTTATGAGGCAGATACTACCTGTAGCATCATTCTCCATTACATATGAGCACAGTAGCACAGAGAGGTTGGGTAACTTGCTCAAGGTCATAGATCTACTGAGTGGCAGGGCTGGAATTTGAACCCAGGAAGTAAAGCCCCAGGCCTTGCACATTTAACCACAAAACGTCCTGTGTATCTAACTTAGACTTTCTAACTCAGACTTCCTAACTGCAGCCTAATATTCTACTGTGTGCATGAGCATATATTCAACCAGTCCCCTGTTGCTGGACTATTTAGTTCCCTTTCAGTCTTTTGCTACTGATAATGCTGCAATCAGTACTTTTACACATCCATCTTTGTGAACATAGAAGTACATATCTAAAATATATTAGAAGGGGAATTGCTGGGTCAAAGGACATGTTCATTTGATATTTTTGATAGATATCGGCCATTGGTCCTTTTAAATTCCCATAGGTATTATTCATAGGTAAAGTACAGCAATTTCTTTAAGTATGAAGCCCTGAGTGACATTCTTACCTGCTCTCTGTAATACTGCACTGGGAACCAAAAGCATTCACTATTTTCTCCTCTTTGGCCCCAAGAGACATTTGCTTTAAGAGAACATGATCTCATAGTGCTATAGAAATAAACAAATGTTAGGGTATATGTCAAGACACTAGAGGCTGCATGCTTTGACTGCAGGTCTGTCATGTCTCACCCACTACTCCCCAGGGGCTGACACTGAGAGGAGAGGAGGCAACCCGGGGCTTGCATTCCCATATGGAAGCTATAGCCTGGAGAGGCTGCCCCCATTTAGTGGGGAATGTGTTCTCTAGTTCTACAGTACCGCCCCTCTCCTCACTGAGGCTCAGTAGTAGGTGCCTCTTATTATCATGCCCATGCAGACACTAGACAATGATCATCATTTTCTAATTTGTAGGAATGTGGTGAAGATTAAATGAGTCAGTACTCATGAAGTGCTTAGAACAGTCTCTGGCCCATAATAAGGTTCAGTAAGCGTTGGCCATTGTCATTGCTGTTGTTAAGAAATATTTCTTTAATCCCAAGGCTTTATAAAAGTTAGGAAAATCGACCTGATTCACTCACTTCAGTTACCTACCTAGCCCCTGTAAGCATAAGTGCGAGACCACTCTTTGTACCACTTGAAGCCAGAAATCTAGAATTTTGTGTGAAATCTTTTGGTTTTTAAATGTTGCTCCGTGTCTTTAAACAACTCTTGGCCGGGTGCAGCAGCTCATGCCTGTAATCCCAGCACTTTGGGAAGGCGAGGATGGAGGATGGCTTGAGCCCAGGAATTCAAGATCAGCCTGGGCAATATAGCAAGACCCCGTCTCTACAAAATTTTTAAAATTAGCCAGACATGGCGGCATGTGCCTGTAGTCCCAGCTACTCGAGAGGCTAAGGTGGGAGAATCACCAGAGCCCGGGAGGTTGAGACTATAATGAGCCATGATTGCACCACTGCACTCCAGCCTTGGCTGTTCAGTGCCACCAATACACACAAGTATGAAATATGAACACAGATTACAGCAATGACTTTTAAATATTTCGACCATGGCCCAAAGCAGGGGCCACAGGAATACCTTTTACATCACTACCATATAAAATATATATACAATTGAAGAAGTAAAAAGTTGCAAAACAACACATGCCCATATGTTGTGTGCAGTGAACAGACATTCTCTATTCCATTGTCTTTTTCTTTTTTAAAAACATGGTCTGTAACCCATTACATCAATTTCAAAATCCTCTAAGGAGCTGCTAACCGGGTGTGAAAAACACCTAAATATGGGATAGAATCCCTAAAATCAATATTTCCCCAAGAGTTTCTTATATTTCAGATGTACGAGTAATATCTACGCCTATCAATGCCTACCACCACCACTGGTAAACAAGATAACTCTAGAAGAAACTTGGATATATTTATATTTTTAAACTAGTTATATATTTTTACTAGTATTAGTTTTTAGTTATCTTCCATTTTAGGAAATTGATACTGATTTTCCACTTACGGGAATGATTTAAAGTTTTCTCCTAAAATAAATGTACTTAAATTTAAAAAGCAATTTAAGGAAAAACATTAATAAACAGCATAGGAAATATTCAGACATGTTGAAAATCACAAATACGTGTCTCATGTATCTGAAGTGTGGGAAACTATCTGGCACCATTCTATCATGATAGAACAAGAAATGGACGTTCCTTCACATTAGATCTGCTTTTGCGCAGCTCTACTAATTACTCCCAGAACGTTAGGTTACATGACATGATATTAGTTTACATTTGGCTTTTCCCCAGCAGCCGCTTAAACCTGGGAGGTCCTTTTTCCAAGCACTTGGGCAGTTTCGAGTTTGGCATCCTTTTGCACAGTGATTTGTGTGGATCTTGAGATGCTGTGAGCTTGCCATCCCTTCTTGAGATCATCACGTGGTCTGTCTTTCTCTGTCAGGCTTTCAAGTTAATTATTTCCTGTTTTTCTGAGTCTGTTCCTTATCCCCCTTCCCAGGCCACCCTCTACCCTCACCTTCACCTCCCCCCAGCAGTTCTACAGAAAATCAGTCTTTGTCTCTTGGCCTGCCCTAGAACACCTTCCAACAAGAGCCTTGGAGTTAATTAAATGTGTGGCAATTTCAGAGCAAAAATTTATTACTGGGTACAATCAGAAATTACTTTTAGAGTTCTTTGCTTTTTGGTAACATTCTCTGTCACTTACTGACCTTTTGTTCTCAGTCCCTGCCTGCTTAAGGTACTGTGTGAACCAATCTGCCCAAGCTGTTTTCTCTCTGTGTGACTGCTTAAGATCTCTGGCATGAGTTATACTGTCACTCCTCTCAGGAACTCCCACGTTGGGCTTGATTTTCCCAGCAAACTTGATCTGTTGTTCATGTAACATTGTTTCTGCTGCTGTCCCATTCCTTCTCATCAAGGCCAGAGCCCCCTCCTCCTGTTGTCTTTAACAAGGCAGGGTGCTAAACTGAGCTGAGCTGCACCCCCACAGAAGCTTTGTGCAAAGAAGCCACTCCATTTCTTCAATCTTTGCATCCTCATCCCATCCCCATGCCCAGAAATCTTCCCAAACTAGCCTTTTATGGTCATCCAGCCTTAATTTCTCTTTTCTTCCAAATCCCAGCTAAGTTTTGTCTTAAGTCTCTAACTGGGTTTGGTTACATTGTTCAATGTCCTTTCCCCCCAGTAACCCCCCTGCCATCCTAGTTTTCTCTCCCCTATTAGCTCCTCCTAAGCACGCATCTGAACTCCTTAAATCTTTTACCTAGTGTAGTTTCCTGGTCATCTCCTTTTAGCCCACTACAAATTGAAGTGTAAAAAACCCTTACAATAAACATGTGTGCGTGCACACGCATGCATGGTATATACGTACACATTTAAACTAGGAGAAAGGATATAAACACAAAATAGACTGTCCAGTACTATTTGGGGGTGGGAGGTGGAGAAGAGCCCTAGGCCCTAGAAGTTCCCCTGGGGTTCTTATTAATATGTTGAACATATTTCACCCTGCAACCCAAATCTGTACCACTTTCGTACACAGCTTAAACAAAGAAGAGTCTTGATGCTTATTGAGGATTTAGATAACTACTTCCCGTTAAGAAGATATTTTTAAAATTGTGTTTTCATTATGACTCCATCTCCATTTATTGATCGAGGGATTTCTTGCCTCACTTAACTCCATAATCTGTTACTCAGATTAAGAAAATGAGAAAACTATTGTTTGGTAGTTTGAGTACAGGCTTTAAAGTGATACTTTGGAGGCTGGATGATTCAAGTACTATAATCCAAGAAAAGCAACTAAATGATCATGCAGAACGTGTTTTTATGCATTACTCTTTATCGATTAGGCATGCAAGGAAATGAATCGGATTAAATGTTTCGTAGATGTGCTCTGTTATAGTACAGAAACTTCCTAGTGTAAAAACATCCAACAGAAAGCACTAAGAGATAGGAAATAATACATGTAAAATGCAAATGTGTAAGTCATTCAACACATTTTGAGTATCATGTTTTTTTATGTAAAAAACAATGTTACGTATAGTAAATTCTCCGCTATTAGGAGCAGAAAAGTACCCTCTATTTTGGCACTTCCCTTCTTCCGCCACCATTAGCTAGTATACAGCTGTACATATGTGCTTTTGGGGTGAATGTGAAACCTGTATATTCACTGTTTACCTTCGACCCTCTACTTTGCCAGCTTTTTGTCCACTTTATTCCTTATTAATTCTTCCTCCCGGGGACTAAAGGGGAAGGGAAAAGGAGGTGAACTTGGAGTCAGTCAGGCATGCTTAGTGACCAGAACAGTTCAATTTCGTTTTTTCTAAATTTTAATTAATTAATTTATTTTTGAGACAGGGTCTTGCTATGTTGCCCAGGCTAGTCTCCAACTCCCGGGCTCAAGCTATCCACCTGCCTTGGCCTCCCAAACTGCTGGGATTATAGATGTGAGCAACTGTATCAGGCCAATAGTTCAATTTCTATACAATAAACTTGAAAGACCCGTCCAAATTATTTTATATCATTTAAGATTTTTTTCCATCCAACTGATTAAATAACTCTGTCAATTAAAGCTTGGACATCTTGAAATTGATATTTTGGTTGTTAACAGTTATTGCAACAGTATTTGACCTGTCTCTGGAAGATTTTGTAAAGAAGTAAAATTCGCTGTAGGAATCTATCTGGGGAAGAAAGGGAACTATAATTTGCTCTGTACCTGTTACATGAGAGAATCTGAACTGTGCAGTGTACACTGTTTTATCCTTTTATGGTTTACAATTACCCAGAAAAGTGAGTAAAATGCCCGTTTTACAGATGTGGAGGCTGAGGTTCAGAGATACTGACCAGTCTCTCGGTTTATAAGGAAAACCATGGCTAACAGCCTCCAGAGCACAAGCCCTTTACAAAGGAGGGTTGGAGATTGCAGGCAGCTTTTACTTATCTATGCTGCCCACGCTTAACATGGAAAACTGAAAGCTGACCTTGTGTTCCTTTAAAAAATCTCCAAGGAAGTCGGCTGCAGAGACTTCATGGTAACTCATGAGAAACAAAATGCTTTTGTGGATTAACAACTGTCTTTATTCCAATGGAGTTTTTTGGGGGTTTTTTCTTCTTCTTAAAGACAAAAAAATAATCTACCGCTGACACTCAACAAGAACCGTCGTAGAATGGACAAGTCTTCGGATCGCGCTGTGCAGATCCCTCAGCAAATTGTGACAGTATTATGGCACTTTGGCCTAAGCTGTTAAAGAGACGATGTAATGAACAGCTGCGGATTTCTGAGGCACAATTGTGTGACACAGGAAGCCCAAGTGTTGGCCATCCTCAACGAAGGCAGCTGCCGGGCTCCGGTTTGCTTCAGCAAACCCTCACCCCTCGCCTTCAACCAGGCGGGTGTCGTCAGCTGTCCGCCAGCTGCTGCCCGCGCCTTTCCGCCCCCGCGCGCCGGCCAAGGCCGAGGCGGCCGGGACCAGAGGCGCGCGCCCTCAGTGCATGTGACGGGGTGGGAGGGGGAGGTTTCTTCCTCCCCCGTCCCCAAGCCCCGCCTTCTCCAGAGAGGCTGCGGCTTCCTATTGCGCCACCACCGAAATGACCACCGTGCCAGCCAATCAAGACGTGATTCATGAAGTAAGACCCGCCCCTTACTGGTCCCCAGGTTCCTTCCCGCTCACGCCGGAGTCACTTCCGAAGAGAGAACCGCCATGAAGAGAGAAGGGGGTGCCGCCCACCTCTGCTCCGACAGCCTCCCGGAGTCCCAGCAGCAAGACGGCAACCACGCACCCAACTTCTCCAGCCACGGCTCATGCCGCCGTCGCCAGCGGCGCCGACATGACAAGGCGCTGCATGCCCGCTAGGCCAGGTTTCCCCTCATCCCCAGCCCCGGGGTCGTCGCCCCCGCGCTGCCATCTGAGACCCGGTAGTACCGCCCATGCTGCAGCGGGAAAGAGAACAGAGAGTCCTGGGGACAGGTACCGTGCAGAGGGCTTGAGAAGGGGCCGGGTCGCGGGGGCAAGGGTATGAGGGGAGGGCTGCAGACCGCCGCTCTTCCAGTTCCCGCCATCCTCCGCGAGCTCAGGCGTTGGCATTTCGGGGCCTGGCAAATCCCCGCCCCGCCTCCGCGCAGGGGCTACTGGGAGTTGGAGTTTGCTTCTCTGTAGTTGGGCAGCTGCTCTTGGTCTAGTGACCACCAGCCTGGACAGCTACGGAGAACCCGCCTTAGGTAGAAAGAAAGTGATTTTTTTCCTTTGCAAGAGTTTGACCCGGGACCCTAACTGCTTAATGCATATTTAGATCGTTTTCTGTACGTTGTCAGTTCTACTGATCCTAGTGGTTTAGTAATATAAACCTTTTCTATGTTGTGGGTGAAATTATGTAACCTGTGATGAGGGAATCCCTTCCACGAATTACTTTGTAGTCCAGCGTGCACGCTAGTTCATACTTAAAAGAACTTGCAGATTTGGAATGTGACGTGTTTTCTCTTTCAGTAACTTCACGCCTCTCCAAGAGGCTAATTTTTTTGTAAAGATTTTGTGGGAGCTATGTAATGAGATGGGGAGTTTCATCTAATGACATCCTCTGACAATAAAACATGTTTAAATTCCCTACGAACTTGGTACTGTCTTTTATTTTAAGTTAAATTGTATTAAGTTTTAACAATATTCATGTTACTAATACTGTGGTACAGGCCCACAATCCCTTATCTTAACTCTGAAAGCCAGAAAGCTATGAAAACCAAAACGTTTTCAGTAAGTTTGGCACCACATCTTACTGGGCAGCCAGATCTGACTAAAACTAATGTAAGGCTGTTTGTGGTCTTTATCCCATTAAGTGTGAATATTCATGTTTTGCTGGAGAAATGTCAGTGGATTTGATTACAGGTTGCAGCACCAGACCCCACTGGGGACTTTCCATAATACATCCAAGTTATCCCCTTCCTAAAATCTGATAAATTCAGAATTCTAAAACACATTTGGCCCCAGAAGGTTCAGATAAGGGTTTGTGAAACTGTTATAATTGTGTGTGTGTGTGTGTTTTTTTTTAAGCCAGTTGTTAAATAAGCAGTGGACATTTTGTGTGCATATGAACTTAGAGAACCTACCTCTTGAAAGTTACATTCATGGTTATTTTACAGGTTTCTTGTATGTTTTACCCAAAATCATTTTTTCTCTTTCTGGTGTATTAATCAAAAAGGAGTCTGAGGTCCAATATTTTAGGGAAGAGATACAGTGTTACATTTAGTAAAATGCATTTAGAATTATCTTGTGTGCAACAAATGAGCTGCTTCTGGGTCCCTTCCCATCTCTCCTCAATCAATAACAAGATCAATAACAAGGTATCATCCTTCTTCCCTTTGCAGAACCTCCAACATTTACTCTGGTGGAGTTAATTTGCCTAGTATAATTTATGTAAACAAATGCATATATTCTTCCATAGCCCGTCACTCATATTCATCTCATAAGCACTTAGCTTTTATACCAGCATCTCAAACAAGCGTGATGGACTTGGTAAACCAGTAAAGATGTGCATTGCTCTTCTAATGTGACCAGTAAAGTGTACAAGAAGCTTAACCTTCAAGAAACTTGGATTGTTGGAATTTTCACTGAGCATTCCAACCTCATAGTGGATGAATGTTTAGGGAAATCAATAGTCTATAGCTTATTCTCTTTCAGTAAAATGATACATTTTAGCAAAATTTACCAGAAAGTTAATTTTTTGTTCAGCATATCATAACATCCCCTTTTTTGCAGCTGACAACTCTACAGTGAACAAATCAGAATACGAATTCTGGTAATGGATTCCTATTTCACTTTAGCATTATTGCCAATGTCAGAACTTGATTAGTTAAGCCAGATAATGAAATCCAGTCTTTACGGTACAGAAATTCTTAAAAATTAATTTGGTTTTTGTTATTCTTGTTAACTTTCTTCCTTTTCTCCTTGTGTTTTTCCCAAGCAATGTGTTATTTTTGTAACTATCTTAAGGATTCTTTGATAAAAAATTAAGAATTTGAAACTAGTTGTGACAACTCATTCTAATTTCTGCTGTTACTTAGATTAACATCTTAATGTATAAAGAGGGTAGCATAAGTTTGGTATTTTTCTTTTCTGCCCTTGTCCAGCAAACTCCTCTTCAACTGATTCCCTAGATCAGCCAAATCACCTGTATTGCCATTCTACCATCTACTGTTCTACTCTTGTTATGAGAGTCTGTTCAAGTTTTACTCCATTTTTATAATCCCCATTATTCATTTGGCATACATCTATTGAGTTTTTTTTTAGCTTGTTATTCTAAATTTTAAAACGCAGCTGTGCTTAGATACCAAGTAATTATTTTGTATCAATGTCTGCAGAGAACAAGTAGGTTCATATGCTGATACCCAAGATGTTGCATTCTACCATGTAGCCGTGAACATTTCAGTCTTAAGAAGCACTCTGTACTAATTCCTTGGGTCTACACACCAGTCTGACCTATTTAAGTACTATAAATAATATAAACCTCAGTTGTATTTTTATAAATGAACTCCTATAGGAAGTGATACGTTATATTTTCTGTTTTTTTAATGAACAGTTTAGCAAAGCATTGTTACCATTGTCAGAACTTTATTAAACCAAATAGTGAAATCCAGCCTTTATTTTATAAATCTTTCTCCATTTAATCTGAGTTATGAAGGTTTTAATATTTGCTTATATGATGCCATATTATGCTTTTATTTTCAGGAAGCAGTCAATTATAGATTTCTTCAAACCAGCTTCAAAACAAGGTATGTACACTGTTGATGCATTTTTTGTGGGCTATTTTGGGGGTGAGGAGAGAGACAGATTCAACTTTAAAACCTACTCTAAACTGTTTTAGTAAACGTAGTGTTCAAAATTGAAAATAAAATGAAGATGCAGTATTTTGTTTTACAAGGATAAACTGAAGTTCTAAATATGAAAGTCTTTTTGCTGTTATGTTTTCTTACATTTAAAATATTATTCTAGTAAAAAATTTAATGTTCATAATACATACTATTTTGATTCTCTAATACAGTAATTTATAGAGCCATAGGGAGGTTATATGATGTACCAAAAGAGAGCTTTATGAAACTAAGGCTTTTAACAAATAAATCATCTCTTAATTTCTCCTATACCCCCCAATAAAGTGTGTATCATTATCCAAGTTGTTGGTTTGAAAATTTTTGTGGTAACATTAGTATAGTTTAATTTATATTTTAAACATTAATAATTTAGATAAATATTAAATATTTTACTAACATGCAATTTGTATGTGTTTTAATTGGCTATTTAGACAGACACATGTTGGATTCACCACAAAAATCAAACATCAAATATGGAGGAAGTAGATTGTCTATCACTGGGACAGAGCAGTTTGAAAGGAAACTATCCTCACCAAAAGAATCTAAACCCAAAAGGGTGCCACCAGAAAAGAGCCCTATTATAGAAGCTTTCATGAAAGGTGTTAAAGAGCACCATGAAGATCATGGTATACATGAGTCACGTCGGCCTTGTCTGTCACTAGCCTCCAAATATTTAGCCAAAGGAACAAATATCTATGTTCCTTCTTCATATCACTTGCCAAAGGAGATGAAGTCACTAAAGAAAAAACATCGATCCCCAGAGAGAAGGAAGTCACTATTCATTCATGAAAATAATGAGAAGAATGATAGAGATCGAGGCAAAACCAATGCAGACTCCAAAAAGCAGACCACAGTGGCAGAAGCTGACATCTTCAATAACAGCTCCAGAAGCCTTAGCAGCAGGAGCAGCCTGTCCAGGCACCACCCGGAAGAAAGCCCACTGGGAGCTAAATTCCAGTTGTCACTAGCTTCTTACTGCAGAGAACGAGAACTAAAGAGGTTGAGAAAGGAGCAAATGGAGCAGAGAATCAACTCCGAGAATTCTTTCTCAGAAGCAAGCAGTCTTTCCTTAAAATCTAGTATAGAAAGAAAATATAAACCAAGGCAGGAACAAAGGAAACAGAATGACATCATACCTGGAAAAAATAATCTGTCAAATGTGGTATGTGTAAGAATTATTGAATTAGCATTGCTACTGCTATGTCATATTTAGAATACTAAATTTAAAAATATTTAAGAGTTGTTACATCACATTGACGTCTTTCCTGAAGGAAATACTTATGCACAGTTTGTGTAGAAGCTGGTTTCATTACATTTCCTCCAGTTGCCCTTCATCGAACTCAGTAAAGCAGTGTTTCTTATCCTTAGTTTTTTCAGACTGGGAACAAAGATCTTTTTTAGTCAGAAAAGTAAGCATTCTTTTTTTTTAAGGCAAGTATAGTCTTACTTATTTATGTGTAGACAGTCTTGCTCTGTTGCTCATGCTGGAGTGCTATGGCGTGATCATGTCTCATTGCAGTCTCAAACTCCTGGGCTCAAATGATGCTCTCACCTCAGCTTCCCAAGTAGTCGAGACTCCAGGTACCTGCCACCATATTTGACTAATTTTTGTATTTTTTTGTAGAGACAGGTCTCCCTATACTGCCCAGGCTGGCCTTGAACCCCTGGCCTCAAGCGATCCTCCTGCTTCCTGTACTTTGGGAGGCCTAGGTGGAAGGATTGCTTGAGCTCAGGAGTTTGAGACCAGCCAGAGCCACATATCGAGACCTTGGCTCTACTACAAATAAATAAATAAATAAATAACCAGTCATGGTGGCATGTGCCTGTTCTCCTAGCTACTTAGGAGGCTAAGGTGGGAGGCTCGCTTGAGCCCAGGAGATCAAGGTTGCAGTGAGTTTGATCACACCATTGCACTCCAGCCTGGGTGACAGAGCGAGACCTTGTCTCAAAAATACAGTGTTCTAATATAATATTCTTGAATTATTGATATAAACGTAAATCAGCATTTTGAAAACTGACTTCATTTTTATGATATTTTTACATGTTTATGATACAAATGCCCTTAATTTTTATGACAAAAACCTTAAGATCTTTAAATATTTTATTATAGACATTAGGATTTACCTCCAAATATGGGTGCTTGCCTTATTCAATCTAGAAATCTGTGTTTAAATGTTAGGAAGAATGCCTTCACATTCTTTACTGTCCCCAACACTTAATTAATTTTATCTCATTGTGCTCATAGGAAAATGGACATCTCTCAAGAAAAAGATCCTCTTCTGATTCATGGGAACCTACTTCAGGTAGAATCAAAATTAAATTTATGGATTTCTAAATAAATTTCCATTTTAATGGCACTGCTTTTTAAAATAAATTTGTTTAAATATGCAGTTCCCTTCTTGGGGATGAATTAAGTGTCTCATATTAATTAAGAGTTTGGTAAGATCATATTAAAAAAGACTAGTCCCTGAATCTAGTACTTATAATTTGGGTTTGTTTTTGAGACAGGGTCTTACTCTGTCACCCAGGCTGGGATGCAGTGGCATGATCACGACTCAACTGCAAGCCTTGACCTCCTGGCCTCGAATGATTCTCCCACCTCAGCTTCCTGAGTAGCTGGGACTACAGATGTGGGCAACTATGCCTGGTTAATTTCTTGTATTTTTGTAGAGACGAGGTTTCGCCACGTTGCCCAGGCTGGTCTCAAACTCCTGAGCTCATGAGCCACCACACCTGACCTAGTGCATATAATTTGTAATCTGTCTTGAATCTCTGCCCTCTTCAGGAGTTCCTAACAGTATGTTTCTCATACTGGTATTCAGTGTTTCCTTCTGAATCCTTGGCTACATCAGGAAACATAATCTTTTTTTTTTTTTTTTTTTTTTTTTTTTTGAGACAGAGTCTCGCTCTGTCGCCCAGGCTGGAGTGCAGTGGTGTAATTTGGCTCATTGCAAGCTCCGCCTCCCGGGTTCACACCATTCTCCTGCCTCAGCCTCCCAAATATCTGGGACTACAGGCGCCCACCACCATGCCCGACTAATTTTTTGTATTTTTAGTGGAGACGGGGTTTCACCACGTTAGCCAGGATGGTCTCGATCTCCTGACCTCGTGATCTGCCCACCTCGGCCTCCCAAAGTGCTGGGATTACAGGCATGAGCCACTGCACCGGGCCCCCAGGAAACATAATCTTATTATCTTGGAATTGTAGACTGAGTTGTTGGTATTATGTTGAAGATGCTTTGTATAGGGTTGAGACTGTTACCATGATAAAAAGCAGTGTTCTCTAATATTTCAAATCCAAGGATCCCTTTTTAATATTAAATTTCAAGGATATCTACATGACATTAGTTTGTACTTTTAGCATTTATTGATTGAAAAAAATATAAAATAACAAATCTGTTAATTCAGTACATTTTATCTTTTTTTAAAACTAGAAAATAGAAGATTAAAAAGGCAAACACTGCAGAAGTTTGCAACAAGAAATGAAAGGTCTCCACAACTAACAACAGTTAATAGTCTAGTGTATCCGATTTTTTTCCTGATGTGACTATACATTTTGAAAAACAAATTCCCACATTCAGTAAGATACATTGGACACGATAATAATAGCTGGCTTTCATTGAGTACTTACTGTGTGCTATGCCATTTTATGTGCTTCTAATTCGTTTGAACCTCATAACTTTATATGATAGTGGTTTACTTTTAGAGATGGAAAAGCCAAAGTACAGAGAGTCAGTTCTAATTCCTCCTTCAGGTTTCATCTACTTCATTTTATTTATATTTTAGAGGTGCATTGCATTTTGACCAAGAACTCTCAACTGGTAAAATCAATCTTCAGCCAAGGCTGAAACCATATTTTACCATTATAGAAGGAACTTCTAGGATACAGGAATAAATCTAAAGTTTTGTGTGTTTTTTGTTTATTTAATTTTTATAATGTTGCTGATTTTATGACCAAATTTTAGTGAATTTTGACATTATTGTAGAAGAACAGGAATTTCTCAGCCAGGAGATTGCTTCTGCACTCACTGTATTGCACATTTTTAATACTAAATACATGATCACCTTGCACCAAAGTTAATGGAAGAACAAAATATTATTTTATATAAGGGGCTGCTGCTGGTGGTGTGGCTACCACATTATTCCTTTTCTTTTTTCTCTGACTTAAGATTTGAAAAAATCTTTTCATTTCCTGGATTTGCAAATTTCATTCATGGTGGCTAAAGTAGTTTCATTTATATAATCCCACCTAGCAAAGTTTTTGAGTACTGCTTGGAAAAGATGCTTTCTACATATTTTCAGAGGCTGACTTATGATGGTTGCCGTCACTTATATTTTTATTACCAATATTTTTGCATGTGTTTCATAATCACTAATAATTATAGCATTATACTCTTAATAAATATACATTTATACTTCAATTGACTAACATCAACAGAATTTCAACATGTAAAGGACAAGGGGATATTTCAATCTAGATAGCATGAAGAATGCTTATTGTGTCTGATAGCAAAATTATTAAAAATCTAAGCCAGGCGCAGTGGTTCATGCCTGTAATCCCAGCACTTTGGGAGGCCAAGGCAGATGGATCACCTGAGGTCAGGAGTTCGAGACCAGCCTGGCCAACATGGTGAGACCTCGTCTCTACTAAAATTACAAAAATTAGCTGGGCATGGTGCCCAAGCCTGTAATCCCAGCTACTCAGGAGGCCAAGGCAGGAAAATTGCTTGAACCTGGAAGGTGGAGGTTGCAGTGAGCTGAGATGGTGCCACTGCACTCCAGCCTGGGTGTCAGAGCAGGACTCAATCTCGAAAAAAATAAATAAATAAAAATAAAAATCCAAATGATATGTCTTGTTCATCTTGTTAATACACTTAATCAATTGTCATGGTAATGTACATAATCACGCAATCATTAATCACATACAAGTTCAGGGATTTCAGAAGTAATGTTAGACTAGGCATTTAGCCCTTTGGTCTTCTAGAGCCCTGTCTTTTGGCTGAATTGTGAGGGGAAATTTAATCCATTGCTAGTACATTTCGTAACTGATTAATAACCAATCACCTATTAATGGCCTTTGGATTTTTCCTTTTTCTTGAGATGGAGTCTCACTGTCTCCTAGGCTGGAGTGCAGTGGTGAGATTGTAGCTCACTTGCAGCACTGAACTCCTGGGCTGAAGCAATCCTCCTGCCTCAGCCTCCCAAAGTGCTGGGATTACGGGCGTGAGCCACCATGCCCAGCCTCCTTTTTTTCTTTTTACAAACTCAATCTCTCTCTTATATGAATATTTTATGTATTAGTATATTTGAAATATTTGAAAAACTGTAAAACAAATATTCTCTACAGGCTGACAAAGGATACAAAAAGAATTATGAACATTTTGCAATTAATCACCTGACCTGAAGAGCTTGCTAAAGGGGATCCTACCTGCAGTACCAATTCACTTTTCTCTAATTCTAGATGATGAAACCCCTTAATAAGCTGACTTATCCTAAACATCTTCCACAAACAGTGTTTGTCTCCTCCTGGATCAACCCTGAATAATGCCTGAGCAAAGCAGGAATTTCTCCTCATTTCTAGCTATATTTAAATTATCTGACTTCTCTAGAAAAATGGAACAAAACTCAAACTGGCAGCTCTGTAGCTCATTTTTTGTAATCCCATACTTAAAAGTAAGATAATGAGCCAAATCTTCTCTTTTGTTTAGTCATTTAATTTCTCATCCTGTTACCCCTGTCCTTTTTGTAAGACATTTAACCCCAGAAAACTGAATAGGATGGAATGATTTCCTCAGGTAATGGGAGATATCTGTAAAAGAGCAGAGATAAGGGCATTTGTTAATTAGTTAATTTAATTTTTATAAATTGAATTTTTCAGATTATATATTGATCAAGCTATCCAAATAATAATTGCCTCTCAAGTTTGGTTTTGGCGGGTTTATTTTATTTTATTTACTCATTTTGATTCAAGGTCTTACTCTGGTGCCCAGGCTGGAGTGCAATGGCACAATTACAGCTCACTGTAGCCTCACGGGGCTCAAGCAGTCCTCCCACCTGAGCCTCCAAGTAGGTGGGACTACAGGCACATGCCACTGCACCCGGCTAATTTTTGTATTTTTTGTAGAGACTATTTCACCATGTTGCCTAGGCTGGTCTCAAACTCCTGAGCCCAAGTGATCCTCCCAAAGTGCTGGGATTACAGGCATGAGCCACTAGACATGGCCAAAAGATAAGAAATTTTCTAACTAGAGAAGGGATTGACGGGGTTGTACTTTTCGCAGAGGCAGGGTTTCACCTGAGCTCACGAACTCCCACCTTGGCCTCCCAAAGTTGTGGTATTACAGGCATGAGCCACTGTGCCCAGCCATTTTAGGTTTTTAAAGCAACTCTTGGGGAATGGAGACATCTGTCCATGTGCAGAAAATTTGATTTAGGGAAATCTGGTTTGGGGAATACTGATTGCACAAATAGTGAATTTTTTGTGTTTTTTTTTGTTGTTGTTTTGTTTTTTTGAGTTGAAGTCTTGCTTTGGTACCTAGGCTGGTCTTGAACTCCTGGGCTCAAGTTATCTTCCCACCTCAGCCTCCTGAGTAGCTGGGACTATATAGGCACACACCACTGCACCAGGTTAAAGTGAATTTTTTTTTTTTTTTTTGAAACGGAGTCTTGCTCTGTTGCCCAGACTGGCGTGCAGTGGTGCCGTCTTGGCTCAGTGCAACCACCACCTCCCAGGTTCAAGCGATTCTCCTGTCTTGGCCTCCCAAGTAGCTGGGAGTACAGGCACGCACCACCATGCCTGGCTAATTTTTGTATTTTCAGTAGAGACAGGGTTTCACCATGTTGGCCAGGCTGGTCTCAAACTCCTGACCTCAAGTGATCTGCCCACTCCGGCCTCCCAAAATGCTGGGATTACAGGTGTGACCCACCGCACTCAGCCCACAATATGAATTTTTAAAAACTGGTTCATTCAAATGTATGTGGTTATTAAAGTACTTCTGGATGGGGCTATAATAAATATAGCTTATATTAGTTTCCTAGGGCTGCCATAACAAAGTGCCAAAACCAGGGTGGCTTAAAACAACAGGAATTATTGTTTCACAGTTCTGGAAGCTAGAAGTTTGAAATCAGGATATCAATAGGGCCGTAATGTCTCTGGCAACTCTAGGGGAGAATACTTCCTTACCTCGTCTAGCTTCTGGTGTTTGCCTGCAATCTTTGGCATTTCTTGACTTACAGCTGCATCACTCCAGTCACATAGCATCTTTTCCTTGTGTATTTTCACCTTGTATTCCCTCTGTGCATGTCTGTCTTTGTCTCCAAAGACAAAGACACCTTTTGTAAGTACACCAGTCATACTGCATTGGGACACAGCGTGATTTTTTTTTTTTTAATGAGAAATTAACATTTATCTGCCTTCAAGTGTTTATCCTATACGTGTTTTAAGGTACTATACATTTAAATGTAGAAGTGTTACATTTCTGCAACCAGGTAGTCCTAGGTCTAAAAGAATTTCCAGAAGTACCTATGGCATCCTTAACTTGGTACAAATATGCAGTTGTTTGTTTTAGGGAGTGGCATCTTTAATTCTGTTAAGGTGGTAAACTTTTCATAGCTTTGGAATGAAAATGAGCATTTGTCATTAGCTTTAAATTTCTTGGACACCAGTATTTATCCAGTTGATAAGTAACTCTTTTTCTGCATTCCATATATGGTGACTAATCTCAGCCTTAATACTTAGAATTTTAAACCTTTCATTAGGGTGTTCTAGACACTGAATAAACTTTACTAAAGTTGGAAAGTATATTTTTCACTAATCTAACAAAAATTAAATTTTAGCAGGCTCTAAGCAGAATAAATTCCCTGAAAAAAGAAAAAGGAACTCTGTGGACTCAGATCTGAAAAGCACAAGAGAATCTATGATACCAAAAGCAAGAGAGTCCTTCCTTGAGAAGCGTCCTGATGGACCACATCAGAAAGAAAAATTTATAAAACATATTGCACTGAAGACACCTGGTGATGTGTTGCGCTTAGAAGATATATCCAAGGAACCGAGTGATGAAACTGATGGCTCTTCTGCAGGCTTGGCACCTTCAAATTCTGGCAATTCTGGCCACCATTCTACCAGGAATAGTGACCAAATCCAAGTGGCAGGTACCAAGGAGACTAAGATGCAGAAACCCCACTTACCTTTATCTCAGGAAAAGTCTGCAATTAAAAAAGCTAGCAACCTTCAGAAAAATAAAACCGCTAGCTCCACGACAAAGGAGAAGGAGACAAAACTACCTTTACTTTCCCGTGTTCCAAGTGCTGGTTCCTCTCTAGTACCATTAAATGCTAAAAATTGTGCTCTTCCAGTTTCTAAAAAAGATAAAGAGCGTTCCTCATCTAAAGAATGTTCTGGGCATTCTACAGAATCCACCAAACACAAGGAACACAAAGCAAAGACTAATAAGGCCGATTCTAATGTATCTTCAGGGAAAATTTCTGGGGGACCTTTGCGCTCAGAATATGGCACTCCTACAAAGTCTCCCCCTGCTGCTTTGGAAGTTGTGCCATGTATCCCAAGCCCTGCAGCACCTTCAGATAAAGCCCCTTCAGAAGGAGAGAGTTCAGGAAATTCCAATGCAGGTAGCAGTGCACTGAAAAGAAAACTAAGGGGTGATTTTGATAGTGATGAAGAAAGTTTAGGTTACAACCTAGACAGTGATGAGGAAGAGGAAACATTAAAGTCACTGGAAGAAATAATGGCTTTGAACTTCAATCAGACTCCTGCAGCTACAGGAAAGCCTCCTGCTCTTTCCAAGGGGCTTAGATCTCAGTCATCAGACTATACAGTAAGTAGTTCTGTGACGTTTATCTTTACTTGAAGAGGGAAAGATGATTAATTAGTGAAAGGGGTGGATTATCGGAACTTACTTTAAAATTTAGTATTTATTATAACTCATATTTGTACTGAAAATGGAATAATTCTTGTTTGGTAAATGAGTTTCCATATCTTTAGTTTTATTACTGTAAGTCAGTGGTCTCCAAACTCTTTTGATCACACACACTTAACAATTTTTGAGCATGTACCCCAACATATATGTATACCTTTAGATTATATATATGTACCACTGTAATACTGTGTACTTTCTAAAGCATATGCAAAAACAGAATTTAAAAGGAAGAAGAAGAGAAAAATAAGTATTTTCCTGTAGAAGTGACGTAGAAGTTACTATAGACTAAGTTCTACTGGAGTCTCTATAGAAGTTCCATATAAATAGAAGTTCTATTATTTTCTTCCTGCACCCCAATGGATCACCTTGCACACCCCCTGCTTTGGAGACCACATCTGTAAATGAAGGTAGAGTGTAGAAATGTTGTTGATTGTGGTGTGCAATTTTATTTATAAAGTGCTTCATTCTATCTTGGGAATAAGCTGAATTAAATTCTAAGATGTCTGTAAAATTTGGTGGGGAAGGTGTTAATATTCCATGGTAACACCTAAAAATTAGTAGTTTGATTCTACTAAAATAGAATTTAAAAGTAAAGACAGGGTAGCCACAGAGTCCTTGAGTGTTTGCAGTCACATCTCAAAGTTAGCAGGGTTTTATAAGTACTGCCTTTCCTAATAGGTAGTAAAATCAAATTGTCTGCAGTGCAAAATACTAGATTTAAAGCATGATGGTGAAAATTATCCTTTAAGAAAGGTGTTATCCTGGCCCAGATTATTGAAATAGAAAATAGTCTTTCGTACCCTTAATTACTTAAAACATCCCAGTTCTTCTACTAAGACATGTGGTAAAGTATTTCTAAATGTTCTTGTTTTAGGGACATGTTCATCCTGGAACTTACACAAATACCTTAGAACGTCTAGTGAAGGAAATGGAAGACACACAAAGGTTTGTTAGCATAAAGATTAATTTGCTAAATTTAACATTTTGCTTGTTTGTGTGGCTTACTTTTAATTTACCTTTTTTAAAAAATCATGAGAAATTAGCGTGCATTTTGGACTCTGTTGTCAACTGTGTTAGAATAAGATATGTTGGCCGGACGCAGTGGCTCATGCCTGTAATCACAACACTTTGGGAGACCCAGGCAAGATTACTTGAGCCCAGGAGTTCAAGGCTGCGGTGAGTCGTGATGGCGCCACTTCACTGCAGCCTGGGTGGCAGAGTGAGACCCAGTCTCAAATGAAAAAAAGAGGCCAGGTGTGATGGCTCATGCCTGTAATCCAGTACTTTAGGAGGCCAAAGCAGGCAAATCTCTTGAGCCCAGGAGTTTGAGACTAGCCTGGGCAACATGGTGAAACCCCATCTCTACAAAAAATACAAAAATTAGCCAGTCATGGTGCCACATACCTATGGTCCCAGCTACTCAACAGGCTGAGGTTGGGAGGATCACCTGAGCCCAAGGAGGTCAAGGCTGTAGTGAGCTGTGATTGAGCCACTGCACTCCAATCTGGGTGACAGAATAAGACCCCGTCTCAAAAAAAAAAAAAGTGGGGGGCCAGGCGCAGTGGCTCACGCCTGTAATCCCAGCACTTTGGGAGGCCGAGGCAGGTGGATCATGAGGTCAGGAGATCGAGACCATGCTGGCTAACATGGTGAAACCCCATCTCTACTAAAAAATAAAAAAAAAAATTAGCTGGGTGTCGTGGCGGGCGCTTGTAGTCCCAGCTCCTGGGGAGGCTGAGGCAGGAGAATGGCGTGAACCCGGAAGTCGGAGGTGGCAGTGAGCCGAGATTGCGCCACTGCACTCTAGCCTGGGCAACAGAGCAAGACTCCATCTCAAAAAAAAAAAAAAGGGAATAAGATGGGTTCTCTTGTTCATAGACTGGATCAAAAGATCCAGGTTTTTATAGTATACTGCACTAACTAATAATATAAATTCCTTTCTGTTTATTACAACTAGTATCTGATAGCTGAAATTCTAGATCGAAAGCATGGGTAGAATTTTTTGTGTTTTTTTAATGGAAAATACATATAAAATTTACCATTTTAACCATTTTTACATGTACAGTTCAGTGGCATTAAGTAAATTTATATGTTGTGCAACCATTATCACCATCTAGCTACAGAACTTTTTCATCTTTCCAAACTGAAACTCCATACCCTTTAAACAATAACTCCCCATTTTCCTCTTCCTCCCACCCTCAGCAACTACCCTTCTACTTTGTCTCTATGAAATTGACTGTGTTTTAGTTATCTCATGTAAGTGGTATTATATTTGTCCTTTTACGACTGTTTATTTCATTCAGGGCAGTGTCTTCAGAGTTCATTCATATAGTAGCATGTGTCAGAATTTCCGTTCTTTATAAAGCTGATTATTCCATTGTATTATGTATATAACACATTTTCTTTAGTCATCTGTCAGTGGACCTTTGGATTGCTTCCACTTTTTGGCTACTGTGAATAATGCTGCTATGAACATGGGTATACAAATATCTCTTCAAGTCTCTCCTTTAGATTCTGTTGGGCATATACACGTAAGTGGACTTACTGGATTATATGGTAATTCCGTTTAATTTTTTGAGGAACCGCCACACTGTTTTCCACAATGGCTGCACCATTGCACATTTGCACCAACAATTAATAAGGGTTCCAGTTTCTCCACATCTTTGCCAACACATTATTTTATCTTTGTTTTTTGTTTGTTTTGATAATAGCCATCCTAACAGTAAAGTGGTATCTCCTTATTGTTTGGTTTGCCTTCCCTAATGACTAATGATGTTAACATATTTTCATGTGCTTATTGGCCATTTGTTATACAAATGGAGAAATGTCTTTTCAGATTCTTTGCCTGTTTTTAATTGGCTTGTTTGGTGGGTGGGGCGGTTCACACAGGTAGAATTTTCTGAAATATTTCTATCAAGTTACTCTTTTGAGGAAAAAGTTTAGAATTATGATGAACACCCCCCCCCCCCCCCACACACACACACACACACACACGAGAGAGAGACAGAGAGAGAGAGAGAGAGAGAGAGAAAAGTTGAGGATCATAATGATCTTAATGAAATTTATGTGACTAATTATGGACAGGTTTTGCTAATAAGAGGGGAAAAATATATTCCTTGTTAATTCAAGGAGTGTCCTTGAACCTAGCCTGGAGAACTTCACTAACAGCTCAGCTGACTTGATTACATGGAAGTTGGTATGTGCTACATATCTCAAACTTGATAACCAAGTAGCTAACTTTAGGAATTTTTCAGATGATTAGTAGTTCAAAAGCTTCCCCCTTTCTGAATTTAATTAGAGAACTTGTCTGTATTTAAAATTCTTTAAATATTTCATGAATTCTTGTGATCTGTGATATGAAATCTGAAGTTCCTCCTTTAAAATTGAGCACTTCACAAATGAAAGACAGTAGTACTAGTTTAATTGAATGATTGACCCTTTTCTATAATGATAGAACAGTACATTTACTAGTTATTTACTCCTCAGCTGTACTTATCCACTGTTTGTGGCTGGGGTAAGGACCTTGTTTAAAATAACTTAATCTTGGAGAGGCAGTATAAGCAAGGACTCTAGAGCTAGACTCTCTCGCTATGAATCCCACATCCTTGCATTACAAGCTCTTGCAAGTTACTTTGCTTTTCTAATGTTGGTTTTCTTATCTATAAAATGCGTTATAAACTACTACATGGAGTTGTTGTAAGGGTTAAAAGAGTTAATATATAAAGCCCTTAGTGCAGTGCCTGTCACATATTAAGTGCTCGGTAAATGTTAGGTGTTGTGATGATGATGACAGTGACAACTACTGCTGCTAGAAAGCCTAGTTAACTTATCAGGTTGTTGGGCATCTAGAACCCAGTGAACTTTAAAGAGTAGAGAGGATAATCAAATTAGTGATGTTTATTCTTTGCCATTTTTCCTTTCCCATTCTGTGAGTGGTTTGGACAGATCATTCTTGAAGTTCTAGCTTTATGGAAATCCTCAAGTCTTTTATGCAGTGGAACACTATTCTAATGCCACACTGGTAACTGGGTAAAAGCCTAGCACCTGAAATATATCTGTTTTCATGAAAATTGTACGTCGTGATGTATTTGGGAGACATAATTTGACCGATAGTATAACAAAATTTGTTATATACCAGGGTACTTAATAAGGGTTTTCTTTGTGCTGCTTTTAGATATAAACTAAAGACTTTTTAAAAATATTTTTAGAGTAAACTGTTATAACATTCTTTCCAATTCTCAGGCTAGATGAACTGCAGAAGCAACTACAAGAAGACATAAGGCAAGGCCGAGGCATTAAATCCCCAATCAGAATTGGAGAAGAAGACAGTACAGATGATGAGGATGGCCTCTTAGAAGAGCACAAGTATAGCATTTTTCATAATGTATTTTACCTTATTAAAGTTTTTACATTTTTTAGTTTTGTTTTTGTAAAATAAATGGGCCATTGATGGCTGTTAGTGAATAATTTATGATAGGTTTCTGTCTGTAATGGGTTTGAAAGGCAAATGTTAGGGCCAGGTTTCATCTTTTATCTTTTCTCCTGGTTATTGTTTCTTTTCACATAGACACATTTAGTGGCTTTTGACTAACAACTACAAAAAGTGGAAGAAGCAAAGCATACTTTTCTCATGCTAGTCTTCTAATTTGGGATTAACATTGGCTTAAAAAATGGTTTTCTTTGCACCCAGCTTTTAAATACAAAACTATATGTAGTGTAACAATTTGGTATTGATTGACTTTTTTTATGTTTCAGGGAATTTCTAAAGAAATTTTCAGTTACAATTGATGCTATTCCTGATCATCATCCAGGTGAAGAAATATTTAATTTCCTCAATTCTGGAAAAATTTTCAATCAGTATACCTTGGATTTAAGAGACTCTGGTTTTATTGGACAAAGTGCTGTAGAAAAACTTATTCTTAAGTAAGTAGAAAAATAGACATTTTACTTTTATATGTATAAAAAATTACTCTAAAACACTTCTGACTCACGTAATCTTCTAAAAGGTTAATTTCTATTATGACCTATTAAGTTTCCTAATCCTCTTATTACTATTGATCTTTATGTTTTCTTCTTTAATTATAGGAAGCAGTGTAGGATAGTTGTTTGACACATCTCATGCCTTTATTAATTATGATTAAGATCAGTGTATAATAACAGTGATTGTCAAAATAATAGTGGTTTAAACAAGAAGTATATTTGAAAGAAGTATAAAAGCAGGAAGTCCAGGGCTGGAGTGCCAGTTTTACCATATAATCTTTCTTCTCCACCATTCTTAGCACCTAGCTTCGGGTGCTGTTCTAGCTCCAGCCTTTAGTTCAAATTCCCAGAAATTCCACACAGCATTCCCACACACTAAGTTAGTTGAATAGAAAACTTAGTCAATATGACCACACTTGGCCACAAGGGAAGCCAGAGAGTGATGTTTATTTCAGGCAGCCAGTGTTTGCAGCTACAGATCAGGGTTCAGTTACCAAGAAGAAAGGCAAAAATAGATGCTGGGATGTGCAACTAGTAATCTCCACCACAGTGCCCAAACTGATCTAATTTCTCTCAGTGCATGATATCTCAGCTCTAGAGAGATCACATCAGTTCTGCTGCCAATTTTTTAAAGTACTTCCCCAGTCTGAGACTTGATAGGCTCTTTCTCAACACTACCAGCAAATGTAGCTTTGTCTGCCAGTTAAATGTGGAGCCTAGCCAACAGATTGGATCAGCTTTAGGCCATCAATTAAATTTATTTTATGAGTAACTCATCCATATTGGTATAGAGTCCACCTCTATGGACTGAAGACAGTTTGCTTGCTCATTTCTCTGATTATGTCAGATGTGTTGGTGGTGATAGTAGAAGTATTTTGCCATGAAGTTAATAGCCATGTTGATTTTACTTTATTTTTTCAGATCGGGAAAAACAGATCAGATTTTTTTGACAACACAAGGTTTCCTTACGTCTGCTTATCACTATGTCCAGTGTCCTGTCCCTGTGTTAAAGTGGCTGTTTCGGGTAAGAGGAATGTTTAGAGGGTTATAGTTGCCTCCTACTATATTTCTAAGTCAAAAGCTTTTAAACATAATTTTATTTGCACATTACTGCAGAAAAAATTAATGTAGCACATCCATGATGTCAGTGGCTTAGAATGTAGCAAAAAGAGTCAATATAAAGAGATTATGAAGAAAGGGATAATGTAGATAGTTGTACAGGACAGTCAGTGTTAGTTGTGCCTGAACCCTTCACCACAGTGATAAATCACTATTATAGTTAGTTTTAGAAGGGATCTTCTAATGCTTACATACCTAAATTTCTTTTTAACCTTTTTTCATGTTTATGGTGGTACCTATATACATTTTCAGAATTTTAATTGTATGCTAATATTTCCCCATTCGTATATATGGTTTTTTTTTTGGATGCAAATCCAACCAAGTGTTTCTTTTCCCCATTCATATTTAACGCTTAAATCCACTTAAATAATTATCTTAAATTTAAGATATGATAATTCCAGAAAGTTAACTCAATTGGTAACTTTTTAAATATCAGTGGTATCATTGATGCTTATGTATGGAGTTCTGGTGTTACTCTAGATACTTCGGACCTTCATGCAGATAAATGTAGAAGTTTCTTACTCTTGACATTTGTATCAGCCAGGAGTGGTGGCTCATGCCTGCAATCCCAGCACTTTGGGAGGCCGAGGCAGGTGGATCATGAGGTCAGGAGCTGGAGATCAGCCTAGCCAACATGGTGAAACCCTGTCTCTACTAAAAATACAAAAATTAGCCAGGTGTGGTGGTGGGCACTTGTAATCCCAGCTACTCAGGAGGCTGAGGCTGGAGAATTGCTTGAACCCAGGAGGTGGAGTTTACAGTGAGCCAAGATTGCTCCATTGTACTGCAGCCTGGGGGACAGAGTGAGACTCTGTCTCAAAAAAAAAAAAGACATTTATATGGGAGGGCATGGATGGGGCTTTTTCCAGTATAAAAGCTTCTGTATCAACAAGTACTATAGTAACTACTCAGTTAGATTGGAATTATGCTTCTTTCAAAGACGAGAACGATTATGAATGACAAGTTATTCTTCGCAGTGGCTCATGCCTGTAATTCTAGCACTTTGGGATACCAAGGCAGGAGGATTACTTGAGACCAGGAGTTTGAGATCAGCCTGGGCAACATAGCAAGACCACATCTGTTTAAAAAAAAAAAAATTATTCTCAGGTTACTGAGTGTTCCACTTTAATAAAATCCTAAATGTGTGAAAAATATACATTCAGGAAAAAGGAATCGTAGTATAAAAGAGTCCTTTATAATATGTGAGTATTGGCCCCAGAAATCCTATAACAAAAAGGAAAAAAGTATCAATGGTGTCAGAGAACTACAGCTATTATATATAAAGTGAAAAGTGGGAAAAACATGGAGTTTCTACTCTGGGTTTTATGATAGCATTTCAAGAAATCTCGTATTTGGTGAGAACTGGAGAGATATTCCAGTACAGACTTTCGTTCATTGTTTTATATAGTTGGCATTTTGAGTGCCAGCTGTGCCAGGCACTGGAGAGAACAGCAATGAAAAAATCAGTGTCTCTGATCTCATGAAGCCCACATGCTAATGTAGAGGAGACAAACAATAAGTGTGTGTGTGTGTGTGTGTGTGTGTGTGCGCGCGCGCGCGCGCGCACATTTGTAAATGTATTGTGTCAGATGATAAGTGCTATGAAGAAAACGTAGGGTAAGGTAGATACAGAGAGTACCGGGGTGAGAGAGAAAGTTTGCTTTTTTAAAGTGTAAAGTAGTTGAAGGTCTTGCGGTTAAGGTAAGATCCAAGTAAAGGAGTAGCTTGTCAATGTCACTCCTAAAGTGTTCCCTCACTGCCTCCACTAAAGATACGTGGACACATGCTCCAGATAAGGTCTGTCTTACCAGCAGTTTTCAGTGAGACTCTTGCCCATCTGAAGAAACCTACAAATTTCTACTTATTATAGTTCAAAACTAATCATGCCACTGTACTCCAGCCTGGGGAACAGAGAAAGACCCCATATCAAAAAAACAAACAAAAAATTTCCTTTACTGTTATGCCAGGGCTTCATTATTCTCTAATTGTGTATATCATTTCTTAAACCTCCAAGTAAGACTTTGCATTTATCTATGTTAATTTGCCTCTTGTTGATGTGGGCCCATTGTTATAGCCATTCAAACCCTAATTATGACATACAAGCATACCTTCATTTAAGCAGTTTTTTAATACATTTCATATTTATTTTCTGAAAACCAGACTAATCATTCATTAAACACTTTCCCTGTGTAAGACACTGTCTCATTTCTCCTTTTTTGATTCCAAGTCCGTTTTCATCGTGGGAGGCTTTACCAACTTGTAAGTAGTTTTTAGAAATTATGTCAATTCATTTTAATGCTATACTCCTAACCAGTATTTTGTAAGTTTAATGTTAAAATGTAATTAAAATCCTTGCATTTTTGTGATTTTATCATGAGTGTCTAAATGTAGTAGACCAGAAAAAGGTTAGTACTTTTTTTTTTTAACAATTTTCAAAAGGAATTCAGGTTTGATTATGAAAAGTTCAAGTAAAATGGAAAGGAGATTAAAATTTATTTATTTATTTGTTTGTTTGTTTATTTTTGAGAGAGAGTCTCACTTGGTCACCCAGGCTGGAGTGCAGTGGCGTGATCTCTGCTCACTACAACCTCCGCCTCCTAGGTTCAAGCAATTCTCCTGCTCAGCCTCTCAAGTAGCTGGGATTACAGGCCTGTGCCACCACACCTGGCTAATTTTTCTATTTTTAGTAGAGATGGGGTTTTACCATGTTGGTCAGGCTGGCCTCGAACTCCTGGCCTTAAGTGATCCACCCACCTCGGCCTCCCAAAGTTCTGGGACTACAGGCGTGAGCCACTGCACCCAGCCTAAAATATTTTTAAAAAGAAGTTTCTGTCAGAATCTGTTTGAGTGAACAGTTTAAATTTTTTTAATTAAAATAAGAAGGCTGAACTCCCAAGTCCTAATTTCTGGAGCTGTTACATTTTGGTCAGTGTTTTCTAGAGTATTCTCTGCATTCAAAAATTGCCATGTAACTTAACATAAACAGAACATGTGAATGTGTCTTATAACTTGTTTATTTCAGATAGCAGTAAATTATTGAGCATTTCATCTCAGAGTGTTGATACGTTATCCTTTTCAGTGGCTTCATAGTATTCCTTTGTTAGGCTATACCATGATTTATTTAACCCAATCTCAACTGATAGACATTAGATTGCTGTATATACTCCTTTACACATTTACTTAATTATCTGAAATCACTGTATTTCCCACCGTGGAATTTTTCACCCACCGCAAAAAGATTGTTAGAAACCTTGTCCTATGTGTAACATGTCTGTGAATGGTGTTGCCTCCTAGTGGCAGAGCTTAACAGCACAAACATCATAGCAGAAGTTTTTTTTTCACATAGATTGTGTTCAAAATGACACAAGCCATATGACTGTTTGAAAGTAGAGTTCAGGTTACTCCTCCTTACATTTTTATTTTATTTTATTTTATCTTATTTTATTTTATTTATTTTGAGACAGAGTCTCTCTTGGTCTCTCAGGCTGGAGTGCAGTGGCACGATCTCTTCTCACTGCAACCTCCACATCCCGAATTCAAGCGATTCTCATGCCTCAGCCTCTTAAGTAGCTGGGATTACAGGCACCCACCACCACGCCCAGCTAATTTTTTTTTTTTTTGTATTTTTATTAGAGATGGGGTTTCACCATGATGGCCAGGCTGCTCTCGAACTCCTGACCTCGAGTGATCTGCCTGCCTCGGCCTCCCAAAGTGCTGGGATTACAGGTGTGAGCCACTGTGCTCGGCAACCCTTTACATTTTAAATTTAAATGTATTACAATCTATGGCTTCTAAGCAAATGAAAAAGATAATAATAGAAATACAATATGTGTTCCTCTACAAATCCACTATAAAATTACTTTGTTAAATGATTTAAAAAAATTTTTTTTAAACTTGAGATTTTTGTTCCCAAAAAATTGTCTTGTAAAAAGTTATGTCAGGCGGGGCGTGATGGCTCATGCCTGTAATCCCAGCACTTTGGAAGGCCAAGGCAGGTGGATCACGAGGTCAGGAGTTTGAGACCACCCTAGCCAACATAGTGAAACCCAGTCTTTACTAAAAATACAAAAAATTATCCGGGCATGGTGGTGGGTGCCTGTAATCCCAGCTACTGGGGAGGCTGAGGCAGGAGAATCGCTTGAACCTGGGAGGCGGAGGTCGCAGTGAGCCAAGATCACACCACTGCACTCCAGCCTGGGTGACAGTGCGAGATTCTGTCCCAAAAAAAAAAAAAGTTATATCAGAGGTTAGGTGCAGTGGCTTAAGCCTGTAATCGCAGCACTTTGGGAGAATGAGATGGGTGGATCACTTCAGGCCAGAAGTTCAAGACCAGCCTGATTAACATGGAGAAACCCGTCTCTAGCCTAATGGTGGCGCAGGCCTATAGGCCCAACTACTTGGGAGGATGAGGCACGAGAATCGCTTGAACCTGGGAGGCAGAGGTTGCAGTCAGCCAAGGTTGCACCACTGCACTCCAGCCTGGGCAACAGAGTGAGACTCTGTCTCAAAAAAAAAAGGTATATTATTTGTTTCTAAATTCCTGTATGTAAAAAGGCATTACAGGCATATTATTTGCATCTGAATTCCTGTATGTACAAAGACTAACTAGATGAAAGTATAAAATAATAACTTGGCATAAATATTACCAATTAGTTGTTTTGGATTTTTTGGGTTTTTTTTTTTTTCTTTTTTTTTTTTTTTTTGAGACAGGGTCTTGCTCTGTCACCCAGGCTGGAGTGCAGTGGTGCGATCACTGCTCACTGCAGCCTCAACCTCCCAGGTTCAAGTGATCCTCCCCCCTCAGCCCCCCAAGTAGCTGGGACTATAGGCATGCCCCACCACACCCAGCTAATTTTTAAAAATTTTTTGTAGAGGCGGGATCTTGCCATGTTGCTCAGGCCAGTCTTGAACCCCTGGGCTCAAATGATCCTCCCACTGCAGCCTCCCAAAGTGCTGAGATTACAGGTGTGAGACACTGCGCCTGGCCCTAGTGTAAAAGTTTTAACCAAATTACACTCACCTGAGGCATTAAGACTGCTTTCCTCTTTTCTAGTATTCTTATGAATACTAGAAAATCGATAATACTAGGGTATTATCGATATTCTTGATCATTGCCAATTTTGAAGTCAATCAGTGATATCTTTTTTTGTTTTGTTTTGTTTTGTTTTGTTTTGTTTTGAGATGGAGTCTTGCTCAGTTGCCCAGGCTGGAGTGCAGTGGCACGATCTCAGCTCACTGCAAGCTCTGCCTCCCGGGTTCACACCATTCCCCTGCCTCAGCCTCCCGAGTAGCTGGGACTACAGGAACCCGCCACCACGCCTGGCTAATTCTTTTTGTATTTTTAGTAGAGACAGGGTTTCACCATGTTAGCCAGGATGGTCTCGATCTCCTGACCTCGTGATCCGCCTGCCTCGGCCTCCCAAAGTGCTGGGATTACAGGCTGAGCCACCGCGTCCAGCCAGTGATATCTTACTGTTTTTATTACATCTCTTTGATCTAGTGATATTGAGCATCTTTGAAAAACTATGTTGGTATATTATTTTGTATATTTGTATCTTATTAATTTGTGGTTTGATTTTTGCATGCAGCCTTTTCCTTTGTGGTTTTTTGGTTTCATGTCATGCTGTATACTAAAAAGACATTTTTTGATAGTTTCAAATGTTATATTTGTCTAATTATAAATGAAAGTTGTAAAAAAAAAAAAAGCAGCATGTTAGAATGTAAAGAGCTCTGACTTTAGAATTAAATTCCACCTTCTCCACGTATCATATATATTAGTTGGGTAGAATATTTAATCTCTCTGAACCTATTTGCTCATATGTGTAATGAGTACTACTTCATAAGGTTATCATTAGTATTAAATGCACATAAAATGCCTTTATTTTTATTTTATCTTATTGTATTTTATTTTTATTTTTGTGGTACAATCATGGCTCACTGCAACCTCCACCTCCTGGTCTCAACCAGTCCTCCACTACAGGTGTGCGCCACCACACCTGGCTAATTTTTGTATTTTTTGTAGAGATTGGGTTTTGCCGTCTTGCACAGGCTGGTCTCAAACTCCTAAGCTCAAGGTATCCGCCCGCCTTAGCCTCACAAAGTGCTAGGATTACAGGCATGAACTGCTGCGCCTGGCCTACATAAAACAACTTTATATGTGCCTAGCAAATAATGAATGTTTGTGTTTTCTTTCTTCTTAATATCCTGTCATTTCTCTGCTTTTGACAGATGATGTCAGTTCATACAGACTGTATTGTGTCAGTGCAGATTTTAAGTACATTGATGGAAATAACAATTAGAAATGGTAAGTATATCAACTTATTAAGATTTACCGTGTGTATTATTGGTTGCTATTTACATGGTATCTTTCACATTGCTAAATGTTAGTATATTTGGAAATATACAATACAAAATTATTTTTCTAATCAAAAGTCGTTTTTTTTGGTTTTTTTTTTGAGACAGAATCTTGCTGTCGCCCGGGCTGAAGTGCAGTGACACAATCTCAGCTCACTGCAACTTCCACCTCCCTGGTTCAAGCAATTCTCGTGCCTCAGCCTCCCAAGTAGCTGGGCCTACAGGCACACACCGCTATACCCAGCTAATTGTTTTGTATTTTAGTAGAGACAGGGTTTCACCTTGCTGCCCAGGCTGGTCTGGAACTCCTGAGCTCGGGCAATTTACCCATCTTGGCCTCCCACAGTGCTAGGATTACAGGCATGAGCCACCTCACCCGACCTCAAAAGTCTTTAATAATGAAATGGAACTTCAGTTAAACAACGAGTATCTGAATTTTCTTACTTGCATTGAGAAAAAGAATATAAGATCTTGCAAGTGGAAACCCTCACTTACTGTTTACCAAATCATGGCTTACTTTGCTTGATAAGTGGAAATGGTTCCAAACTTACTTAGCCAATTAAGTTTAATTGGCTTATTGGTAAGCAACAGTATTATACTGATAATACAGTAAGGCATATTGAAAGCATCCACTGTAAAAGTGTAACATTTGCTTTCTCATCTTTGAGAGCCCTTATAATAAAACAAGCATAGTGGTTTACCTGTTTCATCTGTCCTGGGGATTGGGACTATAAAGGCAATGAAGATGATAAAAAGTCTTCCTGTGTTATTGATAGTTGGGATTTTATCAGTGGTATTTCCAGCCATTTTAAAATGTGTTACTTCCTTCTGAGTTACACCCTTTTATCCATCACTCTCAGATATTTTCTTTATGTCATTTTCTTATTTTATTTGGGAATCTGTAATTCCTATGATCATCCTATAACTGTATTGTTAGCATAAAATTAGCAGCTGTCATTTCTATAAAACCATTGTAATTATTCATGTTTCACCTGCAGACTGTCACCTTGCAAATGTGGGTTTGTAGACCACAGATTTAGAATGAAATGTTTTCTTCTGTTAATTAGATACCTTCAGTGACTCACCAGTTTGGCCATGGATCCCATCATTGTCTGATGTAGCAGCTGTGTTTTTCAATATGGGGATTGATTTTAGATCTTTGTTTCCCCTGGAGAATCTTCAGCCAGACTTTAATGAAGACTATCTAGTGTAAGTTTTCTCATCATAATTAACGCCAAAAATATCATTTCGTACGACTTATATATAATTATAGCTAAAGTTTAATATTTATTTCTGATTTTTAAAAAGATCTCTCAAAGTTGAGATCAATCTTGAATTAGATACATTTTTAACATGTCTTAATCTAAAAGCCATCATCATGTTTAGCAGGCAAATAATAGAAATATTCTCATAAAAGTTTTGTTTTCTTTTTTAAAAGACTTTCCTTTGTTATTTAACATTGTTTTGGTGGAAGTATTGGCCAAAGTAATTAGACAAGAGAAAAAAAACAAGAGATACAAAAATTGGAAAGGAGTTGCTGAAAGATTATTTGTAGATGTGAGTTAATCTAGACATAGAAGCCTAAGACTCAGGTGAAAAACTATGACAAATAACTAAGAAAATTTGGTGTGGGTGTCTGGGTATAAAATTAGTAAAGAGAAATCAATAACCTTCAAATATCTGAAGTGTAACTAGTTAAAAGATACACTGGGCTGGGTGTGGTGGCTTACACCTGTAATCCCAACACTTGGGGAGGCCAAGGCAGGAGAATCACTTGAGGCCGGGAATTGGAAGTTGCAGCGAGTTCACCACAGTACTGCAGCCTGGGTGACAGAGTGAGACCTTGTCTTTAAAAAAAAAAAGGTGGGGGCCAGGCATGGTGGCTCACGCCTGTAATCCCAGCACTTTGGGAGGCCAAGGCGGGCGGATCACTTGAGGTCAGGAGTTTGAGACCAGTGACCAACATGGTGAAACCCTGTCTCTACTAAAAATACAAAAACGTTAGCCAGGTGTAGTGGCACGCACCTGTAGTCCCAGCTACTTGGGAGGCTGAGGCAGGAGAATCACTTGAACCCGGGTGGCGGAGGTTACAGTGAGCCGAGATCACACCACTGCACTCCAGCCTGGGTGACAGAGTGAGACTCCATCTAAAAAAAAAAAAGGAAACTGGTTACAGACAAAGTATTAATTTCAAGTCAATAAGAAAAAGATCAATACCTATTAGAAAAATGGGCAGAGGAAATGAATAGACTGATCACAGAAAAGGAAGTAAAAATGGAAAGGTAAAGGAAATAAAAGAGGAAAAAGTTGAATGTTTTCACTTAAACATTATGAAAATTCTCTTTCTACTCCATATAGGATCCCTGGTTACTCAGATGTAATCTGTATCTGAAAATATGTTGGATAGCAACATTTCAGCTAGAGACTATGTTTCATCACTTTAAATAGGAAAAATAGTTTACCCAGCCCATCCAAAAATCCCAACTATTTCCCCTAAATATTACAAGAATGTTCTTAAACACTTACATTTTAAAAGTTACCACAAGTTTCTGCATAATATAAACATTTAACATACCTCCTACTTTATTATTTAACATTTAGTGAACTCAGTAGTGTGTAGTAATTTTGTATGTTGTATACAACAATTTGAATTTTTCTTACTTTAGTGAGCATGTACAGTAGTGGAAATAAACTGGTAGTGGCTATAGTCACTATTGTTGTATACTGGTGAGTAAAGATGGGCACAAGCTTAACAAAAGTGATCTGGTGAAGGAATGAGTGCTGTGTAACAAAATGCCTGTTTAAACAACATGAGCATGAGTCTGGAAATGTGTGTGTGTGTGTTTGTTTGAGACAGGGTCTTGCTTTGTTGCGCAGGCTGGAGTGCAGTGACACAATCTCAGCTCACAGCAACCTCCACCTCCCAGCCTCAAGTGATCTTCCCACCTCAGCCTCCTGAGTAGCTGAGACCACAGGTACTCACCACCACGCCCAGCTAATATTTTTTTATTTTTTGTGGAGACGAAGTTTTGCCATGTTGCCCAGGCTGGTCTCGAACCCCTGAGCTCAGGCGATCCGCCGGCCTCAGCTTCCCAAACTGCTGGGATTACAGGCGTGAGTCACTGTGCCTGGCTTGAACTTGTTAAGATACAACCCCACTCACTGTTCTCTTTCTTTTCTTCTCTTCCTTCCCCTCCTTCCCTCCCTTCCCTCCCTTCCCCATCTTCCCCCACTTCTCCCCCTTCCCCTGCCCCTGCTCCTGCCCCTGCCCCTCCCCCTGCCCCTGCCCCTTCTCCTTCCTTCCTTCCTTCCTTCCTTCCTTCCATGAGATGAGGTCTTGGTCTGTCACTGAGGCTGGAGTGCAGTGGCACGGTTATGGGTCACTGCAGCCTCGAACTCCTGAGTTCAAGTGGCCCTCCTGCCTCAGCTTCCTGAGTACCCTGGGATTACAGACACACGCCACCATGCCTGGCCAATGTTTTTAAATCTTTTTATAGAGAGTGGATCTGGCTATGTTGCCCAGGCTGGTCTCAAAATCCTGGGCTCAAGCAATCCTCACACCTTGGCCTCCCAAAGTGCTGGGATTACAGGCATGAGCCACTGCACCTGGCCATCACTTTTCTTTTTTTAACCAGGACTCACAGCTTACCCATTTTTGCTGGTGTGTATATGCATATTCATCATGGCAAGTTCTCTATACAAATAGTAGATGTAGAGTGAAAATGTTTGCAGATTGTCAGAGTAAATATTTAGATAGAGAAAATTCAGATATTAAGGGATACTAGTACAATTCTTTTCTTGACCATTATTCTGCTAGATACATAGACTTAAAATTTAAGTCTAAATACATTCTAACCTCCTTCAATTCTGTATCCCTTCAATTCTCACATCCCTATGTTCCTTTTCCTCCACCTATGTCATATCTATTCATTCCTTTTCATTTCCTGAGTCAGTCTAATTCAGATTCTCTTTTCATGCCTAGCCTGGCAAAAAAATCTTTCTTCCAGGGCCTTTCCACCTGCAAGGTATTATTTTCACTGTTGCAGGAACTCGCTCTCTACTATTCTCAAACCTTTATACCCTATATTTAAGACTTTACGATTTTACCCTGACCTGTTTTCTGTTTTGTTGTCGGCTTTCTAATCAAATTGATCTGCCTGCTGTCCCTCCACACCATAATGACTAGCCCTTATATAGTGTTTGCTGTGTGCCAGACTCTGTTCTAAGGGCTTCACATAGTACCTCACTTAGTAGTTACTACAAATACTAGTAAGATTTTCATTTCCATTTTACAAGTAAGGTCAGCACGGAGAGGTTAAGTAACTTGCCCAAGGTTATACAACTAGGAAGGGGCGCAAAGAAGTACTAAGCAGCTATTTTGAAAAACAAGTTCTTCACATGTAGCTGTGGAAGTATCTCCAAGATACATTGCTAAGTGAGAAAAGGAAGCTGCAAAGGTATGTAATATACTAACATTTGTATTAAAGGTGGAGGGGGAGTGATAAAGGGTAAAAAAATGTTTCCTCTACATTTACAACACTTCTGGCATCAAATATATAGGTTTTCTACACATTGTCATTTCTCCAGTTCCCTGTAGACACCAACTAGATGTCCTGCAGTTTAATGCAATTCTAGTTCTAATTACCCAGAGTTAGCACAGAGCCCACAGGTTAAGGACTCAATCCCACAAGACTGCCACCACTTCATATGGAATCACAAGTCTGGGCTTCCTTTTCTTCTAAACAACTAGCTATAAATCAGGAGTTCCTACAGTCCTCCTCCCATTTATGTTCAATAATATGCTAGAATGGCTCACAGAACTCAGGAAAGCAGTTTACTTACTATTATTGGTTTGCTGTAAAGGGTACAACTCAAGAACAGCCAAATGGAAGAGATACGTTGCGCAAGGTATGGGGATGGGAGTGCATAGAACTTCCCTGGCCTCTCCAGGTACTCCACCTTCCCATCATTTTTTTTTCTTTCTTCCTTAATAGAGAAGACAAGAGTTTTGCCTTTGAAGTCTTGCTGTCGCCCAGGCTGGAGTGCAGTGGTGTGATCTCAGCTCACTGCAACCTCCACCTCCCAGGTTCAAGTGATTCTCCTGCCTCAGCCTCCCGAGTAGCTGGGATTACAGGCACCCGCCACCACGCCAGCCTAATTTTTCTATTTCTAGCAGAGATGGGGTTTCACCATGTTGGCCAGGCTGGTCTCGAACTCCTGACCTCGGGTGATCTGCCTGCCTCAGCCTCCCAAAGTGCTGGGATTACAAGCGTGAGCCACCATGCCCAGCCAAATTTTGCCGTATTGCCCAGGCTAGTCTTGATCTCCTGGGCTCAGGCTATCCGCCTGCCTCAGCCTATCAAAGTGCTGGGATTCAGGTGTGAGCCCACCCCACCCCACCCACTCTCTCATCATTTGATGCCTTAGCCAATCCAGAAGCTCTCTGAACTTTAGGGTATTTATGGAGGGCCCATTACACGGGCCTGGTTGATTAAAGCATTAGCCATTTTAATCTTTAACCCCTCTGGGTGGGACTGAAAGTTTCAGCCTTCTAGTCACATGATTGATAACTCTGGCAACCAGCCCCCATCCTCTAGGAGTCACAATATTATTAGCATAAATTTAGGTATGGTTGAAAAGGGCTTATTATAAATAACAAAAGAGGCTCCTTCTACCTTATCAGACATTCCAGAGGTTTTAGGAGCTCTGTGCCAGGAATTGGGGACAAAGATCAAATGTATTTCTTCTTATACCACAGTGGGACATATATTCATATTTGTTTGTTTATACATAAAATGCCAATGGAAGGAAGGACTAAAACTTGTAGTAATTATCTTAGGAAGGAAACGAGTGGTTATAAAGAACGGAGCTAGGAGGGCAGTTTATCACAGCATACTGTACCTTAATATATTTTGATTTTTTAAAACCATATAAAAGTATTATTTTTTCAAAAAATTAAAAATGTTATCTATCTTTTGAAAGCTAAGTTCATGCATCTCCTTTTTCATGAATCTTCACTGATAACCTCTGATAACTAGAGTGCTTTGAATTGTTTCTGTATATTGCTATAGCAGTTTCTTTAGGCCATTTATGAGTCTTTTACCTATTATGAATTCTTTTTAGTCAGAGCCATCTTCTACATAGCTCTCTAACACCAACAGCAATGAGGATAGTACCATATAAAAAGTAGCTTGTTCAAGAGAAAACTGATGCATAATGATAGAAATCATTAGTGTTTGCCTTGAGTCAGGGATAGCAGATTGACTTGGATTTGGCATAAAGAGACTTTTGAGGGGAATGGAAATGTTCTATTTCTTGATTTGGATGGTGGTTACATTAGTATATATGATTATCAAAACTTAAAATGGGTACATTCCTTTTATTGTATGTAAATTATACCTCGATAAAACATAGTTTTTAAAAAGTAGCCCAGAATTTCTTAAAGTGAGTTATATATTTTGTGCCTAACTTCACATTGCTTTACTCACTTCTCAATAGTTCTGAAACACAGACAACATCAAGGGGGAAAGAAAGTGAAGATTCATCTTATAAGCCAATTTTTTCAACACTTCCTGAAACCAACATTTTAAATGTGGTTAAGGTAGGAAAGAACTTTTATGTGTCTTCTGCTCAGAGCTAGAACCATTTAGTCTGTGGTTAATGGTTTTTAAAAAAAAAAAAGTCTCGGCCGGGCGCGGTGGCTCACGCCTGTAATCCCAGCACTTTGGGAGGCCAGGGCGGGCAGATCACAAGGTCAGGAGATCGAGACCATCCTGGCTAACACGGTGAAAACCCGTCTCTACTAAAAATACAAAAAATTAGCCAGGCATGGCAGCGGGTACCTGTAGTCCCAGCTATTCAGGAGGCTGAGGCAGGAGAATGGCGTGAACCCAGGAGGCGGAGCTTGCAGTGAGCCGGGATCGTGCCACTGCACTCTAGCCTGGGCAACAGAGCAAGACTCTGTCTCAAAAAAAAAAAAAAAAAAAACTCTCTAGTTTCTTACCAGGTGATTTCCAGTCTCTGAAATTTCTTAGCAATAATCTTTGTATTAAAAATTGTTTTTGCTGTTTTTATTTTGTTTTAATATTAGTGATGAACAGAACTTTAAGTCAGTTACATCATTAAATAGTTTTGAAACCAATAGTTTTTTATAAGTAGGATGTATGAAGAAAAAAGACTTACAATACAACTTAGTAATCAAGAGTTAATGGCAGAGGCCGGGCGCGGTGGCTCATGCCTGTAATCCCAGCACTTTGGGAGGCCAAGACGGGTGGATCACCTGAGGTCAGGAGCTCAAGACCAGCTTGGCCAACATGGTGAAACCCCATCTCTACTAAAAATACAAAAAAAAAATTAGTCAGGCGTGGTGGCAGGTGCCTGTTATCCCAGCTACTGGGGAGGCTGAGGCGGGAGAATCACTTGAACCCGGGAGGTGGAGGTTGCAGTAAGCCGAGATCACACCACTGTACTCCAGCCTGGGCGACAGAGTGAGACTCCGTCTCAAAAAAAAGAAGATAAAAAAAAAAAGAGTTAATGACAGTGTGAAACATTTTTAGTTGCTGAATTGAATCAGTGATACAGAACCATTAAGAAAATCTCAAAAATGGAAAATGGAGAAGAAAATGCCACTTAATTCAACTATTAACATTGAGTAGTTCTTGCCTTCTTTTCTCTAGACATCGGATGTTTGTTTTCTTTATAGTTCTTTTTTGCATCTTTTGTCAAAAAGAGTTTATAATTAAAACTCTAAAAGTAAAATATACCTCCTAAAATATTTTTGTCTGTGCATTTATGTTAAACAGTTTCTAGGCTTGTGTACATCTATACATCCAGAAGGTTACCAGGATCGTGAAATAATGTTGCTGATTTTAATGTTATTTAAAATGAGTTTGGAAAAACAGCTGAAACAGATTCCTTTAGTAGACTTTCAAAGCCTCCTGATAAACCTGATGAAAAACATCAGAGATTGGAACACAAAGGTAATGTTACTTAAAACTTCATTATTCATTTTTTATATAGCATTACAATTTGACTCATAGTGCATATGGAATTAATACTGTTTCTAAACTCAAGATCTTTGGCGGATTAAAAATGAACTGAGGAAGGGAATGTTTGCTGGAGCTGTATTATTTAAATTCGTGATAATTGAATTTTTTCTAAAACTTCAACTCTTTATCCAACAAAAATGTGTTTATTGGGGATTTCCTATGGACTAAGCATTAATGTAGGTGCTAGAGATTGAGCTGTGAAAGAGACAAAGCCTTTGCCTTCATGGGGCTTTTGTCCTAGTCAAAGGGTTAGATAAACAAGTAAATGTTGATTATATTATCATGTCAGGTAGTAGTTAAGTACTACAAATGAAAATAAAGCAGGACATGAGTACAGCAAGACCAGATGCTATGCTATTTCATATAAGGCTGGCAGGGAAAGGCCTTTCCAAAATAACCTTGGAGCAGAGACCTAAATGAAATGATGGAGTGAGTCATACCTACAACCAGAATTTGAGTTGAACTTCTGCAACCATATGGAGGATGAACATGTATAATTTTTGTTAGGCCTTTTTAAAAATTATATTTTTCAGTCTTTTTTGGTGGAAAAATTAAAATATGCAAAAGTAAGGCAAAGAGTATAATAAATTCCTAAGTATCACTTTGCTTCAATAATTGAGACATAATCTTGCCTAATGTAAAACCGACCCTATATTTCCTTTCCCTGCTCATCAGATTATTTTGAAGCAACTGTTACGCTTTTTTAAAAATTGATACACAATGGTAATACATATTTTGGGGGTGTTAGGCTTTTTTTTTTTTTTTTTTCTGTAAGACAGCATCTCCTGTCACCCAGGCAGGAGTGCAGTGGCGCAGTCTTGTCTCAGTGCAGCCTCTGCCTTCCGGATTCAGGCGATTCTCATTCCTCAACCTCCCGAGTAGATGAGACTATAGATACATGCCACTCCGCCCAGCTAATTTCTGTGTATTTAGTAGAGACAGGGTTTTACCATTTTGGCCAGGCTGGTCTCAAACTCCTGGCCTCAAGTGATTCACCTCCCTCGGCCTCCCAAAGTGCTGGGATTACAGGCTTGAGCCACCACACCTGGCCAGGTGTTAGGCTTTTAAAAATACTGGAATAGGATCCCTAAAGTGCAAGAAATCCCAAATCAGGAACATATATGGTCTTGTACAGCTCTCATACACATTTGTATTTAGATCAGTTTATCTTTCCAAGAAGGACTGTTTAAATATCAATGGGAGATATGATGTAGTACAAAACGTGAAAGCCAAGTGAAATTCTGCTAAATGTATCTGTTCAGTCCATTTAAGATAGTATAAGTAAAACTGAATCTGTGTATTGTGTACATTTTAGCAGATTCTAGACTCCATGCTATTTCTAAAAATGTGCTCTGTTTTGTACTAGTGCTTCCATTATGTCAAGAAGGGTTGTAGATGATCTGTTGGGTGTTTTATTCTACTGTTCTGTTTGAAAAGAAATCTTACATGTTCTTTTTTTTCAGGTGCCTGAACTCTGTCTGGGCATAAATGAACTCTCCAGTCATCCCCACAACCTCCTGTGGTTGGTACAGCTGGTCCCTAATTGGACATCACGTGGAAGGTATTAAAAAGTGAAAATTAAACATTAAGAAATTTTATAATTTTACATTAATGAAATGCCTTGGGTTGTTTATTTCCATTCATCATTCTTTGAATGTTAGATCAGATATGTTTATTTCATATTCAGTTGCGAGAAAAGGCATTGATAGCCTGATTCTGCCTTATTCTAATTCTTAACTCAGGTCATTATGTAATTTTTTTTTTTTTGAGACAAGAGTCTCACTCTGTCACCCAAGCTGAATATTTTTTTATTTTTAATTTTAGTTTATCTGTTACCTTAATACAGATGACATATTCCACAAAAATAAATGAATTAGCTTTTTTTTGCTTTAGTAAAAATAAATTTCATCAGTAAAAAAATAGGTTTTCTGTCAGTAAATCATCAGGGTCAAAGATAAGGCCGTTAAATGATTTATTGAGCTTCAGATAACTCAAGTTTTATGTACAGATATTTTACATGAAAATTTTACTGTTCTATAACAGCTTATATGTTCCTGTACAGACTTCTCTTGAAACATTGCCTATATTTCCAATTAGAACTAGAGCTCCTCTTGGCTCATTCATTTGCTTTTCAAGCAGTATTAATTAAAATACATTCTAAATACTTTTAACTTCTAATTCTAGGCAACTGAGACAGTGCCTCAGTCTAGTGATTATTTCAAAGCTTTTGGATGAGAAACACGAAGATGTTCCTAATGCCAGTAATCTGCAGGTATAAATAAATACATTTTTATTTTTAATAAATGGGAGAGGTAATGAGAGGTGTAAGGAAAATTGATGAACCCTAAGTCAAAGGTCCTGGGGTCAGAGCTCAGCTCTTAAGCTTGATACTGTTCATGTAATCTCTAGCACACTTAACTAACAAGATCCAATTTTTTCATCTGTGAAATGGAGATAATATTGCACCCTCCACCACTTAGGGTGGTTGTGGACAATCAGATGTGAATTAATGTATAAAGAAACTACTGGGAAAATCATAATGTGCAATTATATGAATATGATTTCATTTATTGAATTAGTTCAGCTTTTCCAAGTTAGCAATTTTATCACAAGATTAGAAATTGCAAAACCCTTGTACATTGATTGCATCTTTAACCTGTTTTAAAATGAGTCTTTTTAGATCATAGAGCTTAAATGTAGTTGCCCTCTAGTACTTGTTCAGTAAGAATATATCATGTATATATGAGAGTGTGGATAAACATGTCCAGCTGTTGCTGGGTACTGGTGGCACACACCTATCGTCCCAGCTACTTGGGAGGCTGAGGCCAGAGGATCCTTTGAATCCAGGAGTTCAAGTCCAACCTAAGCAACATAGGGAGACCTTGTCTTTAATATATATATGAATGTTTTTAATTAAAAAAAATGTCCAATGGAAGTCCCACTCTGAGTAAAATTCTGAAGGCTTTTTATAAACATTGATAGCACTAATGGGGCTGCCCTTGCTTGGATTTGAAAACTCACCATAGGATGGGCACAGTGGCTCACGCCTGTAATCCCAGCACTTTAGGAGGCCGGGGCAGGTGGATCACGAAGTCAGGAGATCAAGACCATCCTAGCCAACACGGTGAAACCCCGTCTCTACTAAAAAAAATACAAAAAAATTACCCGGGCATGGTGGCGGACACGTGTAGTCCCAGCTACTCGGGAGGCTGAGGCAGGAGAATGACATGAACCCAGGAGGTGGAGCTTGCAGTGAGCCGAGATCACGCCACCGCACTCCAGCCTGGGCAACAGAGCGAGACTCTGTCTCAAAAAAAAGCCCCATAGAACCTGATCTGGATGTCCCTTTGTTCTTGTTTGAATTGCAATTTGGTACAAGGTATGCCACCAGATCCTAGGAATTAAAACAAACAAAGATTTAGATTAGAGACTCTGCCCTTGAAAACATAATCTAATGGTTGAAACAAAATTAACCAACTCTTATGGGTTAGTGTGGTAAGAACAGTAATCGAAGCATGCACGAGATGCTGTGGGATGGAGAGACTGATGGGCACAGCTGGTTTCTGCTTTAGTAGAATTGAGGTAGATTTGATTCCAGATATATGGGGATCATGCTGGAGCTACCAGGATAATTAGCAGATAGTTCTCATTCCTTTCATTGATATTTACTGCCTTCAAAAGAGATCCGGGGATAGGATTTCTACCATTTCTCCTAACTTTTGTTGTTCTGTTACTTTTTCCTTTTTTGCCCATGTAAAATAGAATAATTAGCTGAATAATTACATGAATAATTAACCCTCAAACTCACTAACTGATATTCAAGTAACAATCTAGTTGTGATTTTTACCACAACTTCTTGTAGTTCTTCTCAGAATTCAATGACTTCTAACCACAGAGTCAACTTTGTTGACTTTCAAATAATTTAACAGAGAAAGCATTCCCTGTGGCCTCTATGATAATATCGTTTGGTCTCCTAAGCATTTATCCTAAGTTACAAGTACTAAATCTTTAACTTAAAATCCCTTTTTTTTTTTTTGAGAGATGTAGTATTGCTCTGTCACCCAGGCTGGAATGCAGTGGCACAATCTCGGCTCACTGCAACCTCCACCCCGCATATTCAAGTGATTCTCGTGCCTCAGCCTCCCGAGTAGCTAGGACTACAGGCATGTGCCACCATGCCCAGCTAATTTTTGTATTTTTAGTAGAGGCGGGGTTTCTCCACGTTGGCCAGGCTGGTCTTGAACCTCTAACCTCAGGTGATTCACCTCCCTTGGCCTCTGAAAGTGTTGGGATTACAGGTGTGAGCCACCGTGCCCGACCACTTAAAATCCCTTTTTAAGCAATTCAGGGTTTTACATAAAGGGAAAATGGATATTGTTAAGTGTAAAGAAAGCTATAATAAAAGGACAAAATGAAAGAGTACACACTGGAAAAAAATAGCCTAAGAAAGAACAACTATATTATTTAGCTTTGTTCAATGTCTCCTCTTTCTTTTGATAGGTATCAGTCCTACATCGCTATCTTGTGCAGATGAAGCCTTCTGATTTGTTAAAGAAAATGGTCTTGAAGAAAAAGGCTGAACAACCAGATGGCATTATTGATGACAGTCTTCATTTAGAACTTGAAAAGCAGGTATCCAGTGCTAGAAGGTCTCAAAGAGTACATAGAAGCATAACTGTTATCAGCTTACTAACCATAGACTGATATGTAGGCATTTCTGGATTTGGACACTAGACACATTCTAGCAAACATAATTTTAAAGCGAATAATATTTTTAATTTATCACTGTCATGAAATTCTTCCATAAATTTGAGAGTTGAAAATTTAGGTAAAAGGATGATTGTTGGTAATTTGCTCCCAAGAGTATTTTTTGTAGCCCTTTATTAGGGCAGTCGTGAGGTCATGAATCATGGTAAAAAGAATGCACTTGAGTTAGAAATGAGAAAGCCTAGTTTAGATGCTTCGCTTTTACTTACTGACCAGCTGGGTTAACTTGACCGTATCCTTTATCCTTCCTGGGCAATTTTCCTAATGTGTAAATTGGAATGACATCTATGCTAGCTAATTCATAGGTGTTAATTTTATTCATTTCTCTAACAGGCATATTACCTGACCTACATTCTTCTTCATTTAGTCGGTGAAGTTAGTTGTTCTCATTCTTTTTCTTCTGGACAACGGGTAGGTAGTGTTTAGTGTTGTTGCTGCTGTTTTTAAATAGGTGTTACTGATGATGGAATGAGTGAGCATGCTTTATATAGGAGAAAACTATGTAAACTTTTCTTAATATAAAAGCTAATTGATTTTGCTATAAGAATTCCCATGTATACCAGAAAGAGGGGCATGATAATGGTCTTGTAACTATATCGTATTGAAAAGAATTGTTGGCCAGGCGCCATGGCTCACGCCTGTAATCCCAACACTTTGGGAGGCCAAGGTGCGTGGATCACTTGAGGTCAGGAGTTCAAGACCAGCCTGGCCAACATGGTGAAACCCCATCTCTACTAAAAATACAAAAAAATTAGCCAGGCGTTGTGGCAGGTGCCTGTAATCCCAGCTGTTCGGGAGGCTGAGGCAGGAGAATCGCTTGAACCCGGGAGGTGGAGGTTGCAGTGAGCCGAGATTGCGCCACTGCACTCCAGCCTGGGCAACAAGAGTGAAACTCCATCTCAGAAAAAAGAAGAAAAGAATTGTCAGCAAATGTTAATTCTGTTTGTTGGAGTGGAACTTAACCATTATACTTTGGCAGCAGTATAATATATTCATAAGATACCAACATCACCAAATACCAAATGGGCTGGTGTTGTGCTGGACCCATATTGACTCCAGTAGAAATGGCAGTCAGGTGGCAGCAGGCTACACAGGAGAACTGCTACCATCTGTAGAGACCATGCAGTTTACATAGCATTTTCACTTAGCACCCTTTACCTAGCAACCTCCATGTAACCAAGAACAAAGGGCCTGCATCCCGTATGGCCTTACAAGGGATGAGCCGGGGGTTCAGATGTCCTTCATAGGTAAGGAGTGAAACTCCATGTTGGCCACTCCCAGATTATTTGGCTTGGGACTCCAGTTACACATTCTTCTTAGACCATAGGTTCATTTTCAGAGTATGCTTTAGTTATTGCTGTCAGATGCATCTGCCATACAGCCAGCTTTTAGCTCGTTTCTTCCCATTTCTTTGCCATTCCCCTTTTGTTCCTTTAGAAATAACATTTGCCTTCAAAATTAAACTGATGGTAAGGCAGGCTGCTTTGGAAATGCATTTCTAATATTCAGATTTTCATTTTGAATTATTCTTCCCATACTCCTGGGGAAAGATCTTGCTTAATTCCTTTTATTTCATATCTTAACTATTCCAATTCCTGTTTTAAAACTTAGGTCGGACATGCCGGGCACGGTGGCACACCCCTGTAATCCCAGCACTTTGGGAGGGTGCGGTGGGTGGATCACTTGAGGTCAGAAGTTCAAGACCAGCCTGGCCAGCATGGTGAAACCCCGTCTCTACAGAAATACAAAAAGTTAGCCGGGCGTGTTGGTGCGTGCATGTAATCCCAGCCACTCGGGAGGCTGAGACAGGAGAATCGCTTGAACCCAGGAGGCGGAGGTTGCAGTGAGGCAAGATCGTGCCATTGCACTCCAGCCTGGGCAACAGAGCGAGACTTCATCTCAAAAAAAAAAACCTTAGGCTGGACGTGGTGGCTCATGCCTGTAATCCCAGCACTTTGGGAGGCCAAGGCGGGCGGATCACTTGAGGTCAGAAGTTCGAGACCAGCCTGGCCAACATGATGAAACCCTGTCTCTACTAAAAATACAAAAAAAAAATTAGCTGGGCATGGTGGCAGACACCTGTAATCCCAGCTACTCTGGAGGCTGAAGCAGGAGAACTGCCTGAACCCAGGAGGTGGAGGTTGCAGTGAGCTGAGATCACACCACTATACTCCAGCCTGGGCAACAGAGGGAGACTCCACCTCAAAAAAAAAAAAAAGAAAAAAATACATAGTATCTCCTAGACATGATAGAAAAGACACAAGACTAATTCTTATGTTTTTATAAATGCTGTTGTATATAAAACTGTGTTTGCGGTTGGGCACAGTGGCTCACACATGTAATCCCAGCACTTTGGGAGGCTGAGGCGGGTGGATCACCTGAGATCAGGAGTTCGAGACCAGCCTGACCAACATGGTGAAACCCTGTCTCTACTAAAAATACAAAAATTAGCCGGGCGTGATGGTGGGCACCTGTAATCCCAGCTACTGGGGAGCCTGAGGCAGGAGAATTGCTTGAACCCAGGAGGCGAAGGTTGCAGTGAGCTGAGATCACGCCATTGCACACCAGCCTGGGCAACAGGAGCAAAATTCTGTCTCAAAAACAAAAAGTGTTTGCTCTTCTGATTAGAAGCTAATATAGTCATCTGTAATGTTCTTACATGGTTTTTATATTTTATACATTTTTTTTTTCGAGACGGAGTCTTGCTCTGTCACCCAGGCTAGAGTGCACTAGCACAATCTTGGCTCACTGCAACCTCTGCCTCCCAGGTTCAAGCGATTCTCCTGCCTCAGCCTCCCAAGTAGCTGGGATCACAGGCGCCTGCCACCACATCCACACCCAGCTAATTTTTGTATTTTTAGTAGAGATGGGGTTTCACCATGTTGATCATGTTGCTCTCGAACTCCTGACCTTGTGATCCGCCCACCTCGGCCTCCCAAAGTGCTGGGATTACAGGCCTGATCCACCATGCCGGCTATAAATTACTTTTTATGATTAAAAAAGTCAGTGACTGGGCATGGTGGCTCATGCCTGTAATCCCAGCACTTTGGGAGGCTGAGTCAGGAGGATCACTTGAGCCCAGGAGTTCAAGAGCAGCCTGGGCAATGCCATCTCTGTTTAAAAAAAAAAAAAATTTAGTGATTATTGTAAAACTTATATAAAGTAAAACCTGAAAGACTCCTACAATCCAGTGCCCTCCTGTAAATTTCTTCACAATTTACTAATATATTACATATAATATACTAACAATTATTTTAACAAAAATGTAATCATAGTATCATTTGCAACTTCCTTTTTTTCCTCTTTAAAAAAAAATTTTTTTTTCTTTTTGAGACAGTCTTGCTCTGTCACCCAGGCTGAAGTGCAGTGGCACGATCTCAGCTCACTGCAACCTCCGTCTCTTGGGTTCAAGTGATTCTCCTGCCTCAGCCTCCCGAGTAGCTGGGACTAGAGGCATGTGCCATGATGCTGGCCAATTTTTGTATTTTTGGTAGAGACGGGGTTTCATCATGTTGGCCAGGCTGGTCTCGAACTCCTGACCTCAAGTGATCCACCCGCCTCAGCCTCCCAAAGTGCTGGTATTACAGGCGTGAGCCACTGTGCCCGGCCTCCTCTTTAAGACATTAGCACTTGGCTGGGCGCAGTGGCTCACAACTGTAATACTAGCACTTTGGTAGGCCGAGGCATGCAGATCGCTTGAGCCCAGGAGTTCAAGTCCAGCCTAGGCAACAGAGCAGCATGCCATCTTTACAAAAAAAAAAAAAATTAACCGGGCATGGTGATGCATGCCTGTAGTCCCAACTACTTGGGAGGCTGAGGCAGGAGGAACACCTGAGCCTGAGGAGGTTGAGGCTGCCATGCACTGTGGTCATGCCACTGCCCTCCAGCCTGGGTGACAGAGTGAGACCTTGTCTCAAAAAAATATATAAAAAATCAAATATTTGTACTTCTATCTAATAACTATAGTATTTTGAAACCTTTATTGATAAACAGTATGTTTTTTGTGATTGCACATAGTGTTAATATGAACATGCTTATTCATATATCTTTGCCCACTTCTGCAAGCATAGCTATAAGGTAAATTCCTAGAAGTAGAATTGTTAGATCAAAGTTTATAAATATTTCAAATTTTAATTATTTTAAATCGCTATTATCACATTTTCATCCCAGAAAGTGTTCATTTACGTTCTCACCAAGTATATGTGAGAGAACTGCTTAGGTCTATACATTTCTAAAATTTAAGATGCATAATTTTTCAAAGAATTAAGTATGAACCTCTATTAATGAAAGGTTATCTTGTTCCTATAGAAAAAAAAATAGGCCAGGTGTGGTGGCTCATGCCTGTAATCCAACACTTGGGGAAGCAGAGACAGGAGGATTGCTTGAGCCTAGGAGTTTAAAACCAGCTTAGGCAACATAGCAAGATGCTGTCTCTACAAAAAAACAAAAACTAGCTAAGTGTGGTGGCACGTACCTGTAGTCCCAGCTACCCAGAAGACTGACTGAGATGTGAAGATTACTTGAGCCTATGAGTTCAAAGGTGCAGTGAGCTATGATCCCACCATTGCACTCCAGCCTGGATAACAAGGCAAGACTCTCTTTTTTTTTTTTTTTTGAGATGAAGTCTCACTCTGTCACCCAGGCTGGAGTGCAGTGGCACAGTCTCGGCTCACTGAAAGCTCTGCCTCCCGGGTACACGCCATTCTCCTGCCCCAGCCTCCCGAGTAGCTGGGACTACAGGTACCCGCCACCACGCCCGGCTAATTTTTTTGTATTTTTAGTAGAGACGGGTTTTCACCATGTTAGTGAGGATGGTCTTGATCTCCTGACCTTGTGATCTGCCCGCCTCGGCCTCCCAAAGTGTTGGAATTACAGGTGTGAGCTACCTCGCCCGGCTGACCCTATCTCTTAAAAAAAAAAAAAGTCACAAACTGATTTTGCTATAAGAATTCCCATATATACCAGAAAGAGGGGCATGATAGTGGTCTTGTAATCATGTCATATTGAAAACATTATTTGTCAACAAATGTTAGCTCTGTTTGTTGGAGTGGAATTTAACCATTATACCTTGGCAGCAGTATAATACATTCATAAGATACCAACATCACCAAATATCAAATGGGCCAGTGTTGTGCTAGCGAGTCGCAGTGGCTCATGCTTGTATCTCAACACATTGGGAGTCTGAAGTGGGAGGATCACTTGAAGCCATGCATTTGACACTAGCCTTGGCAACAAAGTGAGACCCTGTCTCCACAAAAAAAATTTAAAAATTAAAAAAATATTGGCTGGGCGCGGTGGCTCACACCTGTAATCCCAGCACTTTGGGAGGCTGAGGCAGGTGGATCACCTGAGGTTAGGAGTTTGAGACTAGCCTGGCCAACGTGGCAAAACCTGTCTCTACTAAAAATATAAAAATTAGCTGGGCATGGTGGTGCACACTTGTAATCCCAGCTACTCAAGAGGCTGAGGCAGAGAATCGCCTGAACCTGGGAGCCAGAGGTTGTAGTGAGCTGAGATCGCACCACTGCACTTCAACCTGGGTGACAGAGCAAGACTCTGTCTCAAAAAAAAAAAAAAAGAACTGGGCACGGTGGTGCATGCCTGTAATCCTAGCTAATCAGGAGGCTGAGACTGGAGGAGCACTTGAGCTGGGGAGTTCAAGGGTGCAGTGAGCTATAATTGTGCCACTGCACTCCAGCCTGGCACCAGAGCCAGACCCCATTTCTTTAAAAAATTTTTTTCTTTTTTTTTTTTTAAAAGGCTAGCCGTTGTCTGAATATTTTGTTAGCGAGTATGTTAAAGGAAGGACTCTTTAAATTTCTGAGTACTATATTACCCAGTTAGAGCTCTGGGGTTAATTTTCATTAATGCGAGTTAATGCATAGCAAAACAACTTTTGTTACAGTGTGTATTTTTTAAACTAGTAATCTTATTGTCATGGAAGCAGCTTTCACTGATACAACTACTGTTACGTTGAATAGTTAATATCAGTCATTGCTAACAGGAATAATAGATTTTTAAATGATTTAGTTGTTCTAGCTGCATAATTTCTTTGTTAATTTGTAATGCTTCAGAATTGTTTTCATCCCTTGCATTTGTTTTGCACAGAAACACTTTGTGCTACTCTGTGGGGCTTTGGAAAAGCATGTTAAATGTGATATTAGGGAAGATGCAAGACTTTTTTACAGAACTAAGGTAAGTGTGTTCTTTCTTTTTTTCTTTTTTTTTTTCTTAATCTTGGTTACGTTAATATTTAAGGATAGAAGCATACAGGCCTATATTCAGAAAAAGAACATATAAGGCTAGGCATGGTGGCTCATGCCTGTAATCCCAATACTTTGGGAGGCTGAGACAGGAGGATTGCTTGAAGCCAGGAGTTCAAGACCAGCCTGGGCAACATAGCAAGACTCCATCTCTACAAAAATTTTTGAAAAATAGCCAGGCATGGTGTCATGCACCTGTAGTTCTGGCTACTTGGGAGGCTGAGGCAGGAGGATCACTGGAGCCTAGGAGTTTGAGGTTGCAGTGAGCTATGAACACACATGGCACTCCAGCCTGGGAGATAGAGTAGGACTCTGTCTCGAAAACAAAAAGAAACATGTAAGATTAGAAATAGGACTTTCTCTTTTAATAACAGAAATCAGCTCCTGCTAAATTAGTGTAGCTAAATTAAAAGTGAAAGGAAAAAAAATCTCAAAGCAAATACACTTTTCACTTTACTTTCTGTTCTGAAACTCCTGACACCCAAGGAGAAAAATACTTCTAGTACTAATGATACATATTTTTCCCCATTACACAAATTAAAACCTTCATGCTTAAGTTACCATCAAGGATTGAAGCATTATTTAAATAAATACGTAAGTTATGAAACAGTGGCTTTGAAATTTTATGATGGTTGAAAACTTGTTTTATTCATAGAGTACAAATAGATTAGCTGTTATTCTTTGAATGTTTCATTGAAGAATATGTTAAAGGAAGGAGTCTTCAATTTTTTTTTTTTTTTTTTTTTTTTTTTTTTTTTTTTTGAGATGGAGTTTCACTCTTGTTGCCTAGGCTGGAGTGCAGTGGCACAAATTCGACTCACTGCAACCCCCGCCTTCCAGGTTCAAGCGATTCTCCTGCCTCACCCTCCCAAGTAACTGGGATTACAGGCGCCCGCTACCATGCCCGGCAAATTTTTTTTTTTTTTTGTATTTTTAGTAGAGACGGGGTTTCACTGTGTTGTCCAGGCTAGTCTCGAACTCCTGACCTCGTGATCTGCCTGCCTCGGCATCCCAAAGAGCTGGGATTAGAGGTGTGAGCCACCACACCCAGCCAGGAGTCTTCAAATCTTTGGGTCGTACAACACCTAGTCTGAGCTCTAGGGTGGAAATGATTTCAGCACTAAGCTTGCTAAGCTTTTTTTCTTAAAGGTTTTATATACTCAAAGACAGTAGAAAAGCCAAATATATGAGTATGGAGTAGGAAAATAATGTTAGTATTAATAGAATGATTTGACAGTTTTTCCTGAAACATAAAATCAGACACTTTTAAAATACTTTTTTCTAAATACAAAAATGAGCCAGGTGTGGTGGTGCGTGCCTGTAGTCTCAGCTACTCAGGAGGCTGAGGAAGGAGAATCCCTTGAACCCAGGAGGCAGAGCTTGCAGTGAGCTGAGATCTCGACACTGCACTCCAGCCTGGGCGACAGAGCAAGACTCTGTCTCAAAAAATAATAATAATAAATAAAACAAAATAAAATAAACATACTTTTTTCTAAAGATTTTTTTATTCCAAGATTATCTTTTAGCTTTGATAATGTAATACAATGCTGATTCTTTTTGCCTCTTGTCTTTGGATAGTCATTGAATGTGAAGCCTCAGCTTTGTAACTTAATATCTTACATTAATTAGCTGCAAAGGTTAGTCATTTGAACAATGCCCATTCAGATTTAACATATGTATTTATTTTAGTAAATTTAAGTTAAATACAAAAATAAGCAACTAATGAAGTTATCAGATTTCTGATTTTCAAATACATGTAGGGGATAGCTCTTTCCCCAAGAGTAGAACTCTAGTTTCAGAAGCACATTCTTTTGAGCATTCATTGACCAGAATTGCTGGCCTGTAGAACTTGGTAGTGGCTACTACTGACAGCCATGCTAAAAGGGGACCACCCAAGTTTTATGTTTCTTAAAGACAAGGGCTTGGCACAGATTGTTGCCAGTGCTTCTCTTACTTAAAGTGGAAAGCGACACAGTGGTCTGTGGAAATTGCTTCAAGGGATGGTCCTGCTGAAATAGATGAGTTGCCTGCCTCTCCAAAAGCCTCTATTATAGAAAAGTTGGTGATTGTTTTGGAGAAATTTGAACTGTAGATGAAGAAAAAAGCATAGATTGTAGTTTACTTTATAAATTTAAAGCTGCTATAAAATTCCTGACTTGTTGAAAACATGTTTCTCAAGCAGTTATGTTCAATAGCTAATTGAGAATCTCTAGAGTGATAGAGTTTGGGTTTTGTGTTACAGTTTCAGTTGTGCACAGACACTTGCTAAACCTCCAAATGTAGGAAAATACGAGGTATTTAAAGGGGATTCGTAGTACTTGGGCACAAGCATGGAGAGGAGTAACAGTGAATTTTGGATCTTCTAATAATGTGGAGAGGGACAAATAAACGTTTTTTTTATGGCTTTGATCCTTTCAAAGGGAAGCTGGGAAGGGAAGGCACAGAACAGCCAAAGCCTTGGGCCCTGTTGACACAGACCACCCTTCAGCTTCTCTATCTGGTTGTTCAAAAGCCAGCGAGTTAAAGTTAAGTTCCTTTGAAGGCAGAGAATGTGTTTTTGGGGATGATCTTCAATAACAGGAAAATTAAATCATAAGCATTCAATAGTTTAGATTATGATGATAAAGGGAGTCTTATTAATTTCTATGATTTGAAATCTCCTTCAAAAGATGAGTAGTTTATTTTCTCTTTGTTGACAGAAATCAAATTGAGTTGTTGAGTGTGGGCCTGTTGCAGCTGTCAGATATTTTGTGTAGTGTTAAGCTGATTGTAGGTGAGAATGTTTTAATCTGATCCCTTTTCCTGTTTTTGATATTTTTAAGGTGAAAGACTTGGTCGCCAGGATACATGGAAAATGGCAGGAAATAATCCAGAACTGTCGGCCTACTCAGGTGTCATTTTGTTATACAATTTCATGTATTCTTAATAGTTTTGCTGAATGGCACTCTTCATACTGTTTGAAATAAAATAGGGTATAACAGTGCACTTGCTTCTAGTTATCTTAAGATAAACTGAAAACGCCAGTATAATACATGGTTTGTAATTTTTTTAGTTTTCGTTTGCTTTATATTCATTAATTTATTTCCAGAAGTGGTTGAGCCCATTTAAAAATATTGCATTGCATCAAATGGAGGTTATTCAATTAAGAGCATTTTTAAGACAGATCTATTGAGATAGAATTCACATACCATAGATTTTACCCACTTAACGTGTACAGTGGTTTTTATTACATTGACAGAGTGAATAACATCACCATAGTCTAATTTTAGAACATTTTCATCACCCCAAAAAGAAATCCCATACCCATTAGCAGTCATTCATTCCCCTTTCCTCTACTACCTTGGTTCCCCTCCTGACTCCTCCCAAATCCTAGGCAAACACTAATCTACTTTCTGTCCCTATACATTTCCCTATTCTGGACATCGGTAAATGAGATATACTATGTAATCTTTTGTAATTGGCTGTTTTCAGTTAATATAATAATAAGTGAATCCATGTTATAGCATGTACATCCCTTCTATTGCCAAATAATTTTCCACTGTATGGATATGTCACATTTATTTATCTACTTATCAGACATTTGTATTGTTTTCACATTCTGGCTATTACAAATAATATTTCCATGAACATTTGTATGCAAGTTTTTATGTGAATATGTGTTCTCAAATGAAACATTTGAAAAGGAAGTCAAATTGCTGGGCCATATGGTAATTCTATGTTAAGTGTTTTAAGAAACTACCAGACTGTTTTCCAAAGTGACTGCATCATTTTATATTCCCACCAGAATGTCTGAGGTTTCTAATTTCTCCATATTCTCACCAACACTTGTTTTTACTAAAGCCATAGTAGGGAGTAGGGAAGTAGAATCTCATTGTGGTTTTAGTTTGCATTTCCCTAATGATTAATGGTGTTAAACATCTTCTCATATGCCTATTGGTCATTTGTATAGCTTTTTTGCAGAAATGTCTATTCAGATCCTTTGCCCATTTTTTTCATCCCATACTTCATTTCAAAAAGCCTATTTTTGAATATAGTTATTTGTCTTTTTATTATTGAGTTGTATGTTCTGGATACAAATCCCTTATTAGAGATATAATTTGTAAATATTTTCTTCCATTCTGTGTGTTGCCTTTCCTTTATTTTTATTTATTATGTATATATTTTTGACACTTTTTTTTGATGTTATATCTAAGGAGTCTTTGCCTAAGAGGGACATTTTTTTTAACACCTGCTAGTAAGTGTGCCAGCCTGCTTGTTTACAGAGTAACTGGCATAGGATTGTCTAAAATGACGCTTCTCAAATTTTAATGTACATAGGAATCAACTAGGAACTTGGTGAAATATGGATTCTGACTCATAGGTCTGGAGTGAGAACTGAGATATTCTGTACTTCTTTTTTTTTTTTTTTTTTTTTTTTTTTTTGAGACGGAGTCTTGCTCTGTCACCCAGCCTGGAGTGCAGTGGTGCAATCTCGGCTCACTGCAAGCTCTGCCTCCTGGGTTCACGCCATTCTCCTGCCTCAGCCTCCTCAGTAGCTGGGATTACAGGCGCCTGCCACCACACCTGGCTAATTTTTTTGTATTTTTTAGTAGAGACAGGTTTCACCGTGTTAGCCAGGATGGTCTGGATCTCCTGACCTCGTGATCCGCCCGCCTCGGCCTGCCAGAGTGCTGGGATTACAGGCATGAGCCACCGCGCCTGGCTGATATTCTGTAGTTCTAGCAAGTTATCAGATTGATGCCAATGCTGCTGCTTCAGGGACTAAACTTTGAGTAGCCAGGGCCTAGAAGTTGCTTATATTTTATATCAAAATAATAGGAACACTGAATGTTAAGTAGATAAAGCAATCTCTCTATTTTAAGTCTTTGAGAAATCTTATATTTATGTTTTGTTGTTTTTGTATTTGTTTCTAACCTTAATAGATTTTCTTTTAATGCTGGTCATGTACTGATGTGGTATTAAAACAGAAAATAATTTAATAGCAAAACTATACTAATCAGCTTAACATTATTTAATCTGCTTAACTAAGCCCCTCCATGTGTGCAGTGGTGAGAAAAACATCCTGCACTTATTTTTTACTGTTTTTTGTTGTTTGACTACTGAATGTGAAATTTGAATCTGATTACCATAAATTTTCAGAGAAGTCAATATAAAGATTTTATTACTTGTCTTATCAAAGCCCATTGTCTGATGATTAGTAGTTTTATAAGGATTAATTCATAATATGATTAAATTTTGCTTTACCCTCTTTTTTCTCCTTCCCTTTTTTAGGGGCAGCTTCATGACTTCTGGGTACCAGATTCTTAATAGGAGTTGCAGCAGCAAAAATATGAACCAAGAGAAATTCAATAAGAGCCTTTCATAGAGGAGTAGAAAGGATTATTACAGAATCCAATGAATGCCAAGAAAATGTACAGCAAATGTGCCACTTGAATATCTAGTATGAAGCTGGTAATGAAGAAATTGCCATTTCTGAAGCAGATATGAAATATGATCTGCTTAATTGTTAAGGCAACTGACCTTTCAAAAGTGCAGAGTCTTATTAAAAGAGGGGAGGGGTAGAAGCAGAATAATAGTCATATGTCTAACCTGCCCCAGTTAACTCCTCTTGTTAAATTATAAGCCAGTTATCTTTTTTAGATAGTATTTTTGTCACTTGGATAATCACAGGAAATATATAAGAAAAGAGCTTGGACTAACTTGAGAAGTTGGACATGGAAAGCAAGACCAAGTTCCAGTTGGGTTTAATTTTCCCTCTTGGTTATTTTCGGACACAAAGGGAATGCTTAAAACTGAGTTTAGTAATAAAAAGCATAAATCTCTTCTGTAACTTTTATAAACCACAGGGAGGTTTCAATCCATGCATTTTCCTTCATTACTCAAGATTATAAATCTGTTTTTAAAATACATCTAAACAAACAGTTGAGAAACAAAAGTTTGGCATGTTGTCAGATCCCCTTAAGAGGAAGAGGTTAAGCTGTAAAGTAGTGGCCCTGTTTTGATGCCAGAACATTCATATGCTGTTTGTTCTGGATTTCTTTTAAATGCATGTATTTTAAATACTGGTTAAATCTTAGAATCTTGGCTATATCTTAGAATTCTGGCTCTTGGTAACCATATTACAGAAGTCTATATTGTAAAAGCCTAAAGATCTGGACAAGTTTCCAACAACCTTGTTTCCATGAGTATATAATTTTGGCAGACACCTGAATTCTTTGGGACACTGTGTCTGTGTATGTGTGTGTGTGTGTGTGTGTGTGTGTGCGCTTGTATCTTGAAGTTGTTGCACTTCAAAACCACAGCTGCTGTAAATTCTTAAACACTGGAGAGCCATCCTTTGGTTTAAATGGTAGAGGGTTAGTGGAAGTGCACACGTTGTTTTTAGCCCAGGGGTAGTAACAAACTCTTACTAGCCAACTAGAAAATTATTTTGTTGACGAGATGTCCCTTTTAGGAGGGTTTGTTTCCTGAAAGAATGCCAACTTTTTTTGTTGTTCTTTCAGTATTGGCTTGAGTGACCTGTTCTCCTGAGTGCTCTAGTGTCTCCAGTTGTGGGGGGGAAAGATGATGGAGGGGAACAGAAACTGGACTTGATGTTTGCGGTTTGAGAGGCAAGAAAATAAAATAACTTTCTACCTCTAAATTGAGGCTTAGGAGTAAAAAGCATTTTGTCCTAAATTTATCATTTAAAATAGCATCAGTAACTTTTGAGCTCATGTCAATCAAGCATTGGCAGTCAGAGATTTTATAGGGAAGACTAAGTAAATCCAGTTTCCAAGAACCTAAACTGATTGAGGCTCCAAGAGTCAGACCAACAAAAGTTTTATTCTGTGTTGTTTACTGGTAAGAATATTATTATCTTGATACTACCTCTCAAGGGTATTGTTACAAAATGCCACTTATGGTTAAAGAGATAGATACAAAGAGTTCTATTTGACAGAAGCTTGAAACTCTGGCATCTATCTGCCCAACGATGGGGGCTTTCGTTCTGTAATTTAATCCTTTGTAGATACATTATTTGTGTGTAATTTTATACGTGTTCATATTTTTCTCATTTTGCATTGTGTAAAGTGTACAAAATCTCAAAGTATAAAATACTGCTTATATTGCTTGTAATTTACAGTGTGTAAATATTTTCTAATTGTGTACATTGATGGGGGGGACAAGTGGGTTATTCAGGTTTTTTTTTAATGACCCTTTTGTATTGCAGTTTCAACAGATAACTGTCCATCAAATTTAAAACCACTTTGATACATTTTTATTTAACAGTTCCAATAAGAAAAAAATCTCTATTTTTAATTATATTTCTCCTTTAGAAAAAAAATACTTCATGGTCCCTCTAAAATAAATGGCCAGACCTCAGTTTAGGCCCTTGTATTTATGACTCTGGTAGAGGTCTTCAGACTCCAGGTCATAGTCCAGTCAGTATTTGCATTTGGGTTCTCATGAAAACTTTGTGACTCTCTTTTAGCACAAGTAGCCCATGGTTTTTCTTCCAAATCAAGTATTTTACTTCTCCCTTGAGTCCCCATGCTTTGTCTCCCTCCTGCTGCTATTGCCCGGTGAATGGGATGGTAGAGAGGGAGAAATGTTCATTGCACAGAGAATGTCAGGCCACTTTGGGGACTTGGCAAACGAAGCTTGCACTGAGTGGTGGTGTGTTTGGCAATATTACTGTGCCAAAAATCACCTTGTCTAATTTTATGGATATGTATGGCAAACTTATTACCCTTCTTGCAAGCTGCACATTAAGGTACTTGTAAGTGTTTATGCTTTTGTGTGTAACTGTTTGCCTTTTCTAACTGCTTTTCTTGTTACTGAAAATATAATTCTACTAGTTTTATCACATTAAGAGGCTCTCCATGCACAAAATGCATTGATGTAGCCGTAAAGTAACAGCATTTGTACATTTTCTATCTCCTGATGGCAGTGGTGCCTTTGTCACCTTTTGGAAGGTTTGCATTTTGTTTCTGCTTTCAAGCGCAAATAGTAGCTTGCTTTCAGCTTCACAAAAATCTCCTCAAATGTAAAAGATACAAAATGGCGTGTTATCATCCAGGCTTAGTTGGAGTATTTGCATTTTTATTTTTATCAAAACAAATATAATTGGTGGGGACTGGCCAGTAATAATGTGTGGCGTCTTTAAGCCAAGAGTAATTTTTAAATTAAAAATGAAAATTTTAAGAGGTAGCCCATTAAACAAGCTACTGAGTTGGAGAATTAGGGGATGACTGTGGTGGTTTGTCGCTAAGGAGGCAACAGTAGGGTCCAGGCGGCGGGGCACGTAGAGCAGTTAGCATGATCCATGGTTATTCCTTACTCATGAACAGTGTCGGCGCACCTCATTATCTGTGCATTTGTTTTTCCTGGGCAGTCCTGTCAGCCAGTTAATCCACCAGCTCTTAGGAAGTAAATACAGATTTTTTTCTTTCCTTTTTTTTTTTTTTAAAGATTTTATACTACATCTTGTTAAAGTCCTATGAATGTGTGTGTGTGTGTGCTATTAAAACTGCTTTTTCTCAGTTTGAACATGTGTTTGGTAATATTTGTTTGGGAGTTGGGGAGGCTAAGTTATCTGGAATGCCCTGTTCCCTCAGCCCACCCCAGTCCCCTGGCTTTTAAACATTTCTTCTTGCTTTGGATTGTCCAGTTTTTTAGCTTGATGTCTCCTGTTTCTGGAAAACATAAAGCCACCATTGTACACAGTTCACTTTTATATAACCCAGTTAATTGCTGTATACTTTGCAATCAGGAATTCAGTAATCTCATTCTTACCTCATTCACTATGTTCATTCCACCATTCATTCTAACAATTGAGTCTCAACTACATACTAGGCACTCTTTTTAGGATTCAGTAAGGATTTGATGGTGAACAACATAGAGAACTCATGAATCTTACCTCCTGGTATCCAGGTTAAAATACTTTCTGTTCTTGGGCAAAGAGAATTAGAAACAAATACCCTTAACCTGACTCCCTTGTTCTTGAGCCCAGGACCAAGAAAGAAGAAGCTGTACAATGCAGAAGCAGGGCTTGAGATCACCTCCAACCTGCCAAGCAGATAGAGATCTGGGTATGCCAACTTGGGAGGCAGAGGTTGAAACCTCATAGGAGGAACTTTGGAGCTCATAGAAGGCCTTGGCATTGTCAGAGGCCTTGAGTTCCAAAACCATGCCAGTATTTCTGCCTTCTGACAGGCTGGCTAGAAAGAGACTAAATGGGAGCATTTTTCTCTGACAGTGGGGCGGAGGGATGAGGGGATGACAGCCCAGGAAGAAGCAGAGACATTGCCGTAAGTACTTACTAGAGGGCAGGCAGCACAGCTTTATGCAAGTTAAGGGCCTTGACCTTGCCCCAAGGCCTGACCTCAGATCCCAGATTCATCATACTAGCCTTTTGATCTTTGCCAAATTACTTAAACTCACTGTTTCCTCATCTGTTGAATAATGGTGTCTACCTCAGGGTTTGTGAGGACTAAGCGAGCTAATGCATGAAAAGTGCCTAGTACAGTGCCTGGCATATAGCAAGAACTCAGCAAATGCTTGCTGCTCTAACGAGGCGTTTCTCTGATGACAGATTTGATCTTAAGCAGACACCTCAGGGTGTACTGACATCTGAGCAAACCATATCTCCAAAAATTATAGTTGTAAGTGTGCCCTATTTCTTTGGATACCGGGAGCTGGAGCTTCTCTGTCCAGCTATCTCTGCTGATTTTTTTTAATTAAAATTTTCACTTTTTAAAAGCCAGCATGCTAAAGCTGAGAAATTGGTGATGGGTGGTGGTTTTCCAGCATTTGTGGGAATGTCCTGACACTCCCTTTCCCTTACTAACCATTCCCTAGGCTGGAGTCAAGAGAGGGCAAACCAGAAGGCCCAGCTTTGGGTCTGACTCCAAGACGACTGGCTGGGAGGAAAACTAAACAGGCTTCTGAGGCACAGTGGAATAGTGAGACTTCCGCATTGTTGCACTGGTGACAGCCCCTACAGAAGAAGCACCTCAGCTGTATATATAGCCAAAATAAAGACCACACCACCTAAAGGGAAAGTGCTGGGCAAACCAGAGATGGAGATGGCAAAGCAGGAACAGAAATGCTGCCACATTGAACAGTAAGCAGGACAACTTGACTAGGCCAGAGTTCTCTTGCTTCAGGGAACCTGCTCAAGTTTCAGGAATTCATACCCACCCCCTTCACCTAGGATCCCTGCTACAGTAAGTAACTGTTCTGTGCAAAGTGGAGCTAAACTCTGGTGTGTAAGTGGCTGACAATCACTGCTGAAGACGGCCAGCACTACCCTCAGCCACTTTCTTACAGCAAAGTTGGGGAAAATAGACTAGCAAAAACAAAACTCATACTTTTCTGTGTGTGTGAAGTTCTCCAGAAGGTTTCCAAATGGAATCCTCTCACAGCCACCCTGCGAAGCAGCCAGGGTAGTGACCTTATGGATGAGTGACAGCCTGTTCAAAGAATGACCTGCCTGTGTCCCAGGATGCAGATTTATGGCTGGGTTAGGGTTAATTTCTTTAGTTGATTTCCAGTTTTCTTTTCCACTGTCTGTCAGTATTCCCCCGTTCTTATTTTACCAGCTGGATTTGCAGAGAGACATACTGTCAATCAAAAGGGCTTCCTATGGGCAGCTCCATTAATTGCTTTTACATCTGATACTCTCATTAGGTTTAGAGATTTTACTGGGAGGCTAGCAGAAGGAAATGGATTGTGGTCTGCTATCAAAAGTACTGAAGTAACTGCCCAGTGATCATTGAAATCACACATTTTGCTCATTTAACAATGTCTGAGTTTGCCATCAGCACCTCAGAGGAGCAAAGCTTGGTTCATAAAGTGAAGTTGAGTGATACTGAGCCTACCACACTGGCCTACTCGCCACCTCCAGAGCTATCTGAAGTCAGCACTGCAGGTTCTGTGAACATTTGGGAAGCTGTGCCTCTTAGCCCCCTGGGCCCCTACAGTTTAATTGCTCTCCTATCTGCTACTGAAGGACCAGCAGTCTTCCTACCCTGCCTCCACTGTTACCACCAACCCACTTTTTGATAAGGACTGCAGATTTATCTTTCTTAGCCCTGCCTTGACTGGTCTTCCCACCTCAGACGTCCTTACTCAGTCCATCATCTCTTTCAGGATTTTCTTCTGTGGTCTTTTTCAAACTACTAGCTGACTTTTCCCTTTTATTTCCCACTAGGAACCCCTCCCCGCCCCCCCCCCCCCCCCAGCCATTTCATCAAATCAAACTCACTGCCCTCTTTCATGCCCCTTCCTTAGTTCCCCAACACAAGCCTGTGCATAAGCTTGAACATTTCTACCTTTGCCAATGGTATTTCCCCTTCTGGCTTACCCTGCTTCCTCCTTCTCAGACTTTTCCAGTCTTGATTGTCCTCTCCATAAACACAAGAATGAACTTCAAGGCAAGTTACTTAATGTCTTAGAGCCTGTTTCCCCATCCATAAAATGGGGCTATAAATTCCTCAGGATGGGATGAGGGTACAAATAAAAAATGAAGCAGGATATTCTTTGTAAAAGTGTGTGTACATTTTTTATTGTGTTTCTCCCCAGCTACCTTCCCTCTCCCCGCCACACACATCCTATTTGCAGAGTGTTGGGGGAGGTGGAACTGTGATGTGGGCCCTGCTGTCTAGCAGTCTGCAGTCACACACAGCCATCCAAACTACGAGATTGTATATGATTCAGTGCCAAACTGTGAGCTTTGGGGAATCCAGAAAGAAGGATGAAGCCTTTCCCAAGTTTCCTTTAGTTAAATGTGCCACTTGAATCCTGTTCTGACTCCTAGGCACATGCAAGAGTCAATCACATATGTTCCTGTGGCCTTTATCATTTTGGTCCATCTCTTGAGCCCACATGAATACTGTCATGGATGGAGGAGGAAGGACCAGGCTGGGTCAGGGCCTGAATGCAGGTTTTGTTTGGACTATAGGGGCTAAGTTCACTTTAATAGGCTGTGACCTATTAAAGGAGGCAGGAACCAAGTTTGCACAGAAGGACCATCCTAGTTGAGTTAAAGGAGTTGGGGAGTTGATTGTGAGGGGTTTCCTAGATTGCTGCTGGGTAAGGTGATTGAATCTGGGAAGGATAGGGTACTTGATTGCCTAGAAGGGTGCACTCTAAGTTCTGGATAAGAATGGTGCCCAAGATGAGCTGGAGGGGAAGGCAAGTGTTTGAATGACCCAGTCCCTGAGGTGAGCCTAGGTTAGGGTTAAGATTTGGTGAGTGAACAGGTGCAAACGCTTGTGGCTTATTTATCCAGAAAAAGCATTTTCTGTGTGCCTTTCAGGTCAGGCTGTTACTTTATCCCCTTCAGGCCTGACCCCATCTCCCCCACGCATAGCTCAAGCTGAACAGCCCCTGAAGCTGGGAATCAAGCCCCTACCTTGTGTTCAGAGCTTCCCTAACGTCCAGTCGCCACCTAGGGTAGCCTTCCCTCCACACCCTAGGCCGAGAGCAGAAGCGGGTGGCAGGAGCACAGGGAGTGAGGTCCAGGTTAGAGGACAGGCCAGAAGGCCCTCCGAGAGGGTCCCCCAACCCCGCAACGCCAGGACAGGTTTGCACGTCCCCAGCAGTAGGCAAGTCAGGGGGGTCCTAGGGTTACAGCGGAGGAGAGGACGGGCTATAAGCATGTGGAGGGTGCACGGGGTGGCGAGGCCACCACCAGGGGGCGATTTCAGGGCCGCAGCGCCTAGAGGTGGGGGGTCGCCCGATGGCCGAAGGCTGTGTGTGAGCCTCGCCCTCAAACCGCCTCTATTGTGCTAGAGTAGGGGGCGCAAAGAAGAGAGTGGCGACCTTCCCCTCACCCCACCCAGTCGGCCCCGCCTTTCAGGACCCCGCCCCACCCCCGGCTCCGCCTCCACCACCCCCCCCCCGCCCCGCCTCCAGCCGCGGCCCCTTCCTCTCGCAGCTGGTGCTGTGGGGCCGCGGAGCCGCGCGTCGCTGTCTCTATGGCCCCGGATCCGAGCGCAAAGGTGAGCAAGGCGAGGAGTGCGGGCGGCGCCCTGGCGTGAGCCTGGGGCTGCGGGCCGGGGGTCGGGCAAGGCCTCCCCCACGTCCATTCTACCCTCCAAGCTGGGCCAGGCCTTTCTCACCACCAAGTCCCCCGGTCCTGCATGACGGCTCTAGAGGGGCGCGGGCCAGGCCTCGGGCTGCGCGGGGTGCAAACCGGCCACCACGGAGTCGGGGACCAGCGCGGGGAGGGGGCCGCGTGGCGAACAGTGTTCCCCAGGATCTGGGTCACGTCTCCCGGCGTCCGGCGGGATCGAAGGAGAGCTTGTCCTCGAGCTGCAGCAGTAGAGACTGAGGTTAGACCTGACGAAGGGAGAGGACCGCGGACTGTCCAGGATGTTGGAGGGAGGGGGTCCCGGGGGAGGGGCTCTCTCAAGCCAGGAGAGACCGCCATCCTACTAGGCAGAGGGAAATACCGCCTACACTAGGCAGGTGGACATCTGGGATGAAGGTCGAGAGCCTGCTGATCCTCCATTGATCCTGTTTGAAGGGTCTCTCCTCCCCAGTTCCCTCCACCCCAAGATCTAATAGAGGAAAGGTGATCAGAGTTCAGGGGGCTGGCCCTGGGGAAGAACCCGAACTGTGGAACTTGGGGTGGAGTGTGGGGCGTGGACTGGAGACCTTAAACCCGTACTTCGCCACTGAAGGGAGGGGTGATATGCTCCGCCCCGCCCACTTAGCCCCGCCCCCTCCCACAGGTTAAGTGGGGGCTGAGAGCTCCAGCCCGTCTCCCACCTTTAGAACCGCAATATACATAGGGGTGGAGGAGTACTAAATTATGCGTTCCATTCCATCTTTGCTGAAGCTAGGGGCCTCCTCCTGCCTGAGTTACTTTCCCATTCCCTCCCTTGTAGAGCGGCCTTGACTCATGCACCCATCCCATCTGCCCATCCAAGGTCAGAAGCCTCCCCCATCACCACACACACACACACACACAACCCCCTCACCACCCCCACACACAAACACACACTTGAAATTGGGCCTTAGAATTGGGACTTTCAGGAACAGAGGCAGGGTTCTGCTCTGCATCTCACCCCAGTGGACACTGGCAGCCTCCAAGCCTATGGCAAAAACTGGACCCCTGTATGCATGTGTGCTTGTCTCTGCATGGATGTAGTTGTGTGTTCAAGAACTGCGTGTGAGCACACATGTACTTGACCCTTCTGTGAACATGATTGCCTGGCCCACTATATCAATGGGTTTGTGTGCATGTCCCTACACATACATGTGTATGTATAGGACCCTCCTGTTGAATAGGTGCACAGTCCTTGACACAAACCCACATGTGTGGGTTTATCTCTCCTCAATGTCTGAGGCTGTGTGACCTGCTGAATGGATGGGCATGTAAATTCAACGTCACATGTGAATATGTATGATTACCTGTGGCTGTGGCCCTCTGTATGAGCATATGTGTGCACAAAACTCCCTGTGAGTATATGTGTGAATGACCCCTGTGAATCCACGTGTTCACAGTCCTCCTTGTGAACATGTGTGTGTGTGTGTGTGTGCACCCATGTGCATGTATATCACCTTCCTAATAGTCACCCATGTGACTCTTAAACTATAAGTGTGACATGCACCACACTGAGTGGCTCCTCTAACCTGGGGCATGTTCCTCCTAGCCATAGTGCTCCCCACACACATGCCTTTTGCACTGAGCAAATAGGAGGTCCCAAAGGTAAACAGGTGTGCCTCCACAGGGAGGGGTGGGGCATGGCCGGCTTGCCTGAAGCTTCCTGCTGTCCCAGATCCCAAACAGGGAGCCTATGCCCTTTCAGGGTCAGGGAATCCTCTTCTCTCCCTTTCATATTTGACTCTACCCCTCAGGGCTCTGCCCCTGCAGTGCTGACCTTTACCTCTTGAATAATTGCTCCTGTTATCCCTCTGGCCAGTTCCTGATTCCTCCCCTCTTTCCAAGGCCAGATAGTTAATATTTGACCTGGGAGAGGAGGCACCAGTGGCACCCTCTGGCCCTGCCTGTGGGTGGCTGATGAGATGGAATGTATTAGGTCTCTCCACACCTCACCCAGCCCAGGAACTCTTCAAGGAACCCCTTGGTGATTAGGAGGCCTGTTACAGGGGTTGGGAGAGGCCTGCCACCCACCCCCATCCCATCCCCAACTGGTTGGCTTGAGGGAGGGTCCAAGATGTGTCGGGAGGGGCCAAGGGCTCAGGGATCCCATCATTTACCTTCTTCACGTTGCTTATGTCTCAACTGGCCTTGCACACTACAGCCTTCTGCACAGACATTATACCTGTGCAACCAGGGGGATCCTAGGTACCCACCCCAATGCCTGTGAATGCCTACTTGCAGATAGGGACACGTGTGGATGCCTAGCCAGAGGGTGCAATACAGACTGGCGTGGGCAGAGATGTGCACCCCCTTGGAGAGGAATACCAAGAAGTTATAATTAAAGAGAAATTCCAGAGGGAGCTCTCAGGCCAGGGAAAAGAAAAAACAAAGGGAAAGCAGGACAAAATAAACAAAGGTCCATTAAACCTCTCTGGTTAGGCCCTCCTGCATAAGGCACCCCCGCAGGCAGCAGGGGCAGCTGCTGACCGAGTTGCATCTCATTGTTGGGAGAAGCAGGCATTCTCTCCAAGAACCCCAGCTCCTTTGACTTGAGGGCCTAGTGGAGCTTCTGACTTGGCCAGAAGAGGGTCATGACCTTGGGTTTCGGGTTGTGGGCATCTAGGGTCTTGTAAGGAAGGTAAGTTCCACCCCAGCCTCCTGCATCAGAGCAAAGCGATAGACAGAATGATTGTGAGTCGATCCTGGCGTGGGCGTTCTGTGGATGCTGGGCCTCCTTCTTTCAGTGCCCCCTGAAGTCTGGGTAACGCCATCCATCTTCCACCCACATACAGATCAAAGGGCTTTTTTTTCCCCGTTTTTTCTTCAGAAAACGGACCTCAGAAAACCAGGACTAGCTCTACTGTCGGGGGCAGGGTGACCCCATCAGTAACCTACAACCCCTCTAGAACTTCACAACTCCCTCTCACCATGGAGTTTGCATTTGATGCAGAAAGGCATGTGATCCCTCCCTCCTTCTGACCTCTTAGCTGGGGATTCCATGGCCACACAACCCTGTGACTCCATGTCCCCCCGATTCCAGGACCCCCCATGGCCCCATGATTCCTTGACTCCTATGACCTTATGACCCCTGACCTTCCAAGTGACTTCCTTGGACTTTGACCCCTGTGACTGTGCTTCCCATTCCCCGCCCCCACAACCTGTGACTCTGGCTCCCTTTGGGGGTCTTGTTAGTCTGGGCCTCCCCAGGAAGATGTGGGGGAGGCTCTGGCCCCTCCTCCTCAGCATCCTCACAGCAACTGCAGTCCCAGGACCCTCACTGCGGAGACCGTCTAGAGAACTAGATGCCACCCCTCGGATGACCATACCCTATGAAGGTTAGACCCTCAACCTCAAAAGGCAGCAGAAGCCAGGGCTGGGGGTGGGGAGGCACCCCAGAACTAGGGCTCACTGTTCCTGCTCTCCCCAGAGCTCTCTGGGACCCGGCACTTCAAGGGCCAAGCCCAGAACTACTCAACACTGCTGCTGGAGGAGGCCTCAGCAAGGCTGCTGGTGGGAGCCCGAGGTGCCCTGTTCTCTCTCAGTGCCAACGACATAGGAGATGGGGCTCACAAAGAGGTCAGGCCCTGGAACCTGGACCACCCAGAGGGTCTCTATGCTTATCCAGCTCCCTGGGACCTCAACTTCCTTAAAACCCTGCCAGCCTTCCATAGCCCCCTGGTCAGACAGCACTGCCCTTCCCAGCCCAGGTGTTCCTTGCATTCAGTGTTCCTCCTGAAATTGATCCCCACCCCAATTTCCCCAACTCTGTGGGGTCCTATTGCCTGGTCCTATGAGTAATAGGTATTGGGGTCAGTGCATCAGCCTATTCCCTTTGCCTCCACTAGATCCACTGGGAAGCCTCCCCAGAGATGCAAAGCAAATGTCATCAAAAAGGGAAAAACAACCAGGTATGTGGTCTGCCCTGTCCCCAGCTCCTTTCCTCCCCTTCTTCCTCAATCAGGGATGCCAGGATTGTTGGGGACACAGATGGGTAGGTACAGACCTGCCAGTCAATCTCAGCAACCACAGTAAACATTGTAAGTATTGCCAGAGTGGCAAGCCATGGGCACAGCATTTTTTTTTTTTTCTTTTTTTGAGGTCGGATCTCACTCTGTCATCCAGGTTGGAGTACAGTGACATGATCATAGCTCCCTGTGGCCTTAAACTCCTGGGCTCAGGGGATCCTTCCACTTCAGCCTCCTGAGTAGCTAGGACCACGGGCACATGCCACGCCCAGCTAAGTGTTTTATTTTTTGTAGAAACAGGGTCTTGCTATGTTGCCCAGGCTGGTCTTGAACTCCTGGCCTCAAGCAGTCCCCCTACCTTAGCCTCCCAAAGTGCTGGGATTACAGATGTAAGCCATTGCCCCCGGCATCTGGGCACAGTACTTCTAATTCAACCATCTGGTGGCCTACTAGTTTGTCCCGCAGTGGCATCTTCATCTCCTCTGGGATCCCAAATAATCAAAATGGCAATAAGTAGGCTGAACGCGGTGGCTCACATCTGTAATCCCAACACTTTGGGAGGCTGAGGGTAGGAGGACAACTTGAGTCCAGGAGTTCAAGATCAGCCTTGGCAACACAGCGAGATCTGTCTACAAAAAAAATACAAAAATTAGCCAAGTATGCTGGCGTGCACCTGTAGTCCCAGCTACTTGGGAAGCTGAGTGGGAGTATCACTTGGGCCTGGGAGGTTGAGGCTGCGTGAGCTATAATTAAGCCACACATTCCAGCCTGGATGACAGAGCAAAACCCTGTCTCAAAAAAACAAACCAACAAAAAACAGTAAGTAACCTCTACAGATGCTTACTTACGATGGGTTACTTACCAATAAAACCATCATAATAAATTGAACCATTGTTAAGTCAGCAACTATCTACAGCAAGTGATGATTTAGCTATTATCTCAGTTAATTCTAAAATAACCCTATGAAATAGTATTATCCTGCATTTTGCAGATGAGAAAAATGAGTCTTTGGTCAAGGAATAGGTCAAATACCCAGTATTCCATGGACAGGCATTAATGAAGCATCAGCCCTTTCCAGCTAAAGAATAGGGTGTCTCCAGGGGTCCCATGTCTGGCTAGGTAATGGCTCCATCTGGAGAGCTTTTACAAAATAAACGGCCCTGGGCTGGGCATGGTGGGTCACACTTGTAATCTCAACACTTTGGGAGGCCAAGGCAGGAGGATCACTTGAGCCCAGGAGTTCGAGGCCAGCCTGGACAATATAATGAGACTCTATCTCTAATAAAAAATAATTAAAAAAAAATTCCCAAGATCCACTGGGCCAAGGTGGGCCAGGGGTGGTGTTGGGACAGCTCCGTTTAAAAAGGCATCTCCAAGAGCTTCCATCAAAGGCTGCCTCTTGGTGCAGCACAGGTAGAAAATGGGGCTGGGGAGGCAGATGGAACCAGGTCATGGAAGGCCACAGATGCCCAGCTGGGAGTTTGGGTTTTATTCTGTGACAGTGAACACCCTCAGAATTTGATACTTTAGAGGCTCTAACTTTAATGTATCACCCAGGTATATTATAAATGCAGATGCTAAACTTAGTAGGTCTGGGGAAGGGCCCAAGAGTCTGCAATTCTAACAAGCTCCCAAGTGAAGTTGATGCTGCTGGTCCCCAGACCACACTTTGGATAGCAAGGCTTTATAGAACAGTTCCCAAAGCATGTTCTGAGGAACATTAATTTTCAAAGGAGGGGTTTAAATGTCAAATGAGTTTGGGAAACACTACATGCCCAGTCCCACAATGCACAGCAACATCCTTCAGGCTCTAGGAAGTAAGCCCAGTAAAGATAGGTTTCACCTGTGGTTTCCAAAGTTATTTGACCAGAGAATTCCTCCCTACCCCCCTTTAAAAAATGTAAACATCCGCTGGGCACGGTGGCTCAGGCCTGTAATCCCAGCACCTTGGGAGGCCGAGGCGGGTGGATCATGAGGTCAAGAGATCGAGACCAGCCTGGCCAACATGGTGAAACCCTGTGTCTACTAAAAATACAAAAATTAGCCCGGCATGGTGATGCACATCCATGCGAGTAGTAGTCCCAGTCACATCACCATGGTGTTGAGAGTAGTAGTCCCAGCTACTCGGGAGGCTGAGGCAGGAGAATCTCTTGAACCCGGGAGGCGGAGGTTGCAGTGAGCTGAGATCATGCACTGCACTCCAACCTAGCGGCAGAGCAAGACTCCGTCTCAAAAAAAATAAAATTAAAAAAATAAATAAACATCTTGGGGAAACATCACTTTAGGAATATTTATCTGGCCCCAGGCACTGGATGGATGAAAATAGGGTGAGTCTGGAGGCAGGAAAAGCAGTGAGGAGGCTGGGGGCATCATTTGGGTCAGAGGAAGGGGCCTGAGCAGGCTTATGGAGACGGGGGACAGATGGTAGTGGCTTGTACCAGGTGAGGGAGCAGGAGGAGACACAAAGAGGCCTGTATGGATTTAAACCCTGGGTAACAGGCAAGAGGAGGAATCATTAACGTGGCAAAGGAGTCAAGAGGCTGGCAGCTGAGGGCATTTGACAGGCAGAGAAGACCAGTGTGGCTGGAGTAGGGTGAGTGAGACCAGAGGAATGGGCAGAGTCCCATCACACAGGGCTAGGAGCATGTGGGACTCTATATTCAGGTCACTGATGAGCCGATACAGTGGTGTGATCCACTTGACTTTTTTTCAGACATGGTCTCACTCTGTTGCCCAGGCTGGAGTGCAGTGGTTCACTGCAGCCTCGACCTCCTGGGCTCAAACAATTCTCTTGCCTAAGCCTCCCAAGTAGCTAGGACTACAGGTGCATGCCACCACATAGAGATGAGGTCTTGCTATATTGTCCAGGCTGGTCTTGGACTCCTGGGCTCCAGTGATCCTCCCACCTCAGCCTCCCAAAGTGCTGGGATTACAGGTGTGAGCCACCACACCTGGCTAGGTTTACATTTTTAGAATATCCCTTGGAAAGTGGTTGGAGAGTAGCAAAAGTGTGTTGTTTGGTAAAATATCTCTGGAAGGAAACTTCAGACAATAGTAACAGCAGTCTTCTTGGCAGGCAACCTGGGAGACAGGGATAAATGGGAGACTCCCTGTTTATAACATACCCCTTTGTACTTTCTAAGTTTTATACTATGTACATGTATTCATTGACTGAATAAATAGCTTTATAAAGTCGTTTTTATAAAAGAGAAGGTTGGGAGGAGCTATCAGGTAGCAACTGCAGATGTCTAAGGAAGAGGTCATGGTGGTCATTTGGACTGGGTGCTGGTGGTGGAGTCAAAGTGGACCAAGTCAAGAGACTTTTAGGACAATGAATTAATTGTGGAGAGGGACTGAATGTGGGGGTGAGGAAGTAGGAAGCAGCAAGGATGATCCCTGGCTTCTAGGTTGAGTCGTAGGTTGGATGAAGTGAGGTGGGAAAGACTGGATAAACAGGTTTAGGAAAGATGTAGGTTATGGAGGAGGGGATGAACTTGGCTTCTGACAAGGTGAGTTTGAAACATCCCTGGGATATCGGGTGGAGAGCAAGCTGGCATCTAGGGATAGATTTGGTTGTATCACCCCAGCGAGGAGGGCAGGAGTTCCAAGAATAGAAAGAGGTGCTGAGAAGGAGCTGGATGGGAGAGGAGAAGCACCTCAGGATGGTGGAATCCCTGGGAGCTCTTGAACCAGAGGTGGAGGGAACTGCAAGAGACACAGGAGATATTGGCAGAATGGTGTCAGGTAATCTGAGGGACAGAGGAGAGAAATAGGGTCATGTTACTGGGAGGCCAAGGACAGTGAGTTCCAGGAAATATTCTGGAGCAGTGAGAAGGATCACAGGTATCTTGGAAAGAACCGTTTGTCCTGTGGGTGGGGGCAAGAGCCAAACTACAAAGCTAGACTAATGGAGGAGGCTTCTAGTCAGGCAGGGGGCTCACAGCCCTCTCCACCTCATCCCACAGACGGAGTGCTTTAACCATGTGCGGTTCCTGCAGCGGCTCAATTCTACCCACCTCTATGCATGTGGGACTCACGCCTTCCAGCCCCTCTGTGCAGCCATTGTGAGTATACCTGTGTTGTGCCAGATCTCTGTTGACTTCATTAGGGATGGGATCATGTTCAAGATGCCAAAGAAGAGACTCAGAGCCAGTGAAGGAGACGGATGGTTTATTAAGGGGACTTCCATACAGGGCACTCCAGTGGCGGCGGGCTGCACTGGAGAACCATTCCCCTTTGTAAAAACCATGCAGTTTTTATAGCATTTTCACTTAGCATCCTCCCCCTAATCACCTCCACCTGGCAAACTTCATTTAACCCAAAACAAAGGGCCTTGATCCCCTGGACAGCATGTGTTCCACAGGATGGGCTAGGGGCTCAGATGTTCTTCATAGATAAGGAGTGAATCTCTAGGTTGGCCACTTGCAGATTTGGAACTCCAAACATACATTGTTTTGAGGCCATAAGGTCATTCTCAGGGGATGCTTAAGTTATTGCTGTCAGGTGCATCTGCCATACAACCTGCCCCTATCCCTGATCGCTGATCCCTGACCCCAGACTGATCTGACTTTGAGCCACTGTCCCTGCCTGTCTTCGGAACCACTTACTGCTGGTTCCTTGTTCCCTAGGATGCTGAGGCCTTCACCTTGCCAACCAGCTTCGAGGAGGGGAAGGAGAAGTGTCCTTATGACCCAGCCCGTGGCTTCACAGGCCTCATCATTGGTGAGCAGGCCTTCTTCCCTATCACAGACATGGTATTTTTAGGATGTGGATCTCATCTCTAGGACCTGCCACCATGTATATGTCATGTGCCCTGTTGAATATGACATGTCTCTCATGCCTGGAATATCCCCACGCCAGATGGAGGCCTCTACACAGCCACTAGGTATGAATTCCGGAGCATTCCTGACATCCGCCGGAGCCGCCACCCACACTCCCTGAGAACTGAGGAGACACCAATGCATTGGCTCAATGGTTAGGAGGATGAGGCACAGGATGATGGGGGGTAGGGGACTATTTCTTCATTTTTACTCCCTTGGCCAGCTGACCACCCCACCCCCAAATCCCCAGGTGAGCCTGTCCATTCCATTCCTGTGTGTTGTCAAGTGAGGGGTCAGCCTCAGAGTGAGGGAAAGGAATCCCCAGCCTGTCTCAAAAGCCTCTCAAACTGCCTGACCCACAGATGCGGAGTTTGTGTTCTCCGTCCTCGTGCGGGAGAGCAAGGCCAGTGCAGTGGGTGATGATGACAAGGTGTACTACTTCTTCACGGAGCGTGCCACTGAGGAGGGCTCTGGCAGCTTCACTCAGAGCCGCAGCAGTCACCGTGTGGCCCGTGTGGCTCGTGTCTGCAAGGTGGATTGGGCTGACGTTGGGGCACGGGTATAGAGGCTGGACCTCTGACCCTGGCCCCTTATCCCGTGCCTCTACCTCCCCAGGGAGACCTGGGAGGGAAGAAGATCCTGCAGAAGAAGTGGACTTCCTTCCTGAAAGCCCGTCTCATCTGCCACATTCCACTGTATGAGACACTGCGTGGGGTCTGCAGCCTGGATGCTGAAACCTCAAGCCGTACACACTTCTATGCAGCCTTCACGCTGAGCACACAGTGGTCAGTGCAGGGACAATCGGGAGGCAAGAAACTGCGGACAGCATAGGGGCTGGAGCAGAGGTCAATGAGGATGAGATAGGATCCACTGTGGGGAGGTCTGGCTGCAAAGTGAGAATTTTTTTTTTTTTTTAAGAGGGAGTCTTGCTCTGTTGCCAGGCTGGAGTGCAGTGGCGCGATCTCGGCTCACTGCAATCTCCGCCTCCCGGGTTCAAGTGATTATCCTGCCTCGGCCTCCCGAGTAGCTGGGACTATAGGCGTGTGCCACCACGCCTGGCTAATTTTTGTATTTTTAATAGAGATGGGGTTTCACTGTGTTGCCCAGGATGGTCTCGATCTCTTGACCTCGTGATCTGCTCGCCTCGGCCTCTCAAAGTGCTGGCAAAGTGAGAATTTTAAGCACATCAAGCTAGGCTAGAGCCAGAGAATGAATGCAGTGGTCCACTGACTCACAGGAGAGGCCCTGTGGGACTATAGCTGGGGTTGGCCAGGGTAACAGTGAGCTTCAGGCTGAGCACGAGTTGGGGGGCAGGCTTGACTCCATGTAACTCACCCCCCTTGCCCTATGTCCCATTCTAGGAAGACCCTGGAGGCCTCAGCCATCTGCCGCTATGACCTGGCAGAGATCCAGGCTGTCTTTGCAGGACCCTATATGGAATACCAGGATGGTTCCCGGCGCTGGGGTCGCTATGAGGGTGGGGTGCCTGAGCCCCGGCCTGGCTCGGTGAGTGCCCAGGCCTGGGGCCAGTGCTGAGTAGACAGAGCCCAGGGAAGGGTCAAAGGGTCTGGCCTTGTGGAGAGGGCAGGCAGGTGGTGGAGTCCCGAGGTTCACCACCTTCGTCCCCCACGCCAGTGTATCACAGATTCATTGCGCAGCCAAGGCTACAATTCATCCCAAGACTTGCCATCCCTGGTCCTGGACTTTGTAAAGTTGCACCCACTGATGGCTCGGCCCGTTGTGCCCACACGTGGACGGCCCCTGCTGCTCAAGCGCAACATACGCTACACACACCTTACAGGGACACCTGTCACCACGCCTGCTGGACCTACCTATGACCTGCTCTTTCTGGGCACAGGTGCTTCTGATCCCAATCCCTGATCCCTGTTGGCCCTGATCACTAATGCTTCTGAATCCATTAATTCCTGCCATGACTAGTCTGGAGTTCCCAGTGTCCTGAGGGTCCACTGCTCCTGGCTGAGTCCTTGTTCTGGACCTCAGGACTCCTGAGCTGTTCGTATTAGGCCTCTTGCAGGGTGCTGAGAGCAGATCCCATAGTTGGGGTCTAACTCTCTGCTCTTTCCATACCAGCTGATGGCTGGATCCACAAGGCCGTAGTCCTGGGCTCTGGGATGCACATTATTGAAGAGACACAAGTGTTCAGGGAGTCCCAGTCTGTGGAAAATCTAGTCATCTCTCTATTGCAGGTAGCCCTTCTCTGTGACCCTTAATATAGCCTTGCTGAAATAGGAAGAGGGAGTGGGGAGGTTGGGCAGAGGCTGTGTATCTGTATGAGTGGGGACGCTGCCGACCAACTGTCCTATCTGGCTCCCAGCACAGCCTCTATGTGGGGGCTCCTAGCGGAGTCATCCAGCTACCACTCTCCAGCTGCTCCCGCTACCGATCCTGCTATGACTGCATCTTGGCCCGAGACCCCTACTGTGGCTGGGACCCTGGCACCCATGCCTGCGCAGCAGCCACCACCATAGCCAACAGGTCCCAGGGAAGCAGGTGGGAAGTGGTGGGGGGTGACAGTCACATGTGGTCTGAGTGGAGGAGGAAGGCCTGATAGCTACTGGGGGAGTGCAGGGGCTAGTTATTAGTAACAGACCTATCTACCCTTTCACTGGGAAACTGAAACCCAGTTCCCCTTGTTCATAAAACCTGATCTTCTGTCCCAGGACAGCACTGATACAGGACATAGAGAGAGGAAATCGAGGCTGTGAGAGCAGCAGGGATACAGGTAAGTGACTCATATGAGTGTGGGTCTAGCTACGCAGACTGTCCTCTTTGCCATTTACTGCCATGTGTACGTATATGTTTGTATCTGAGTGGCTGTGGCTATGTACATTTGGTAAGGATGACTCAAACACAGAGCCTGGCACAGAGTAAGTGCTCAACAAACATTTACTGCCCAAATGAATTATAAACTAGGAAACATATTTAAGATGTGAAGTGTCTTGTCACTTCTGGAGCTTATAGCCAAGTAGTGGATGACAAGGGTTCAGGACGGTAATGGGTATTTCCCCAAGGAAGATCGGATGACTGAACTGATATCTGAAGAAAGAACAAAAGTTAATCATCACAGCTAAGATGTATTAAGTATTTACTGTGTGCCAGACACTGATCTAAATACTTCTATGCATGATGTCATCTACTGTCACAGCATTCTTATGAGAAAGGTGCCATTATTATTATCCCCATGAGGGACCTCTCTGAAGCCCAGGGAGTGTAAGTAAATTGCTCAAACTTATTCAGCTATTAAGAAACTGGACCAGAATTCAAACCTGGCTGAGTACAGTGGCTCACGCCTGTAATCCCAGCACTTCGGGAGGCTGAGGTAGGTGGATTGCTTGAGCTCAGGAATTGGAGACCAGCCTGGGCAACATGGCAAAACCCCATCTCTACAAAAAATACAAAAATTAGCCGGGTGTGGTGGCACATGTCTGTAATCCCAGCTACTTGGAAAGCTGAGGTGGGAGGATCACTTGAGCCTGGGAGGCAGAGGTTGCAGTGAGCCAAGATCACACCATTGCACTCCAGCCTGGATAACAGAGTGAGACCTCATCTCATCTCAAAAAAAAAAAAAAAGAAAGAAAAAAGAATTCAAACCTGACCCCAAGCAGTCTGATTTGACTTTGTGCTTCTGGTCACTATACTATGCTATCTCCCACAAGTTAGCCAGGCAAGCAGAGGACATGGGGTAATGGGGTGACATGCAAGCAGAGGGAGCAGCAGGCAGAGGGAGGCTGGCACATTTGAGTGACAGGAGAATAGGCTGGACAAGTGGGCAAAGGCCATGTTGAAGATTTTGGTCTTTATCCGAAAAGCAATAGGAAACCTCTGAAGAGTTTTAGGCTGGAGAGTGGCATGATCAGATTTGTGTTTTTAAAATACCTCTCATGAAGAATGGATTACATGGGGCCAGAGTGGGCCAGGAGTCATGGAAGGAGAGAAATCAACAGGTCTAAGATAGATGCCAGAAACAGAATCTTAGTGACAGTTAGATACAAACGTGAAGAAGGGCCGGGCACGGTGGCTCATGCCTATAATCCAGCACTTTGGGAGGCCAAGGCGAGTGGATCACTTGAGGTCAGGAGTTCGAGACAAGCCTGGCCAACATGGTGAAACCCTGTCTCTACTAAAAATACAAAAACTAGCTGGGCATGGTGGCATATGCCTGTAATCCCAGCTACTCAGGAGCCAGAGGCAAGATAATCGCGTGAACCAGGGAGGTGGAGGTTGCAGTGAGCTGAGATCACGTCACTGCACTCCAGCCTAGGCGACAGAATGAGACTCCGTCTCAAAAAAACAAAACAAAACAAAAAGGCGAGCAAGAAAGAGAAGGGAGACTCCCAGGTTTCTGACTTAAGCAACTGTGTGGCTGGTGGTGCCATTCACAGTGGTGGCGATTCAAGGAAAGGACTTGGTGTCGTTGGGGAGAAAAGCTTTGGTTTTGAGGTGTCCAAGAGACCTCATGTGGAGATGCCCAGCACATGGTAGATATCCGAGTCTGGCACTCAGGAGAGAAGTCTGAGGTAGAGATTAGGAGTTACTGGCAGATGGCAGAAATTGAAACCACAGGAGAGGATGAGAGCATGGAGAGAGAATGGAAAAGGGCCCAAGGCACTGCCTGCTTCCTGGGAAGGGCCAACGTGAACCTTCTGTGGAAGCATGAGCACAGAGCCTGGGTCAGCTGTCACTGTGATTCTGGGTTCTGTGCTTGGTGCCAGGGACTTGGCAGTGAACAGTCTGGCTTGCCATCTCTAATCCCTTCCTGGGACGGGCTGGTACTGACCTCTCCCCCAAACCCCACAGGGCCACCACCACCACTGAAGACCCGCTCTGTGCTCCGGGGTGATGATGTCCTCCTGCCCTGTGACCAGCCATCCAACCTGGCCCGGGCCTTGTGGCTACTCAATGGGAGCATGGGCCTGAGCGATGGGCAGGGTGGCTACCGTGTGGGCGTGGACGGGCTGCTGGTTACAGATGCACAGCCTGAGCACAGTGGCAACTATGGCTGCTATGCCGAGGAAAATGGCCTCCGCACCCTGCTGGCCTCCTATAGTCTCACAGTCCGGCCAGCCACTCCTGCCCCAGCTCCAAAAGCCCCTGCCACACCTGGGGCACAGCTGGCACCTGATGTGAGACTGCTCTATGTGCTAGCCATTGCCGCGCTTGGTGGCCTCTGCCTCATCCTGGCCTCCTCCCTCCTCTATGTGGCCTGTCTGCGGGAAGGCAGACGAGGGCGCCGACGGAAATACTCACTGGGTCGGGCCAGCCGGGCAGGAGGATCTGCGGTGCAACTGCAGACAGTCTCAGGCCAGTGTCCTGGAGAGGAAGATGAGGGTGATGATGAGGGGGCTGGGGGCCTGGAGGGCAGCTGTCTCCAGATCATCCCTGGGGAGGGAGCCCCAGCCCCACCACCCCCACCGCCCCCACCGCCACCGGCTGAGCTGACCAATGGCTTGGTGGCACTGCCCAGCCGGCTGCGGAGGATGAATGGCAATAGCTATGTGCTTCTGAGGCAGAGCAACAATGGAGTACCAGCAGGGCCCTGCTCCTTCGCCGAGGAACTCAGCCGCATCCTGGAAAAAAGGAAGCACACGCAGCTCGTGGAGCAGCTAGATGAGAGCTCTGTCTGAGCCCAGCCTCCCAGAACAAATGCTCTTCCAAGCCAGCCTATCTGTCCCAGGCTGGGCCACTGCCTCCCTAACACAGCCACCCTCCCTTCATTACCCCCACTCCATACCCTTCTCCCAACTTTTTGATGTCCCTGTAGGGCTGGCCAGTCAGGCCCAGCCAAAGCCCCCTCCTCAGTCTCCACAGACCCACATGTGAGCAGCCCAGGCCCATCGGTGCTCCTCAGAGGTAGGTGCTCCCTCAGGATCAGGTGCCCTGCAGACCCAGAGCCAGTTCCTATCCCCTAACCTAAACACTTATAGGTGAGGACTCCATCCTCCTGTTCCATTCATCTGCCCAAACCCTTTCTCTTTCTCCCAGGCAGGGCTCTGCAGGTCCATATGGGCTCAATGTCACCACCCTCTGCATGGCCCTGTGTGCTGGATGGTCCTGAAACCAGACAAGACCTCTGCCAGCCACCTAAGCCCTGCGTACATTCACATGCACACATGGAAGAATGTTTATCGGCTGGGCTGCAGTGCCCCCACCCTCACCTTCTCCTGGTGCATTCTTGTTTCATCCCTGCTTCTGGACTTGGGGTACCCTCCCAATTGCCACATCCTATCTGGTCCTCTTCCCCAGCCCCATGTGGTGACCTCTTTGTCAAGAGCTTGGGAACGGGCCAGCCTGGGGAGGTAAGACTGCATCACTCCCCTCCTCTCCCTTCCTGTGTGGCCCTTGTGAATCAGCCTCCCCACTCTCCTTGGTCATTCTCAAGAGTATGAGAGACAGAGCTCCAGGCATGTCCCATCCCCATGCACATGTGGTAACACACACCTGTATCACACATGTGCTTACATTTCCACTCACATGCACCTCTGAGCCTCCCTTGCTGTCTTGGACCTGTCTGTTGGGTTTAGTCCGTGGACATTTCAGAGGGAGATCCCCCTCCCATTTAACTGTCCTCACAGGCCCTTGCCTAGGATGGATGACCAACACTGCACTCAATGAGCCAGCCTCTCTTTTGGGGGAATCAAGCATTTGCTTCCTCTAGACTACAGCAGGGAAAGGGAGGAGAAATCTGATGTCTCAACTGGCACATGAAGCCCATTCTTGGAACTATGCAAAGGGCAGAGGCTGGGAGTTTGGACGCTTAGCTCCTACCCCTGTCCTACCTCACCGGGGCACTTTCAGGGGCCAGGGGCCTCTGAAGTCTCTAGGCCTATATGGGACAATCAATTCTGACTGAGCTCCCCCATTCCCCTCGGGTGAGGATGACTGTTATTTTTGTAGCTGAGAACGTGGAATCCCACGGGTTTTTACTGCCCTTCACCCAACCTCTCCCACCTCCACCCCACAATGAATGTATTTATTGTGAGAATGGCTACACTTCTTTAGGAATGCCCCCACTTACAACCAGGTGGGTGGAACAGGCATGTGACAGAGTGGGGAGCCTGGGCTCAGCTCCTCCCCCTGCCGTTGGTTAATAAACACCCTTTTTCCCCACAGCTATGACTAGTCTGCTTCATCTAGATGCGCCCACCCCTGATCACCAGGGGACAGGCTCCTGAGCCTATACAGAAGGTGATATCTGCCTCCAGGATTGGCTCTGCTCCCCAATACAACTATTTGCAGAGGAAATTGGGATCCTCCGCTTCCATCCTGACTCCTTGGCAGGCACACAGGCCTCTTTAGTAAGGTTCACACTATTCATTGATCATGGTGTTAGGGCATGACAAGAAAATGACAACAGTTCAAGAATTCTTACAGGGGTTTCTAGATTTTCATTTCCTGCCTCTCATTTCCCCACCATCCCCCCTTTTTAAACTAAGATTAGAAAATACTCATTAATATCAGCCTTCCTGCCCTTCCCCAAGGTTCTCAGCACCCCCCACCAGCTGGCTCAAGGGACATGGATTTTATTTCTGCACAAAGAGGGACGTGGGGGGAAGGAGATGTATAGCTAAGACCAGAGAAAGCTTGTCAGCCAGGACTTGGTCTGAGAATCACTCCCCTCTCCCTTTCAGGGGTCAGGCCTAGATTAATCACTTGGCCTTTGATACTAACCACCTGACAGTTGTTATATGTTCTGCGTCTAGTTTTAAAATAATGAAAACTGAGGCTTGTGCTTAACATATGCACACATTTTGAAGACAGACCTGAAATGTGACCTTGGATAAGTTTATTAACCTGTTTTATAAATCTGTATTCACACAGATATAAAGTGCCTAGCCCATCACAGCAGAGCTCTCCGTAGCTCAGTGGTTGTTCCAATAAGACATCAGGGATTCTTCAGAAGCCAGCCTTCAGACCTCTCACTGTGTTTTGAGATCATTATTATCAATTTGGATTTAAAAAACAAGGGCCCTGTAAAACCCTTGAAGTCTTCCTCATCTCAGGTTTTAGGGATGCCACTTGCATAAAAATGAGTGGTTCACAAGGTCACTGCCCCCAGAAGCAGGCACTGGAAAGAAACAGGCAGCTCTTCATTATCCCAAGCAGAACCTCTGTCAACTTGCCCATTGATGGGTTCCATTTGCCTGGGCTTGGAATCCCAAAGGGGAAGAACCACCTTTACCGGAGTAACAGTCCAAAGCCTGGGGCTGCAGTTGGTGGGGCAACTCTTCACTGTGCTTGCACCTGGGCTGGGGCAGGATCCTGAACCTCTCGGGGGCGTAGCCCGCGGAACGTGGTCGGCTTGTTGGTGAAGGGGTGCCACTGGCCCTGGATGCTAGGGTTGTCGGTGTGGAAGGGCTTGCGGATGCGGATCACGTCCAAGCCCGACTGGTCGGCCAGCTTCTGCACCAGCGTCGAGATCTCCTCGACCGACTTGCAGTGGATGCTCTCCTCGCGCACAGCCCCGTTAACTGGCAGAAGAGGGGTGAGAGTGGGTGGAAGCTGGCCGGTGCGACCAAGCGAGAAGGAGGATAGCGGGTCGAGCCCCTGATCCCGCCCTCCAGCCCGAGCCCGGCCCCACTCACGGTATTCGGCCACTACTCTGGGCACGCAGCACGGACGCGAGTTTACATATATTACGACCCCTGGATTCCGTCGGGCGAAGTCGATCACCTCCCGCTCCACGAACTCCCTAAGCGACCCGGGACAGTGAGCAGTATGACCCCTGACTGGGGGCGACCTACCCGGGGAGTCGTTGCCACCTCCACACCCACCCCGACCCGCGCCTGCGCACTTCCCTTGGCTCACCTGGCGCCGCGAGACGAGGCGCCGTCGCGGCTGACGCTGAAGCTCAGACGCTGCAGCTGCTGCACATAGCGACCCAGTCCGTTGTGGAGAACGCTGGCCAAGAAGCGGCTCGGAGTCCCGCGCGCCGTCATAGCTACAGCTTGGAGGCCGCGGAGCCTAAGCAGCGAGGAGAGGGGGGCGGGACTAAACCTCGAGGCTTCCGGTTCCGGGACGACCGCTCCCGGAGTTTTGCTTCCGAGGTCAAGGCGAGTAGCATGTGCGGGAGACTCACGTTGCCGGCGAAGTGGGAGAGAGAAAAGTGGTAACCTGGGGCTGGGGGCCGGCGCGGCGGAGCTCGGAGTAGTAGAGCGGAGTGAAGACACGGGGGAGGATAGAGACTGGCATTCCTTTGGGCCGGGGGATTGGCGGGAGTCGTGCTGGGTGCTCTCGCCGTGTTGAGGTCCCAGTGAGGGGAAGGAGAAGCGGAAGAGGGTCTCTAGTCGGGGCCTAGGGCAAAGGGACTACAAAAAGGATGCAGATGACTATAGAAATGAGGACGACGAGGAGATGCTGTGGAGGAGCAGTAGAGGTGAGAAGATGATGCAAAGAAACTGTGTCAGTGAGGAACTGTATAGAGGGTCATAGAGGTGAGGTGGCGGAGAGAAACTAACTAACGGACCATAGAGGTGGGGGAGCCATTGTAGAAGGACGTGGACGCGAAAGGGTCGTGTAGATGGGCATATGTGTGAAGCAGCAACGTAGAGGGGCTGAAGAGGAGAAATTCATGGAGAGAAAGAATGCACCTAGAGTGAGCTCTGCAGAGTGCTGCGTGGGATATCCCTAGAGTTTGGTCTAGTGAAGGCACGCTAACCAGGCACCTAAGGCATTTCAAGTAGTGACTTCCCACATTTGGCTAGGAATGTGGGTCCTCCTCCGAAGTGGGTACCCCCTCCGTATCTTGTTACCCCTGCGTGGGGAGTGGATGGGTCGGAGGGGCCTGCCCCGAAACTTGGCCCCAGGCCCTCCTCGCAGACGTTACAGGAAGGAGACTCTCCAAGCCTTGGATATGCCAGTGTTGCCTGTAACTGCAACTGAAATCCGCCAGTATTTGCGGGGGCATGGGATCCCCTTCCAGGATGGTCACAGTTGCCTGCGGGCACTGAGCCCCTTTGCAGAGTCTTCACAGCTCAAAGGCCAGACTGGTGTTACCACTTCCTTCAGCCTCTTCATTGACAAGACCACAGGCCACTTTCTCTGCATGACCAGCCTAGCAGAAGGGAGCTGGGAAGACTTCCAGGCCAGCGTGGAGGGGCGAGGGGATGGGGCCAGGGAGGGGTTTCTGCTTAGCAAGGCACCAGAATTTGAGGACAGCGAGGAGGTCCGGAGGATCTGGAACCGAGCAATACCTCTCTGGGAGCTGCCTGATCAGGAGGAGGTTCAGCTGGCTGATACAATGTTTGGCCTTACCAAGGTTACAGATGACACACTCAAGCGTTTCAGTGTGCGATATCTGCGACCTGCTCGCAGTCTTGTCTTCCCTTGGTTCTCCCCTGGGGGCTCAGGATTACGAGGCCTGAAGCTCCTAGAGGCTAAATGCCAGGGGGATGGAGTGAGCTACGAGGAAACCACTATTCCCCGACCCAGCGCCTACCACAATCTGTTTGGATTACCACTGATTAGTCGTCGAGATGCTGAGGTGGTACTGACGAGTCGTGAGCTTGACAGCCTGGCCTTGAACCAGTCCACGGGGCTGCCTACCCTTACTCTACCCCGAGGAACGACCTGCTTACCCCCTGCCTTACTCCCTTACCTGGAACAGTTCCGGCGGATTGTATTCTGGTTGGGGGATGACCTTCGGTCCTGGGAAGCCGCCAAGTTGTTTGCACGAAAACTGAACCCCAAACGATGCTTCTTGGTGCGACCAGGAGACCAGCAACCCCGTCCCCTGGAGGCCCTGAACGGAGGCTTCAATCTTTCTCGTATTCTTCGTACCGCCCTGCCTGCCTGGCACAAGTCCATCGTATCTTTCCGGCAGCTTCGGGAGGAGGTGCTAGGAGAACTGTCAAATGTGGAGCAAGCAGCTGGCCTCCGCTGGAGCCGCTTTCCAGACCTCAATCGTATCTTGAAGGGACATCGAAAGGGCGAGCTGACGGTCTTCACAGGTAACCCTTTGAGAAATCACTACTTAGAGTAAAGGGGCAGAAGATCAGGTGACAAAAGCAAGTGGGTTTGGGCCATGACAATGTTGAAAAGAAGGTTGGCCCTTTCCCCCCAGTTTTAAAGCCCTGACCTATGTCTTGGTTTCAAGGGTAGGACTTCCTCCTCACCCAGGTCTGTTCCACCCCACTGCAGGGCCAACAGGCAGTGGAAAGACGACATTCATCAGTGAGTATGCCCTGGATTTGTGTTCCCAGGGGGTGAACACACTGTGGGGTAGCTTCGAGATCAGCAATGTGAGACTAGCCCGGGTCATGCTGACACAGTTTGCCGAGGGGCGGCTGGAAGATCAACTGGACAAATATGATCACTGGGCTGACCGCTTTGAGGACCTGCCCCTCTATTTCATGACTTTCCATGGACAGCAAAGCATCAGGTGAGACTCCCAGATTCCAGCCACCTTGCTTTCCCAGACATATCCCAGCACTCAGGAACCTTTGGTTCCTTTTCCAGCTCCAGTAGGAACTCCCCCATCTCCTTAGGTTTGGAGTTTTTCAAAGAATGAGAGGGCAGGGCTGGACACACTGGCTCACGCCTGTAATCCCAGCACTTTGGGAGGCTGAGGTGGGAGGATCACTTGAGCCCAGGGATTTGAGACCAACCTGGGCAATATAGGGAGACCACCCCTCTCTATAAAAAAATTTTTAAAAATTAGGCTGGGCATGGTGATGGCATATGCCTGTGGTCCCAGCTACTCAAGAAGCTAAAGTAAGAGGATCGCTTGAGCCTAGTAGGTTGGGGCTGCAGTGAGCTGTGATCACACCACTGCACTCCAGCCTGGGCTACAGAGCAAGACCTTGTCTCAAATAATAGTAATAATAATAGAAGGGCAGAGGAGGCAGCCAAGAGAGTTTTCAGGATGCTAGTTCTTCTGCCTGGGGTGGTCTAGAGACAACTTGTCAAATTCCTTGCCTTTCCTCTTCCCAGGACTGTAATAGATACAATGCAACATGCAGTCTACGTCTATGACATTTGTCATGTGATCATCGACAACCTGCAGTTCATGATGGGTCACGAGCAGCTGTCCACAGACAGGTGACGGTGACATCCTCTCTTGTCTAGCTTGAGCCCGCTTGGACATACAACACACACTTCTCAGGCAGCTGGCCTCTAGGCACACATGCTGTGCTCTCCTATTTTCTGAGATGTGTGCAGGCACGTACCACCCCCATGTGTATCATATGGAGGTGTGGGGTATGGCAGCAGGATGTATGGACAGGGATCTGAGTGTGAGTCCTTGGGTAGAGGGAGGTAGAGTGGGTTGTGGTAGTTTGTGGGGAGATGTGAATGGATCAAGAGTATGTGTATGTTCTTGTCCTTCTGTGTCTGATAAGCTCTTTGTGTTGTTGGGATGGCGTAGGATCGCAGCTCAAGACTACATCATCGGGGTCTTTCGGAAGTTTGCAACAGACAATAACTGCCATGTGACACTGGTCATTCACCCCCGGAAAGAGGATGATGACAAGGAACTGCAGACAGCGTCCATTTTTGGCTCAGCCAAAGTGAGTGGCCTTTAGCGGAGCTCAAGCTTTGGAAAATAGAGTGGGTAGGTGTGACCAGGGACAGCCCTCATTCAGCCTTAATCGTCTTGACTGTCCATCCGAACAGGCAGGAGGCAATGCCTCTGGGGCCATGACATGAGGAATATATGTGCTGGAAATACAAAGGCTGATAGTTGGTTCTTATGCTCTTCTTGTCCCCCAGGAGCTCACATCCTCTCCTGGGGAAACAGTAAGACAGTGATTGCAATTCAGTATGATAAGAGTATGATAGGCAGCACAAGTATTTGGAGAGCAAAGAGAAAAGATGTCTGAGTCAGCCCGGGACATCTGGGAGACTTCCAGAGGAGGTGACAACAAAGGTTGGGTTGAGGTTTGGTAGACAATGGGTATTAGACAATCAGATAAATGTGAGGGCCTTCTGGGCATCAGGACCAGCCCAATCCTGGAGCTTCTAGTGTTACACTGAATGCCTATTACATACGAGGCCTGGGCTGGGCCTAGGGAATTCAGAGCAAGGAGCACAAATCATGTGCCATGATGGAACAAACATGGAGCTGGGAAAGAGAGTAATGCAGAAGTGGAAAAATGGCAGGGTACAGTGGATCACACCTGTAATCTCAACACTTTGGGAGGCTGAGGCAGGAGGATTGCTGGGGCCCAGGAGTTTGGCAATCTGAGCAATGTAGTGAGACCCTGTCTCTACAAAAATATTTGAAAATTGGCCAGGCGTGGTGGCTCACGCTTATAATCCCAGCACTTTGGGAGGCCAAGGCGGGTGGATCACGAGGTCAGGAGATCGAGACTATCTTGCTAACATGGTGAAACCCTGTCTCTACTAAAAATACAAAAAAAAAAAAAAATTAGCCGGGCGTGGTGGCAGGCACCTGTAGTCCCAGCTACTTGGGAGGCTGAGGCAGAATGGCGTGAACCCGGGAGGCGGAGCTTGCAGTGAGCGGAGATCGCGCCACTGCACTCCATCCTGGGTGACAGAGTGAGACTCCGTCTCAAAAAATATATATATATAATATATATATATTTAAAAATTAGCTGGGCATGGTAGCATGCACCTTTGGTCCCAGCTACTCAGGAGGCTGAGGTGGGAGGATTGCTTGAGCCTGGGAGGTTGAGACTGCAGTGAGCCGTGCTCACACCACTGCACTCCACTCCAACCTGGGCAGCAGAGTGAGACCCTATCTTTTTTTTTTTTTTTTTTTTTTTTTTGAGACGGAGTCTCGCTTTGTCACCCAGGCTGGAGTGCAGTGGCGCGATCTCGGCTCACTGCAAGCTCCACCTCCCAGGTTCAAGTGATTCTCCTGCCTCAGCCTCCCAAGTAGCTGGGACTACAGGCATGTGCCACCACACCCGCCTAATTTTTTGTATTTTTTTAGTAGATACGGAGTTTCACCGTGTTAGCCAGGATGGTCTCAATCTCCTGACCTCATGATCCGTCCGCCTCGGCCTCCCAAAGTGCTGGGATTACAGGCGTGAGCCACCGTGCCCAGCTGAGACCCTGTCTTTAAAAAAAAAAAAAAAAAAAAAAAAAGAATGGTCTCCTTCATGAGATGTGACATTTAGACTGAGACCTAAAAGAGAAGAAGCTGAGGTTGAGTGGGGTGGCCCGCTGTGGAGAAGGAGAGGGAACAGCACAGGCAGCGTCTGAAACAGTAGCAAGCTTGTCAGGGAACTGAAAGATTTGAGTGGCCCCAGCATCGTGGTCAGTAGTTCAAAGAGCTTTGGTCATGGGGGGAAGTACTTTTCCCTCTCCCATTCTTTCTCTTTTTTTTTTTCTTTTTTGAGACGGAGTCTCGCTCTGTTGCCCAGGCTGGAGTGCAGTGGCACAATCTTGGCTCACTGCAACCTCCGCCTCCCGGATTCAAGCGATTCTCCTGCCTCAGCCTCCCAAGAAGCTGGGACTATAGGTGCATGCCACCATGCCCAGCTAATTTTTTGTATTTTTAGTAGAGATGGGGTTTCACCGTGTTAGCCAGGATGGTCTTGATTTCCTGACATCGTGATCCACTCGACTCGGCCTCCCAAAGTTCTGGGATTACAGGCGTGAGCCATTGTACCCAGCCCCTCTCCCCATTCTTATCACTCCTCCCTGCCCTGTCAGCCCCCCTTTCTGCTTTGCTCATGTCCTCTTACTCCTGCTTTCCTCCTTCTGCCCCCTGTTCCCCAGGCAAGCCAGGAAGCAGACAATGTTCTGATCCTGCAGGACAGGAAGCTGGTAACCGGGCCAGGGAAACGGTATCTGCAGGTGTCCAAGAACCGCTTTGATGGAGATGTAGGTGTCTTCCCGCTTGAGTTCAACAAGAACTCCCTCACCTTCTCCATTCCACCAAAGAACAAGGCCCGGCTCAAGAAGATCAAGGATGACACTGGACCAGTGGCCAAAAAGCCCTCTTCTGGCAAAAAGGGGGCTACGACACAGAACTCTGAGATTTGCTCAGGCCAGGCCCCCACTCCCGACCAGCCAGACACCTCCAAGCGTTCAAAGTGAAGGCCGTGCAGAGCTGGTCACTGAAATGAGCCTGATAGGATAGGCTGGAGCATAAAACTCTGCAAGGGCTCCTCTATCCTGTGGTCCTGAGCTGTGTGCCCTTCTCAGTCTGAGGGGCCTAACCTAGAGCAGGTTTCCATAGTGAGAAAATTCAATGTAGCAGACTACTGAGAAACTACTGTGTTGCTCAGGCTTTGTTTGAGGTCCTGTATATACAGCACTGAAAAGAGAGATAAAGTCCCTGCCTGCATGCATTCTGGCGGAAGAGACAAGCAAGCAATGAACAAATTAGCAGAAAACCTAGTTTTAGTGAAAAATGCTGTAAAGAAAATAGAAATGCGATAGAGTGCTGGCAGGCTAGTGTAGATAAGTGGTCTGAAAAGGTGTCTCTGAGCCGAGGGCATGTGAGCTGGGGCCTAAACAACTAGAAGGAGAGAGCCACGTGAACATCCGGCGAAGGGGACCCAGGCAGAGAGAAAAGGAAATCCAAGCCCTGAGGTAGGAATGAGCAGGTCAGATTCAAGGCAGTGAGGTCAGGCCGCATGAACCTGGAGGGGAATCGGGGACTTCATGCGAAACTCCAGCCTAGGCTTTCAAAGTCAAAGGGTGATACAGTGGGTACCAAGCTCCTCTGCTCCCCACTTTGTAGAGCCTAGCATGAGGTGGCATGTACTAGAATTGGATCCTAGGTGCTTAGCCCTGCAATATCAGGGCCTCACTGGTGGGAGCTGCCTCGGGCTGGGTTGCTTGGTCATAGAGCCATAGAAGGAAGCTGTCAGCCCGGAGTGCCTGCCACCTAGACACTGATGCCATTGTGTGCTGCCTCAAGACTGCTGGAGTCAGGACATTTTATAGAGCCTTTTCCAGTTTTACTAAAAAATTTTTCCATTGCCTTTGTTTCTGTGCTTTTTCTTATTCATCCACCAGGTGTCTCCCCAGTCCGTAGCTGAATTTCCCTTTCGGGATTGGGAATGGACGGGTCCCCTCCCACTGCTTGCAGCCTTTGAGCGGTGGGCTTCCAAGGAAGCAGGGACATTAAAGGGCCTTCACACCCCACCTTCCATTTACATCTCTTCTTGGCCTAGGGAAGACAAGATGATCTGTCCTCATACCTAACTTCCCTGAGGATCTCGAGTGATTCCTGGCACAGGTACTCATCACTGGGCCACATGAGCCCAGTGCCCTGCCTGACTGGCCATTCCTCTGTGATGTGAGCCACTCACCTCTCAAGTGGACTTAGACTCAACATATTCTGTCCACCCCCATCCATCTCCCTCCTGTACCCTCTCCGTGTTTCTCATATGCTAATGCGTGCCAGAACTCCTGGGGACTTGTGAAAAATGCAGAAACTAGGCCCCATTCTCCCCCCATCCTCCACCACGTACATTTCTCATTCTGGATTTGAGGACGGGTACAGTAATCCTCATTTTTAACAAGCCGTGGAGGAGACTGTAAAATAGGTGACCCAGAGGGACTGTCAGAAGTATTCCTAAATGATGACACCTTCTCATCTCTCGTCCTCTGATATCCCAAAGTCCCAGTTTCCCTTTGGATTTGCCTGAAAGAGTCGTGAGAATGCAATATGTTCTGAGGGGGCTGGGGAGAATCCTTTTGTAAGGGTTGGGGGAAGGTTTCCTGCTCCGTTTGGAAGCAGGGCTGCCTTGTCAGGCTCTTCCTTTCAACCTATGAAGGGGCTTCTGGGGCCGATGGAGGGGTCTGTGGTCTCTGGAGTGTGAGAACTCTGGTCACAAATGTCTCCTGAAACATCCGGAGCAAGGCTGCTGGAAAGCTGCTCTCTGTGAGGAAGAACCTGGGGGGGTGGGGAGAGCTCCTCCAGGGCCTCCCTTCTTGGGGGTCTCTCCCAGACTGGCTGGAGCCAGGCCTCCCTAATCCCGCAGTAATCATTCCCAGCCGTTGGCTGGTCTAGGCCTCATCCAGAGTCTGTAACGCTGAACGGCAGCCATGCCTTCCAGAGGCACAATACCATATCAGTCATACCTGTAAGGATGTGGGTTCCACATTCCTGTCTCCCTAGAATGCCTGGTGGGTTCTCAGGAGATCTTTTAGGGGTTTCCAGTAGGGGACCTTTGTGAGGTCTCTGTGAACTGGGGATAGAGGGATAGATACAGACTTGGCTGTTTGTCTTGCCCCACCCTTCTAGCAGACACCCCCACACAGCACAAACCAGAATGATGAGGGGGAGGGGAAGCTAATACTCCCCCCAGCCCTACCCGCTGCACAAACACGTTCTATTCCATACCTGCCTTAAATACCCCATATCATGATTCCACCCAGTCTGTTCAGATCCCTGGATTCTAGAAAGCAGTGGGGGGTCCCTAGGGCCTGTGCGGATTCCCTGGGATAGGACTGGTCTGTCTACACCCAACTGGATGTTAAGAATCTCCCTGACTCACAGGTTCGGTGGATTGGGAGGAAAAAAAAAAAATTTCCCTGAGATCTCAGGAAAGGCCTGGCTAAGCCAGGTCCAGTTGGATCTACAGCCTTGTCCTCTAATTGATAATGTATGTCACACTTGGCCATGAGGGGACAGCTTTGGTCCTCTGGCAGCTTCCTCTCTGCTGTGGATGGGTTTAAGAAGAAACAACTCGGCCGGGTGCGGTGGCTTACGCCTGTAATCCCAGCACTTTTGGAGGCCGAGGCGGGTGGATCACGAGGTCAGGAGTTTGAGACCAGCCTGGCCAATATGGTGAAACCCCGTCTCTACTAAAAATACAAAAATTAGCCGGGCGTGGTGGTGCGCGCCTCTAGTCCCAGCTGCTCTGGAGGCTGAGGCAGGAGAATCGCTTGAACCTGGGAAGCGGAAGTTGCAATGAGCCAAGATCGTGCCGCTGCATTCTGGGCGACAGAGCGAGACTCCGTCTCAAAAAACAACTCACCGAGGTCTCCTGTAGCCCATATGGGCCAGATACCTGTAGACCTTCCTACATGCTGCCTTGAGTGCCATGGTGGGAGGGAGCCCTTGGGGCCTCCCTGCAATACAGGCCAACTTCCTGTTTGTGCCTGTGGGTGGGACTTTATGAGTCTTCGAGAAGCCCAGCCATGCCCCGTGGGGGTCAGAACCCGCAGGCCTGCTCACCTGGGCAGATACCTACTCTAGGGAGGGGGCTGTGCTGGTTCTGCCTGGGCAGCCCCACGCTGAGGTGTGTGCGTGGTAGGGGTAGGTGGGAGCTGCTCTGGTGAAACTTGAGCCTTCTTTGTCTGCTTCCCAGGGGTTGTCCCTGTATTTGGGGATTGGGCCAAGAGTGGACCGGGTTGGGCTCCCATCGGAGCAGGGAGGGTGGCAGAGTCAAGCTCTTAGTTTAAGCTTAGTTTAAGGCAGCCAGGTAGCCGAATTCTCGGTCACGTGATGCTCGCCCCCTTCCCCAGGTCAAAAACCAAATCCAGTAAGCTGTGAAGTCAGAGGCCAGAGGGGCAGCCTCGGCCACCGTCGAGTCACTCTTAGGCTGGGCACTGGGTCGGCTGCTGGTGGAGTGCGGGGCAGACCACTCCCCTCCCTGGGTGGGGGGCGCGGCCTGAGCCGCCCCGCCCCGCCCCGCTCCACCAGGTCGGGCCAGGCGGGCGCCGGGAGCTGGGAGCCGGGAGCCCAGAGTTCGGAACCTAGAGTTCGGAGCCGGCTAGGGAGCCGGCGTTGTCGCGGCGAGGAGGTGGGCGCGCTGGAGCAGGAGCGGGGCCGGAACTGGAGCCGAGGCGCAGGTGGCGCTGGGTGAGTGGTGGGGCGGCGGAGGTGCAGGAACTCCCGCCTCCCGCTCATCCCCGCTCCTGAACGAACTTTCCGCTTCTAGGGAAGCTAGGGGTTGGGGTGAGGAGGGGGGTCCGCACTTGGTGGGGTCCCCGCGAAGAGTCCGAACAGGGAAGTGACACGAAAACGCACGCCGACGGGCCCCACACACGCGTGCACAGACCCACGCCCGCACTTGGGACACGCGAACACACATGCACTCGGAAAGGACGCGCCCAGTTGGCCACCCTTGCACTCCCAGGGACAGCGCCAGCCGGCCCGCGCGGACCCACAGCGGGCAGGGCACTCTGCGGTCGCGTATTGGGTGCGGGAAAGGGGCAGCCCTGTGACTACCGACGGGGGCGGGCCGGGTGGGACGCACCCGGAGGTTCCTGCTTCCTGGCCTCCCGCAGGTGAAGACCAAGACGTAAACAGACGCCGAGCACGTGACAGCTCCGCAGACCAGTGGCCTGTGCCCCCAACCCAACCACGGGGCGGAAATCCACCCTAGTCCGGGGCGCGTTTGCTTGGTCCCAGGCCGGACGGCGTTCCATTCTCCGCCTGGAGCGGGGATAAGCCCTCTCCCGGGAACCGGAGCACAGCGCCCCCTGGAGCCGGGGCGGAGCAGGAGGGCCCGGCTGCTGGGCAGGGCTGGGGTTAACTCGGGCTCCTGGACGTCCTTCTCCCCAGCACATTCTTGGTGTCTGCATCCCTGAAGGTTTCGGAGACAGGCCCTTGATGGCAGTGGACAGCTGCCCCCGCCTGTTACCGCCAGCCCAGAGAGCAGCTGCCTGAGCGCCTGCGGGTCCCCTTCCTACCCTCACCTCCACTCCTTGCGGGAGTCGGAGTCTCCTCCCCCCAGAAAATGCATGAGTGTAAACGCTCCCTCAATACCAGAGTGGGCCTGCCCCCCTAGAAAAAGGAGGACGAGCCCCTCCCCCCAGGGAATGAGGGAGTGGGCAGTAGCCCGATGCCTCCTCCTCGCCCCACCCCCTACCCCTACACACACGCTGAGCCCAGCTGCCGCCTGAGCTGGGCAGGCTGCCAGAAAGAGGAGGAGGCTCTCGGTGCCCCAGGAGGCAGGGATCAGGGCAAGGCCAGAGGAGGGGGCTCTGCTGGGGAGAGGGGCTCAGTCTGTTCTTGTGAGGCTGAGGGTCTGGGGTGAGTCAGGGTGGCTGGGCTGTGTTTCCCTTTCCAGGGAAAAAGAAAGAAAAACAACCCTGTCCATGGAGCTAAAAATAGAGCTGAGAGCCGGCCAGGGCTGTGGCCTGGAAGGGGGGGATGCTCCTTCCTGGGGCCCGGGCGAGCTCCGGCAGGCCTTGGCCCTGCGGGGGAGGGGGTGGTTAGGGGAGAAAGGCTGCCTTTGCCCAGGGATGCAGGCATCAGCTGACCTGACCGGGTCACCGAGACCCCTAGGGGAAAGGCTGTGCGGTAGAATATTTGTGAAGCACGGCGTGTAAGAAGTTGTCTGTGTGAGTGACTGTGAATAGAGGCTGTCAATGCGTGAAAGATGGTTAGGAGACTAAGTGCACTTGAGACTGTGACTGGGTGCGAAGGACTGCGGATTGTTGTGGAAGCCTGTGCCCAACAGGCCTGTGACACCGTGTCTGTGTGTGAGGTGGACTGGAAGATTATGGAAAGAAGGAACGCGGACCCACGTGACGGCTGAGACTGCGGCTGCATGTGGGAAAGGTCTTGTGGGTGTTAGGGAGACTGTATTGTGTGCGAGAAGGTGAGACTACTTGACCCTGAGGAAGTGGAATATTGTCTGCCGTGAGGCTGGTGTAGGTTTGGGCTGTAGGCTTGCACCGGTTCGCCCCAGTGATTGTTGGGGAGCCAGGGGCCGCTCCTCTCCGATAAATGACCTCTCTCTTAGCAAGTGATCCCGAGGGGAGGCTGGGGAGCACGCGGTCGCGCCAGAGGCCGGCCTGGGTTCGCGGGGAAAAGGGCACCGTGCCGGGGAGTGGGGCAGGGCCCGCGTGTTGGGGGCGGCTGGGTGTGTTCTCCGAGCCGGCCGCCAGGTGGCGTCGCCTCCGCGAAGCCCAGGTTGCCGCCTCCAACCCGCCGTGGGGCAGGCGCGGATCGAGCCTCGGCCTCCTACTCGGGCTAGGGCGCGGGGTCCCGGCACCGGAGAGTGGGGGACGGCCGGCCATCGGCCTCTCGCTTGGGACTCTGAGGCTGAGAGCGTGTCAGGGAAGCTTCGCCTGGAGAAGCGGAGGGGGAGGGGCGGCCGCCGCCGCGCCGTGGCCCTTTGTGCTGGAACAATGACCAGCTGCCGCTGGCCCCGGGGCCCCGGCTGGGGTTGAGGGTGACCACCGCCGCCGCCGCGTCGAGCCGAACCGAGCCCCCAGACACGCAGTCACAGGGCGTCGGAGGGAGGGCTCCCGACTGCCGCCGAGCAGCCCCTACGTGCGCCCCGGCGGATTCGCGTGACGCGGGTGCTTGCGCGTGTCCGCGCCCCGGGGCGGAGACGCCCCTCGGACCCTCCCCTGCGCGGTGCCGCCCACTCGCACCGGGCGGGGGCTGGCCAGGGCCGGGGGCGCCGCGGAGGCGGAGGCGGGGCTGGGCCGGGCAGCTCCGAGTGGCGGCGCGCGGGCCAGGGCCGGGGCCGGGGCCGGGGCCGGAGCCGGAGCCGGGGCCGGGCGGCGCGCCTGTGGAGCGCTGGGGGCGGCCTGGGGCTGAGCATGGAGCAGCGCGGCGGAGGTGAGGGGGGCCGGGTCTGGGAGGCGGCCTGGGGAGCCCCCAACTTATGCGCGGTGGAATCCAGCCGGGGGGACGGCGTTCCCCAGTCGCCCCCACTTTCTGGAAGGGGGGCTGGACTCTGGAGAATGGGTCAGGGGCTCCTGGCTTCCCGCCGCAGAATGGGAACTCGTGATCGCAGACTTGACCCCGCTTGACTGGTCCTTGGAGTTTGGGTGGGAGGGAGACTTTCCCCAACTCTTCAGATCCGTCTCCGGCCCTGAACCAGCTCCAGCCCTCTGCTCTCCTCAGCCCACTAAAAGGGGGGTGCTCCTGGGCCAGAGTGATTGCTCAGGGAGTGCTGGGGAGAATGAGGGGTTCCCATCTCCCACAGCCACAAACGCATTTCTCAAAATGGAGCCTCCACTTGCCCCTCCTTCTCTTTCGGGCTCCAAGAGCGGGAGCCGGCCTGGCTGGGCCTGGCTTTCCAGACTCCTGGCTCTGGCTCCCTGGATGTGTGGCTCTCAGGGCCCGGCTCTGTGGCACTTTGGACTTATGGGCCCTCGGCTCCGTGGGGTTGGGGGGCCCTGGCTCACTGGGTCCCGCTGGCTGTCCCCTTGTCGGCCTGACCCTCGGGCCTCTCCGAGTCTTTGTCTCTTTTGGGTCCCTGTCTTTCTCTGAGCCTGTCTCCTTCCTTCAATTTTCACTTTCTCCGTGCTCGCTGAAGTGGGGAAATGCAACAGAGGTGCCAGCCCCCTTGGCCCCCTAAGAAGTCCCTTCCCCACTGTTCACTCCACACCCTGGAGTGGGCCCAGAGAGGGGAGGGGAGGGGGTTCTCTATCTGCTCTGCTGGGGGCTGGGGTGTGTGGGGTGGTCTGAGCCCCAGCCCTACAGAGGGGCCTGTGGTCACTCCCTGCTCCTGGCCTACCCCTCCCCCAGCTCCCCGCAGCTCCTGCCCCAGCGTGGACACCTCTTCCTGGTTCGCAGTGTCTTTTGACTTGGGTGGGAAGGAGGGCGGTGGATTTAATGGAGGGCATGCGAGAAAGAAGGGGAACAGATCAGGCAAAGGAGTTAGATAATGTCCCACCTCTCCCCACACGCCGAAGAGAGAAGGAAACAGGCTCCCCCCACCAATGGGCCCTCAAGCCACCCAGGCTCCCACCACTCTCATACCTGCGTGCCCACGTTCACAGGCTCCACTGCACCACTCACCTTCCTAGTCACACACAAACACAGGAGCTCACACATAAACTCATGAACTTACTGACAAGTCTGTCCAGGCACCGTCTCTCCCACACACCACAAATTCACTTGTTAGATCCACATTTATAACTTTCACAGGCTTTCTAATGACCCCTGATCCACATACTCTTCTAAGATATACACATGTGAATTCACACATGAACTCATATGTATGTGAATGAACTGATATATCAAACATGCATAGACTCACATGATGTTTTCACACACATTTTCATACACACGTGTTCATTTTCATGCTCCTGTGCATGTAGTCACACAACAAATAACTAAATGCACACACTCCTACTCCCAGTGCAATTCTCTGTCCACTTCTTGGCCCCGCTCTGCATGATGACTTCAGCAGATGCCTAAGTCCTGGTCATCAGCGGCCTCGGGACTGGGACTAGGGAGGGGGTTCCGGGTGGAGGCTTGCAGCTGCTTCCAGGAAGGAGCAGAGCCTGGGGAGGTGGAGCCCTCTTGCCTGGGCTCTGTGGAAGTGAGGTTTTGGAGCAGCCTCCAGAGGTGAAGGCAGGGCATCTACCTTCCTCCCCTCAGGGTTAGTTTGGGGACCTTCTGAAGCTGTAGGGTTTCAGAGAGGTTGGCAGTGGGGCAGAGCCTGTGGAGGCTCCTTCAGGCCTTCAGGCCTCACCGATTGGGTGTGCAGAGGCTAGGAGTTGTCATGGAAACTGGTATGAGCCTGCATCCACCTCTGGGAGGCAGGAGACCCCAAAGGACACCTGTGGACTCCCTAAGAGCCGCGGGTTTCTTATTTAGCCAGATCGACAGAGAGGCAGTTTAGCCGCCTTTCTGTCTGAGAGAAACTGAGGCCCAGCAGAGGGAGGCAGGGCACTGCCTGGCCTTGGCTCTTTGTTCCCTAATTACCATCTGAGGTGCTGATTGCACCCCTGAGGTACCTCTGCCCAAACTGCCCTGTAATGAGGCCACCTGGCTGAGAGGACCAGGGACCTGTGCTTCAAGCTGGTAGAGAAGGCCCCTCCCTCACCTGAGTCCTGGCCTCTGTGGAGGATGCAGGATTGGGCTTGGGCCTGGGTCTTTGCTGCCAGGTGGCCCTGCGGTAATCATCCAGGCCTCCCATGCCTCTCAGCATCTCTGCTGAGTGAATTCACTCCTCAGCCCTGTTCAGACCAGCATTGGGCAGTGTGGTTTGGGGCCCAGGGGGAATTGAGATTCATTCCAGCACTTGAAGGGGGAGTCTTGGTGGGGATCAGGGCTTGTTACTGATGTCAAGGAGGTGTTTGGTCAGGATCAGTGGGTCAGGAGGGGTCTCAAGGTGGAGGGACTCTGACACCACTGCCCTGCTTACAGGTCGCCTGCGAGGCCGCTGGCCAGGCCTGAGCCTCTGCCACCATGGCCATTGTGCAGACTCTGCCAGTGCCACTGGAGCCTGCTCCTGAAGCTGCCACTGCCCCACAAGCTCCAGTCATGGGTAGTGTGAGCAGCCTTATCTCAGGCCGGCCCTGTCCCGGGGGGCCAGCTCCTCCCCGCCACCACGGCCCTCCTGGGCCCACCTTCTTCCGCCAGCAGGATGGCCTGCTACGGGGTGGCTATGAGGCACAGGAGCCGCTGTGCCCAGCTGTGCCCCCTAGGAAGGCTGTCCCTGTCACCAGCTTCACCTACATCAATGAGGACTTCCGGACAGAGTCACCCCCCAGCCCAAGCAGTGATGTTGAGGATGCCCGAGAGCAGCGGGCACACAATGCCCACCTCCGCGGCCCACCACCAAAGCTCATCCCTGTCTCTGGAAAGCTGGAGAAGGTGAGGACCGGCTCTTCCTTGTGGGCCTGGGTAGAACGGGAGTCCTCGCTTGGGAAACTGGAATTTAGAAGCTTATATAGAGGAAAGAGTGTGGGCTCCAGATTCACCAGACCTGGGTCCTAATCCCAGCTCTCTCTCATTCTGGATGTGTGACCTCAGGGAAGTCACTTAACCTGAGCCTCAGTTTCTAGAACTGACATGAAGGTCAAATAATGTATAGCATAGTGCCTAGCACGTAGCATGTACGCAGTAAGTGCTAGTTGCTTACGTTCTGGTTATTCTGCACCAGTTATACGTTTGACTTTGGGCAAGGCCTTTAACCTTGCTGAGCCTCCATTTCCTCATCTGTAATATGGGGATAGTGATCATATTTAGATAATGGAGATAAACTTTTCAAATTGCTTGACACAAAGCTGACACTGGTGGCCACCTCCACCAGTGGCCGCAATTGTTATGAATATATGGGCACTGGGGACCCAAGACGGGAGGGCAGGGAGTGTCATAAGGGCTCTGCAAGATTGGGCAGCTCATCTCCAGTGTCACATGGCACCTCATTTCAGAACATGGAGAAGATCCTGATCCGCCCAACAGCCTTCAAGCCAGTGCTGCCCAAACCTCGAGGGGCTCCGTCCCTGCCTAGCTTCATGGGTCCTCGGGCCACCGGGCTGTCTGGGAGCCAGGGCAGCCTGACGCAGCTGTTTGGGGGCCCTGCCTCCTCCTCCTCCTCTTCCTCCTCCTCTTCAGCTGCTGACAAACCCCTGGCATTTAGTGGCTGGGCCAGTGGCTGCCCATCAGGGACGCTATCCGACTCTGGCCGAAACTCACTGTCCAGCCTGCCCACCTACAGCACCGGAGGTGCCGAGCCAACCACCAGCTCCCCAGGCGGGCACCTGCCTTCCCATGGCTCTGGGCGAGGGGCACTGCCTGGGCCAGCCCGAGGGGTCCCTACTGGGCCCTCCCACTCAGACAGTGGCCGGTCCTCCTCCAGCAAGAGCACAGGCTCCCTAGGGGGCCGTGTGGCTGGGGGGCTTTTGGGCAGTGGTACTCGGGCCTCCCCTGACAGCAGCTCCTGTGGGGAGCGCTCACCACCACCCCCGCCTCCACCTCCTTCGGATGAGGCCCTGCTGCACTGTGTCCTGGAAGGAAAGCTCCGAGACCGGGAGGCAGAGCTTCAGCAGCTGCGGGACAGTCTGGACGAGAATGAGGCTACCATGTGCCAGGTGTGGTCAGAGGCAATGATGGGGAAGGGGCATGGCAGGACATCCCAAGGCCCTGGGATGCAAGCGGCATTTCCATTTTGGCAGGGAACGGGGGTTGGGTAGTTGTAGTTGTGACCCCCCTGCCCTCCCCACCAGTTGTCTGGTTTAATGTGTGGAGTAGCCAGGTGTGGTGGCTCACATCTGTAATCCCAGCACTTTGGGAGGCCGAGGTGGGCGGATTGCTTGAGCTCGGGAGTTTGAGACCAACCTGGGTAACATGGGGAAACCCCATTTCTACTAAAAATAAATTAGCTAAGTGTGGTGGCATGTACCTGTAGTCCCAGCTACTTGGGAGGCTGAGGTGGGCGGATCACTGGAGCCCAGGAGGAGGAGGTTACAATGGACTGACATTCCACCATTGCACTCCAGCCTGGGCGACAGAGCAAGACTCTATCTCAAAACAAAAAACAAAACTTGTGGGGTGGAAAGGAGTCAGAGTGCATGGATTCAAACCTCCCACTGCCAAATACTAGTTTTTGGGCTTGAGCAAGTTGCTTAACTTTACTCAGCCTTTATTTCTTCATCTATATAGGGATATTTCTAGCTTCGTAGGATTATTATGAGGATTAAATAAGGCAAAAGGTGTAAAGTGATTAGACTAATGCCTGGTACCTAGGAAGTGCTATATAAATGCTTGCCTTTTTTAAAATTTTTTATTATTTTTTATTTTTAGTAGAGACAGGGTTTCCACCATGTTGGCCAAGCTGGTCGCGAACCCCTGGCCTCAAGTGATTCACCTGCCTCGGCCTCCCAAAGTGCTGGGATTACAGGCGTGAGCCACTGCACCCGGCCAAGTGCTTGCTTTTTTTATTTTTTGAGACAAGGTCTCATTCTGTCACCCAGGCTAGAGAGCAGTGGCGTGATTTCAGCTCCCTGTAGCCTCAACCCCCTGGGCTCAAGCAGTCCTCTCACCCCAGCCTCCCAAGTAGCTGAGACTACAGGCGCATGCCACCACACCAAGCTAATTTTTGGTCTTTGGAGAGGCAGGGTTTTGCTGTGTTGCCTAGGCTGGTCTCGAACTCCGGAGCTTAAGTGATCCACCCACCTCGCGTGAGCCACCGAGCCCGGTCTGCTTGCTCTTGTGTTTGTTTCTATGATCATCATAAAAGCAGTTAGTATTGTTGTTGCAATTACTATTGTTGTTTAATGGAATCCACCCTTCCTGAGCCCTCGGAAGTGGGCTGCCAGAGCAGACACTGAGTGGGGAGTTGGGAAAACTGCCCAGGAGCCAGGTCTCTCTTCTCGCCTGCAGGCATACGAGGAGCGGCAGCGGCACTGGCAGCGAGAGCGTGAGGCCCTGCGAGAGGACTGTGCGGCCCAGGCACAGCGGGCACAGCGGGCCCAACAGCTGCTGCAGCTGCAGGTGTTCCAGCTGCAGCAGGAGAAGCGGCAATTGCAGGACGACTTCGCACAGCTGCTGCAGGAGCGCGAACAGCTGGAGCGGCGCTGCGCCACCTTGGAGCGGGAGCAGCGGGAGCTCGGGCCGAGGCTTGAGGAGACCAAGTGGGAGGTGGGCCAGACCAGGAGGGGCAGGGAGCAGGGTCACACAGGGAGAAACCCTGGAAAAAGGGGCCCAGCCCCACCCTCCCTCAGCCTGCCACCCCCAGAGGTCCTCCCCTTTCTCACCTCCGTGAGATGAGGTTCCCCTCTGTCCCTTTCTGGGAGGGGGGTCTCCTTGTTGGCCTTGTCTAGTGGCACGTAGCCACGCTTCCAGCCAGTAGTAAGAATGTGGTGCTTGTGGTGTGGAGGCACTATTCTAAGCATGTTACATGGAACAGATCATTTCATCCTTATAACAACACTGAGGGGGCTACCATTAGTCTCCCCATTTTAGAGATGAGTAAACTGAGGCCCATAAAGGCTGAAGCCCCAAATCTGAACCCAGGCAGTCTGGCTCCAATATCTGAGCTCTTAACTAGGTCACTGTAGTACCTCTCCAGCAGGCACCTGGGCACTGCCCTCCATTGTCCCCACTCCTGCAGCACTTGCCAGGACCCAGTCCCCAGTCCCCAGTCCCCAGGGCTTGGTGGTACTTGCAGTGTCTTGTGATGCTTTGAAGACACCAGCTTTGAAGCAAAAAGTTCTAGGTCTGCTTTCCACTTAAGCCCCATCTTAACTGTATGACCTTGGACATGTCACTAGACTTGCTTTAGTGTCTCCATCTGTAAAATGGGGATAAAGATGGACTCTTCTCTCCCAAATGCCCAGCATGATGTGCAGGGCCTGTCCCCCCAGGAGAACCTGTCTCACCATCCTTCCCCACTTCCTCCCACCCCCAGGTGTGCCAGAAATCAGGCGAGATCTCCCTGCTGAAGCAGCAGCTGAAAGAGTCTCAGGCAGAGCTGGTGCAGAAGGGCAGCGAGCTGGTGGCTCTGCGGGTGGCGCTGCGGGAGGCCCGTGCTACGCTGCGGGTCAGTGAGGGCCGTGCGCGGGGTCTACAGGAGGCCGCCCGAGCTCGGGAGCTGGAGCTGGAAGCCTGTTCCCAGGAGCTGCAGCGACACCGCCAGGAAGCTGAGCAGCTGCGGGAGAAAGCTGGGCAGTTGGATGCTGAGGCGGCCGGACTCCGGGAGCCCCCTGTGCCACCTGCCACCGCTGACCCATTCCTCCTGGCAGAGAGTGATGAGGCCAAAGTGCAGCGGGCAGCAGCCGGGGTTGGGGGCAGCTTGCGGGCCCAGGTGGAGCGATTGCGGGTGGAGCTGCAGCGGGAGCGGCGGCGGGGTGAGGAGCAGCGGGACAGCTTTGAGGGGGAGCGGCTGGCCTGGCAGGCAGAGAAGGAGCAGGTGATCCGCTACCAGAAGCAGCTGCAGCACAACTACATCCAGATGTACCGGCGCAACCGGCAGCTAGAGCAGGAGCTGCAGCAGCTCAGCCTGGAGCTGGAGGCCCGGGAGCTCGCTGACCTGGGCCTGGCCGAGCAGGCCCCCTGCATCTGCCTGGAGGAGATCACTGCTACTGAGATCTAGGGCCCTCAGCAACCAGCTCTGTAGGGAGCTCTGCCAGAGGGGCAGCAGCTGCAGATCCACTTAGGCCCCAGGGTCCACGGATGGCCCCAAAGGCTGAGGGCCCCAAAGCCACTTGTCTCCTAGGATCCAGGCCTCTGGGCTTCTGCCAAGAACTCAGGGTGGCCCTATGACTTGGAGGAGCAAGATCAGACCGCTCAAAGGTCCCCGTGTTCACTGTTACCCAGAGGCTCTTGTTACTACCCACTTCATTCCCCACCGCTGCCAGTGCCACTGCCAACCCTGTTCACAGGCGCTTCCAGCCCACTCCAGCCAGGGGAGCAGGGAAGAAGAAGGGGCTCCCTCCTCTTCACATTCCCCCCGACCCCAAAGCCAGAGAAAGCCAGATGGCACCAGCTGCTCCGGATGTGCCTGCCCACATTGGGGGACAGGGCCGGGCCTGGGCTCGGTTCCCAGGTTTGAGCTCTGCAGCCTCTCTCCTGGAGTGAGGGGGCTGAAGTCAGACCAAAGGAAGAACTCAGAAATGTCTTGTTTATTTGTGTTTGTGACCAAGCAGCCTCTCCCTTCACCCAGGTTTATGGCCTCGTTTTCACTTGTATATTTTTCACACTGTAAATTTCTTGTACAAACCCAAAGAAAAAATTAAAAAAAATTTTTTTGTTTAAAAATAATGTGAATGTGCTGGATAAAGAGTACAGGAACTTGTTTGACCCCCCCCCCCCCACCATTTGCTGGCTATTCTCCTCCCCCTCATAGAGCTCTCTTGGGGAGAAAAGGTGATGGAGGAAGGACAAATCCAGTAGAATGTCTGAGGTCTTAGTGGACCCCAACGTGAAATGATCTCTCAGGATTTCAGGGACTAGAAAAGCCTTTCATCCGTTTCCTTGCACAGAATGCTGCTTGGGGTTGAGGAATGGATGCATTGACCCCTTCAGGGCCCTGTCTGAGAGTCTGTGTCCCTGGAGGCTTGGGCGACTCATAAGGGACAGCATGTGAGAAAGTGCCCACCAATCCCAAGCTCCAGACCTTGGCTTTCTCACCCCCTATCCTGGCTTGGGAGGTTGGGGAGCAGTGAGTGCAGGTGACACAGGCTGCCCACTAGCACCTTGTCCTTGGACACTAAGGCAGAGCCTTAATGACAGCTGAGGAGGGAAGAAAGTGGAAAGATGTGAGCCACCAGTGTGGCACTGGGAGGAGGCAGGGTGGGCAGGAGCTGGAGAGTCCTGAAGAAGTTGGTAGGAGAGGTCCTGGGGATAACGGGATGCTGGAGTCAGTGGGTGAATCTGAGGTTAGGGGGAGGGTCATGGGATGCGTGGGGAGGGTGCGGGCTTAGAATCAGGAGTCTGGAGGGCTGGGGAGGGGGCTGGGCTGGGAGTTGGCTGGAGGAGCCTGGCATCAGTGGGAGGAGTCTGGGGATTGGTGGGAGGTTCTGGGAGCCAGTGGGCAGGAACTGGAGCAGCATCAAGGGGTTGGTGGGCAGGCAAGTGGTCAGCAGGAAGGCCCCCATCAGTAAGGGCTGATGAGTCAGAGGGTGAGGGCCGTGGGCTGGGCCCGGGGACCCTGACCACAAGCTCCATGGGCTCCCGGGCCTTGTTTCGATAAGCCCGACGGATGGTGTCTACTGCACGCTGGTGGGTCACCTGCTCTAGATTCTCTCCGTCCACTGCCACAAGCTCGAAGCCAGCCTAGGGTGGGGTGAGAGAGTCACATCCCTCCCTCCTCATGTCACCCTGCATCAGCCCCCAACCTGAAGGCAGCATCTTCTCACCTCCACCCATGAGGACACTCCTCCCCCATCTGGGTGGAGGGGATGGACAATGAGACTTTTGTGCCTGCAGTTGTTGGGGGCAGGGTGGGGCACAGACAAGGGCTCTTTGTCCCTTGGGGCTCAGGCTCAGGCTAGCATGAGGGGACAGAGTTTTCCCTGGGCCTGCTCATCCTGCTCACCTGAACCCCCTCACCCCAAGCCTCCTCCCACAACCCGGGCTAAACATGTCTGGCTGGAAGCTGAGCATGGCCAGCCCCACCTCCTGCCTGGTTTCAGCTGTGCTCTGAGAGGGTGGGCCAGGGCATGCTTCACCCACCTGCAGGGCCCCACTGAGGAAAGCGGCCCCCCCAGGGAAGATCTTCTCTATCTTCACCATGGGCTGCACCTTGGACTCAATGCCCCCAGAAATGCTGATACCTAGTGACAGGGAGAAACACCGTGTGAGAGTGCAGCCGGACCCCAAAATGCAAGCTCCCTGGAGAAACCTAGAATCCCATCCCCAAATCCAAGGCCCCAACTTCTCCCACATCCCTACATTCTGTTACTACTCAAATCTCAACTCATTCCAAAATCCTCCAGATCCCAGCCCCTCAAATCTAGACCCCACCCAACTGCACCCCAATACCCCAAATTCCCTTTTATTTATTTATTTTTTGAGACAGAGTCTTTTTTTTTTTTTTTTTTTTTTTTTGAGACGGAGTTTCACTCTTGTTGCCCAGGCTGGAGTGCAATGGCACGATCTCGGCTCACCGCAACCTCCGCCTCCCGGGTTCAGCCGATTCTCCTGCCTCACCCTCCCTAGTAGCTGGGATTACAGGCATGTGCCAACATGTCAGGCTAATTCTGTATTTTTAGTAGAGACAGGGTTTCTCCATGTTGGTCAGGCTGGTCTTGAACTCCTGACCTCAGGTGATCCACCCTCCTGGGCCTCCTGAAGTGCTGGGATTACAGGCGTGAGCCACCGCGCCCGGCTGAGACAGAGTCTTACTCTGTCACCCAGGCTGGAGTGCAGTGGCGCAACCTCAGTTGGGCTCACGGCAACCTCCGCCTCCTGGGTTCAAGTGATTCTCCCGCTCAGCCTTCTGAGTAGCTGGGATTACAGGCGCCCACCACCACACACGGCTAATTCTTTTGTATTTTTAGTGGAAACGGGGTTTCGCCATGTAGCCCAGGCTAGTCTTGACCTCCTGACCTCAAGTGATCCGCCTGCCTCAGCCTCCCAAAGTGCTGGGGTTACAGGTGTGAGCCTCTGCGCCTGGCCCAATACTCCTCCAGATTCTTTTCCTAGGCCCAGGCTTCCTAGTGTCCTCTGCCGGGCCCAGTCCCACGTGGACTCACCTAAGGACTGCTTCATCTTGGACAGTGTCACTGTCTTCAGCTCGCCACTGGGGTTCTTCATGGCTGCCTCCTTGGCCGTCCCCTCAGTTCCACTCTCCGAGGGCCCTTGCTTGGCCCCCACCTTGGCTGCCTCCCCATCCAGAGGTCGTGGCAGAGGGGGTCTGGCCTTCCGAGGCTTGTGGTAGCGCCCATTGGTCATGCTGGGGGCAGGGGTAGGCACCGGGGATGGGGAGCGTCTACCTGGAGACTTGCCTTGACCCCGGCTGCTGCGGCTGCGGCTGCGGCTACGGCTGCGGCTACGGCTCTGAGCCCGGCCCCGGATCTGGCTCTGCGGAGGGTGCTCTCGGCTCAGGGGTTCTGTCAGCAGCCAGTTAGGCCGCAGGGGCCGGGGAGCCACGGGGGGTAGCTGGGGAGGGGGTGTGCAGGCAATTCGGAGGGGGGTGAAGGCATCTACTGGCACGTCTTGTAGAGGGGGGATCCCTTTATGGGGGTGGCGAGGGGCAGAGGCACTTGGGGAGACCTTGAGGGCCCCCAGCCGCTCCCTCAGCTCCCCATTATCTTCCTCTTCCGGGAAGCCGTTCACCGGCAGCAGGTAGAAGCCTCCGCGGCTGTCTGGGGAAGAGCGCCAAGGTCAGCTGCCCACTCCTCCCCTCTCCAGGACCCAGGCCTTGCTTTGGTTTGTGTGGGGCCTGTGAGAGCCAGGCCCGAGTTTGTTCAGGCACCACTGCAGTGCGGCCCACCCACCGGGGAGGCAGACAGACATGTTCTATTAGAATCGCTTATTTATTTATTTGAGATGGAATCTCACTCTGTTGCCCAGGCGTGGTGGCGCGATTTTGGCTCACTGCAACCTCCACCTCCCAGGTTCAAGCGAGTCTCCTGCCTCAGCCTCCCGGAGTAGCTGGGATTACAGGCGTGCACCAAAAAGCCCAGGTCATTTTTGTATTTTTAGTAGAGACGGGGTTTCGCCATGTTGGCCAGGTTGGTCTCTACTCCTCACCTCAAGCGATCCACCCGCCTCAGCCTCCCAAAGTGCTGGGATTACAGGCGTGAGCCACCGCGCCCGGCCTAGAATTACATTTTAATGCTTCCTGCTGGAATCGTTACCGTTCTATTTTAATGTGTCTAAGAAAAAATACGACTAGCACACCAAACGTAATTTCTCAGAGGTTACTGCATAGAATGAGACTAGATTTTAAAAGTGAGTGGGTTTCAAACCAACTATTAAGTAATAGTACAGGTGGTGACCAGCAGATGTGATAAAATGGCTCTGGTGGACAAGAGCTTTCCTTCAGGGAACCACAATGTGCCTGGAAGCCACAACTGCCCCTAGTGGGGAAAGAAGTAGAAGGCCCATCCTCCTTTCCCTAATCTCCCCAGGGCTGTGCCCCTCCCTGGGCTCTGGGACTCTGACTGACCAGGCACGGGGGTGATAAGGTGACGCTTGGGTGGCGTGTCCTGCCGGGCTGGTCTCAAAGCAGGAGGCCGGACTGGTTGGAGAGATGAACAGGTCAGCGGCAAGGTACCCCGCCAGGCTCCGGGACGGAGGCAGCTCAAGGGGCTCGGCAATCTCTGCAGCCCTCTCCACCACGGGGTCCCATCCCCACCCCCAGCAGGGCTCAGGACCCAGAAGCCCCGCCCCCCACTGCTGACCTGCCCTGCTCTTGAGGGCCTCAAAAGCCTCCAGCTCCACAAGCATCACCATGCTGTCGAAGCGGCCCAGGTCTGTGGGGGCCACCACACTCCTGGGAGAGGGCGAGAGACAGCAGGGGTGGGAGGGGCAGGCAGGATTTCAGTTCCGGAGGTGCCAGGATGCCCTTCAGCCCTCGGGAGGTTGGGGGTGGTACCAGGGATCCCCTTCCTGCCCCCAAGCCCTCTCTGCAACCTCCTCCCACCTGATGTCCTGCAGCAGTAGCAGCTTCTCCGGCCTGTCGAGGATGGCCAGCAGGGGCCTCACCAGGTCCTCTATGCCTCCCTCGTGCACATACTGCAGATAGAGGCAGCACAGGTCAGACAGCAGTGGGGGCTTCCAGAGCTGAGTGAGGGGGACACCAGGGCATGCAGGTGTTTCTTCTACGCATGTAGGGACCTATCCAGCCCTGCGTGCCTTGGGAAAGGTTCACTCCACCCCCAGCTGCCACAGGGTGGTCTGATCTTGGTGACAGGGTGGAAGCCTGCAGTAATAACAGACCTGCAATAAATGGCAACAGCATCGATAACAGCTTTGGGACAGACACTTTTCTAAGCCTTTTACATACTGTCTCTCAGCAACCACCCTGAGAAATGGCATTAATTATTCCCGTTTTACAGATGCGGAAACAGGCTCAGAGAGAAGGACTTCACTCAAAGCCACACAGATAAGGAAGTGTGAAGAGGGACTGGAACCCGGGAAGTCTAACTCTTGCCTGCTCTGGTGCCGGAAAAGGATGTGCAGGGAGTGGACTCTCCTCCCCACCCCCACATCCCAGGCAGAAGGAAGGAATTTGAGCCAAACTCTAGGCTGTGTGCCTGGCTGTCCCAGCATATGTCTGCACACAGACCTACAAATTAGGCTTTGTTCGGGGCTAGAATAGGAGCCTTGGGGAAGGGCCTCTCCAATCAGTTCCCTTGGAGGGGGGCGGGGTGGAGCCCCTTCTGCCTGGCACTGCCCGGATGCCACCAGCCACACCCCACTGACTCTGAAGACCTGAACACTGGGAGCCATCCCATTTGGACAGCACATCGCCCCCTCGTGGCAAGAGGGAGACTGAGTCAGGGACACGCACGCATAGAACACTTTCTATGGGCACAGGCACAGAGACAGAGCATGCCTTGGTGGTCAGAGTGAGTCATTCATAAATATCTGGAAATAAATACAATACAAATGATGTGTGTGGCCCCAAACCACACACAGTTACAGCGACTCACACATACACATATCAATAATACATTCCCTTTTGTCTGGAGAGACACATGTGGTGCAGAACCAGCCTCATATGTGCACACGCTTTAAGTCCATGGACTTGGATTCGGTACCTACTAAGTGCCAGGCCCTGTACTGGCCAGCAGGGGCACAATGATCCTGTCTCAGATCTTCAGGAACTGGGTCTAGTGGGAGCGAGGGGAAGATGAGTCACATACCCTGGTGAACTACAAACCATGGGCAATGGGGCACAGGGAGTCTCAGAGGAAGGTGGGAAGATCCCAGTGGGCTTCATGGAGGTGGTGGTATTTTGACTGACTCTTAGAAGATAGACGTAGGGAACAGCACAAAAGTTGGGAAGAAAGTGTTGCAAAGGTGGTGTGGAAAAACGAGTAGATAGTGGTTTAAACGTGGCCATGGGGTCCATGAAGAGCCTCCCTGCAGGGCTGCTGCACAGGCTGTGACTATATGAGTAGCGTCTCTGAGGTTGTGCAGGTTGTAACCTGTATAAACCTATGCGGCGGCCGTGGGAAAGTGGAGGTTGGTGGGTTAGGGAGTTGAATCTGGGAGGACCTCGAATGTGAGAGCCAAAGACAATGGGTCACCTCTGCCAAAGACAATGGGTCACCAGGTGGCCTGGGGAGTGTACAGCGATCAGACAGGGGTTTCTTTTCTTTCTTTTTTTTTTTTTTTTGAGATGGATTTTCGCTCTTGTTCTCAGGTTGGAGTGCAATGGCACGATCTTGGCTCACTGCAACCTCCACCTCCAGGGTTCAAGCGATTCTCCTGCCTCAGCCTACCGAGTAGCTGGGATTACAGGCGCCCACCACCATGCCCAGCTATTTTTTTTTTTTTTTGTATTTTTAGTAGAGATGGGGTTTCACCATGTTGGACAGGCTGGTCTCGAACTCCTGACTACAGGTGATCCGCTCACCTCGGCCACCCAAAGTGCTGGGATTACAGGCGTGAGCCACCGTGCCTGGCCAACCAGACAGGGGTTTCTGATTCCTGGTCTGGCAGCTGTAGAGAGATGGCTCACATGGGGAGAGAAGGGAAGCCTGGAGTTCAGGGCTACATGCCCCAGTCACTAGGAGAACTTTACTCATCACTCCAGCCAGGGCTCCATCGCAGAGGGTCTGATCTCTTGGTGTGGGGGGCTTGGGTCAGGTTTGGGTGGTGGTTGAGCTCGGCAGGTGGTATGGGGGCACAAGTGGGAGGTTTGGGCAGAGGAGAAGGGAGGGATGAGGGAAAAGGAGCCTCCAAAGAGACAGACCCAGAGCCCCACCTCGTGGCCAAAGCCTGCATTGCCGGCCCACTGGAGGCTGGTACACGCTGCCCTACTTAGCGCTGGGAGCTAAGGGTGACACTTTCTGAGTTTAGCCCAAAGCCCCTTAGCTTCCCCCAGCACACACCCCTATCTGCAGCTCTGCTGCAAACCGGGCCTTGATAACAGGATGCATAAATGACCATGTCTCAGTCTCCAGGTGACAATGCATGGACACACACACACACACACACACACGCTAGCCAGACACGTGCTTGCTCACATGCACACACACACACACAATCATGCAGTCATATCAGTACAAACCAGGTACCCCACAGACACGCCAGTGCACACACCACACAGACATACAACACAGCCCCACTTTGAGTAAGATGAAGGGTGAGGGAATCCACAAACAATTTTTCAAGACCCCCCAGCTCGCCCTCACACACAGTGTGCAGACTCCTCACAAAGAGCCCAGTGTACACACACAGGCCTTCCTGAGACAGGGACAGGAGAGGACCTGCCAGTCCTGGAGTGAGTGACCTGTGCCCCACAGCCTCCCCAACAGGTGGGCCCCAGAGACTCCTTCAAATCTGACTCTCTCTCCACCCTGGGGCGCTCTGGTTCTTTTTGAAGTGGAAGAGAACAGAGAACGACAGTTTAGGTGTTGGGGGAGGCAAAGGATTACTTACTTGGGCAACAGGGGAGAGGACCTGGCATGAAGCCAGGCTTACTGGCTGACCTAGGAGCAGAGGGTGGCATGCAGTGAAGGATGGAGGCTTGCAGAGGGCAGAGGCAGGCGACTGCAGGGACTCACTTTCCCCACGTGGCACCTGTCCGCTCCTTCTCTTCTCAGCTTAAATATCACCTCCTCTAGGAGGGCCTCCCAGCCCACACCATCTAATGTGTGTCTCCTGGGTTACCGTCTCATGTTCTTTTTCTTCAGCTCTTCATGTGACTCATCACCATGGGCGTTTAGGTTCTAGTGATTTTCTAGCTCTTCTTCCTGTGAGCTGGCAGATGTGTGTGTGTGTGTGTGTGTGTGTGTGACAGGAGTGACTTCTGATTTTACTGACCACTAGCCTCCTGGTGTCAAGCCCAGACACTGGTCAGTGGACAGTGGCCTGAATGAATGATGGGCTGGGTGACTGAAGGACCGTGTGCCAGGGCTGCGGATGGGATGAAGGCTTACCCGGGAGCAGTGGCGGGTGACAGCCAGCACCTCGTCATCAGTCAGCAGCCTCTGGGCCAGGTCCTGAATGAGGGGCCGCCGGCTCTCCCAGGCCTGAACCTGCTCATCCACATTAGGCAGCTGGCTGGAGGGACTCCCAGACCTGGCAGACAGCAGGGCCCGGCCCCTCTCCTGGTCTGCAGGGCAGGAACCATCAGGGGAGGGGAGAGGGGCTTCCCTCAGCAGGGCTGGGCCCCAGAATTGGCCAGCTGAGAGCCCAGGTACCTGGGGCAGAATCCTAGCCTAGCCTATATGCTCCCCACCATGGTAGCCCACAGCAACCTGCCCACCAATGCAGCACAAACCCCAGCCCTCAGCCCCAACATGGACCCCTATACCAGTCTGTTTCTTAATGGGGTCTTAGCCCAGTGCCCCCAGGGCCCCCTGAACATGCACTGTCATAGTAGTCTGTTGCCCAGTGGAGGCCCAGCACAGGCTCCCTCATCACCCCCAAATATATCTTTGGGAGTCCCAACACAAGCTCCTAAAATGCATCCCAATATCTGTCTGCCACCCTATCTTTCCTAGTCAGCTTAGTCCAATTCTTTTAGCTGCCCCCAATACATACCATTCTAGCTGCCTGATCCCCCATGCTTGACCCTGACTGAATTTAGTCCAGAGCCACTCAGCTGGCCCCCAGTATGCACCCTCATCTGCCGCTCTACTGTAAACTAGGCCTTGGTAAAGGGATGCATGAATTACCACGTCTCAGTCTCCAGGTGACAAACTTCTGTACCGGGCCCACGCCCCCTGCTATGAAGAAGAAAGAGGCTCAGCTGCAGGCCTTGGCCCCCAGTCTGAAAATGGGGTTCAGGAGGGCTCAGGACAAGCTGGAATGGAGAATTCAGACTGGAAGTAGGTGGGATAGGGAGGCAAGAGGCCTGGCCCTGAGGGGCTTGAAGGCAATGCTCAGGCTATGGACTTCCTTCATAGGCAATGGGGAGTCAGGACGGTTTTGGATCAAAACAGGGTGCAGTCTGAGCACTGCTTATGCAAATTCACTTGGAAGCAAATGTATGGAGGGAAGAACCTCAGGGACAGAGCTTGGAGAAGTACCTACCTTCAGGGGACAGAGGGAAAAAGAGGAGCCTTGGAAGGAGATAGAGGAGTGGCCAGAGAGGTGGGAGGAGAACCAGCAGAGGGCAGGGACTTGGGAACTGTGGGAAGAGAGATGCACTGACGGAGAGGGGCCAGGCAGCCGTAATTGGAAGGGATTGTCTCTCCCATGGTACAATCACCTTGAGACCCCAGAACATCCCACCCCAGGGCAAAGCAGGGTCCAGCTCCTCATCCTCTGGTTGTTTTGTTGATCCGACATCCACCCCCCTCTTCTGAAAACAGCACCCTGATTTTCCCCTGGGGACCCACCCCACTCTGTTCTTAGCCCGTGTACTCCAGGGTGGGTACATGACCCAGGCTGGCCAACAAAAGCACTTTCCCTCCCACATCACAGCGATTTATTCTGCATGGCACAGGATCTCAGCTGGGCCAGGGAGAGCCTACCCTGGGACTTCAGCTGGAACTATTTAAGGAGAAGCACTTTCCCCTGGGGTTGCTATGCAATAGAGGTCATCTTACCCCCAGGTGGGCAAAGCCCCACAATAGCGAAGTCAACTCATGGGAGAGATGGAGGGGGACAGATGTCTGATGATGTTGCTCAGATGTTTAGACCCAGCTTAAATCAGCAGCTGAGCCAAGACGTGCTTTATTTTTCTTTTACTTTTTTTTTTTCTTTAGAGACAGGGTCTTGCTATGTTGCCCAGGCTGGTCTTAAACTCCTGGGCTCAAGTGATCTTGCTGCTTCAGCTTCCAGAGTAGTTGGGATTGGCCAGGTGTGGTAGATCACGCTGTAATCCTAGCACTTTGGGAGACTAAGGCGGGTAGATAGCTTCAGTCCAGGAATTTGAGACTAGCCTGGGCAACAGGGTGAAACCCCCATCTCTACAAAAAGATGCAAAAAAATTAGCTGAGCATGGTGATGCACACGTGTCATGCCAGCACTTTGGGAGGCTGAGGTGGGAGGATCGCTTGAGCGTGGGAGGCGCAGGTCGCAGTGAGCTGAGATGGTGCCATTACACTCTCGCCTGGGCAACAAGAGCAAAACTCCATCTCAAAAAAAAAAAAGAAAGAAAAAGAAAGAAAGGAAAGAAAGGAAGGAAGGAAGGAAAGAAAGAAAGAAAGAAAGAAAGAAAGAAAGAAAGAAAGAAAGAAAGAAAGAAAAGAAAGAAAGAAAGAAAGAAAAGAAAGAAAGAAAAAGAAATAGGTATTATTACCCCCATTTTACTCATGAGGAAACTGAGGCTCTCAGGGGTTGAGTAGGGACTCAGCTGGTAAGACGCGGTGTGGGATCTCAACTCAGAACTGCTGAATGCCGAAGCTAGTGGACTTCACTTTGCCTTCCTGTTTGATCAGCCCACTACTTACCTTTCTCTATGTCCAGGCGAGGGTAAGTTTTGGCCAGGCTCCCGCTGTCCAGTGTCCAGGCCTCTCTGCGCCCGTCCCGCGCTAGCCTCCCCTGCCGCCCTCCCTTGAAGAAGAGGTTCATCAGCGTCTTGGAGCGCTGCAGGGCACCCTTCTCCCCAGGGGACCCCGACTTCTCCTTCTTCCGCTGCTGCTTCTCCTCTGCAGACACGAGGGAGCAACGGGGGAGCTGGAGGGGTGGGCAGAAGGGAAGGACGAGGGGCAGGGGTGTGGGGAGGGACAGAGAGAAGGGAGAGGAGAGGGCAGACAGGATCTGCAGCTACGCCGGGGTGAGAGTGCGGTTCCTCTTCCGACTTTCTGACCCTTTTCCCCACCGCACAGCTGTGGCTATGTAAGGAATCTCCCTTGAGGCCCAGTTAGAGAAGGGCACACATGCGTGCGTGTGTTTGAGCAACTGTGTGTGTAAATAGGCCTGGGAACTCCAGGATCCAGGGGCTGGGGTTAGGGCTGGTTCGGGGAACAGGGGCTGAGACTAAGGGTGAATGTGGGGTCCAGGACTAATTTAAAGTGGAGCCCACAGCAGGGTCTGAGCAGCCTGGAGCTTGGGTTGGGCAAGGGCTTCGTCAAGGCCTGGGGCAAAGGGAGGTTTGAGCCCGGGACAGGATGTGAGACAGGTTTTGGACCAGAGGCTGTGGAGGGAGCAGCCGCCACCCATCCCCCACGTACCCCACAAGGTCAGATAGCTCTGGGAGCGCGTGATGGGGGGCCGGGGTCGGCTGAGGGCCAGCAGCAAAGCCGTCTTGGGAGACTCAGAGAGCGCAGAGTCAAGGCGGCGGCCGGGATGGGGGCCGTCCGAGCGGATGGCGGTGTCCCTGAGGATGACTGTGGGCCGCACGCTGCACCAGGTCTCCACCCGGCCTCCCGCATCGGGCTCCGTCTGCATGGCTGTGTCCGCCCGCCCCCAGCCTGGGCCGCGGCTGCCGGGCTCCTCCTGCCCGAGGCAGATGTCCATGCGGTCCGACGGCAGGGAGCCCGAGCTGTAGGGGGCGCTGGAGGCGCACGAAGAGACGCTGGAGCTGCTCTCAGAGGCCGGGGACAGCTGCTGCAGCACCCCGTTGCTCACTGCAGGGAGTAGAGAAGCCAGGGATCAGCGGGCTTGCTTCAGAGCCCTGCCCGGCTTGCAGACCACCCTTGGGCTTAGGGGTGGAGGAGGCAAGGTCAGGCAGCAGCCAGGGTTAGAACCGCAGTGGTGAGGAACCCGCTGCTCCGAAATGCTGCCACTGACCTAAGGCATGTCACTTCTCAAATCACCCACTGGGACTCCAGACCCTAGGAGAGCCTGCATTTTATCCGCAGATTCTCAGAGGGGAGCCCAGAAATAGCTCTGGACTGTGTGAAGGGTCTTGGTTCCTGTGCTTTTCTGCTTCCCCTTCTGCTTCTGCTTCTGCCTCCTCCTCCTCCTCCTCCTCCTCCTCCTCCTCCTCCTCCTCCTCTTCTTCTTCTTCTTCTTCCTCCTCTTCTTCTTTCTTCTTCTTCTTTTTTTTTTCTTTGAGACAGTCTCATTCTATGGCCCTGACTGGAGTGCAGTGATGTGATCTCGGTTCACTGCAACCTCTACTTCCTGAGTTCAAGCGATTCTTGTGCCTCAGCTTCCCAAGTAGCTGGTATGACAGGTGCCCACCACCACACCCAGCTAATTTTTGTATTTTTAGTAGAGACGGGGTTTCATCATGTTGGCCAGGCTGGTCTCGAGCACCTGACCTCAGGTGATCCACCCACCTCAGCCTCCCAAAGTTTTGGGATTATAGGCATAAGCCACCGCGCCAGGCTTTTTTTTTTTTTTGAGACAGGCTCTCACTGTGTCACCCAGGCTGGAGTGCAGTGGCACAATCACAGCTCCACAGCTCACCACAGCCTCAAACTCCTGGGCTCAGGCAATCTTCCCACCTCAGCCTCCCAAGTAGCACAGACCACAGGCCCTCACCACCACTCCAGTTAATTTTTAAATTATTATTATTATTATTATTATTTTGAGATGGAGTTTCACTCTTATTGCCCAGGCTGGAGTGCAATGGCATCTCTGCTCACTGCAACCTCTGCCTCCTGGGTTCAAGCAATTCTCCTGCCTCAGGCTCCCGAGTAGCTGGGATTACAGGCATGGGCCACCACGCCCAGCTACTTTGTATTTTTAGTAAAGACTGGGTTTCTCCATGTTGGTCAGGCTGGTCTCGAACTCCCAACCTCAGGTGATCCGCCCACCTCAGCCTCCCAAAGTGCTGGGATTATAGGCGTGAGCCATCGCGGCCGGCTTAAATTATTATTTGTAGAGACGAGGTCTACCTATATGGCCAAGACTGGTCTTGAACTCCTGTACTCAAGCGATCCTCCCACCTCAGCCTCCCAAAATGCTGGGATTACAGGTGTAAGCCACCAAGCCTGGCCCTTTTCTTCTTCAGAGAGCCGGGCCCCACCCTAAGGCCTCAGCCCTTTCCCTCCAACCTTGGGAGATCTGAGCCACTTACGTCGGTCCAGCCAGCAGTACTCAGAAACCATCTCCTTGTAGGCAGGATACCGGCCGGTCTCCTGGGGAGGGGATGGTGGGCATAGGAGGGAAGGGGGAGCAGTGAGGAGGGAGAGTGAGAATGGGGCGGGGGTGACAGGATGGGAGTAAACTTTCAACTTCATTTCTGTCCTCCAAATTCATCATGCTCTGGCCGCACAGGCCACTTTCTTTCTGAACGTGCCAAGTTCCTTTTTGCACTTGCTGTTCACTCTGCCTGGAGGCAGCCCTGACCCTGAGATACAGGGGCCTTCCTGAATTACTCCATTCCATCTCTCTGTTAATTTCCTTAGAGCATTTGTCACTATCTGCAAGCATCTAGTTTATTGGTCTGTCTCCCTCCAGTAGCAGAGAACTTATCTGTCCTGTTCACTGTTGCAGCCCCAGTACCTGGCACAGTGGCCGGCACATAGTGGGTGCTCAAAAATATTGTTGAATGAATGAGGGGCAGAGTGGGAGTGAGGAAAGATGTTTGGGATAATCTGAGAGGAAGGAAAAGGAAAAATGGGATGGGGGAGAGGTAGAAATTGGCGGGGGAAGGCGGCAGAGGAGGCACCCAGTGAAGCCTTCACCCCAAGTGAAGGCTTAGGGAAGCAGAAAGGTAGAGCAGGGGCCAGGGCTGGGCACCAGGGGAGAGTGAGGTGGCATCCTCCAGGAGCCGGAATGAGAAGACCTGATCCTCAGACAAGTGTGAGACCCACATGAATAATGAATCCAGCCACCTCCCGTGAAATCCAACCTCTGGCCCCAGCCCAGCCCTCCTAGCTGTATGCCCTGGGGATGCCCATCACCCAGGTCCTGTCCAAACCGCAGCCACCACCCCTCCCTTCTGGGCAAGACATTTGTTCCTTTCAACCCTAGGCCTCCACCCTTCATAAGAAGGGGGCACCACTCTAGCACTGTGGGGAGCAGGACTGGAACCAAGCCCAGCCACTGACCAGCTGAGTAAGTGACCTGTTCGTGAGTTGCTGTGCCTCTCTAAACCTGTTTCTTCTTCTTCAAAACAGGGATGAGAACAATGCCTGTCTACCTTCTAGTGGCTGTGGGAACGTCATAAATTGCAGAGCATTATTAAGAACTAGGGTGGTCTGGGAAGCCCCTACTCTAGCCTCACCTCTCCCTACCCCCACTGTTCTGCCCACCTTGATGGTCAGCATGATGTGCGTTTGGCCCTTCAGCACCTCCACGGCCTGGCTGTGGCTGATGTCGTCAAACCTGACACCGTTGGCTGCCAGGACCTGGTCCCCCACCTTGATGCCATTCTCCTCGGCCAGCCCACCATGGTCCACTCTGAGGCCAGACAGGCGTCAGTCTGATAGGCCCCTGGCCTGCCCTCCGTTACCCCACTCCAGACCCCCTTCTCTTGGACACAAGACTGCACCAGTCAAGGTCCTTGACCCTCCTACTGGGGCCTCCCGCCCCCTCCCAGGCCCTCACTGAGACAGGTGGTTGGCCAGGCCTCACTTGCTGACCATCCCCACATCCCAGCCTAGGCCCCACTCCAGACCCCATTCTCAGTTCTACCCGAAGACACTTCCTGCCTCAGCCCTCACTTGGACACATAGATGCCCAGGCCAAACTCCTTGCCCCCACGGATGTTGAAGCCCAGGCAGAAGTCGTCGGAGGTTGTGTATAGGTGGACGATGCGCCGGACACCATCTTCTGAGCTGGTGTCGGAGGGTGTTGAACCGCACTTCTCCACTACCAGGCGCCGATTCACCACATCCACCCTGGACAACAGCAGGGGGCCCTCAGGTGGGGTCCTCCATCCACTGCCACCCACCACCCTCCCAGCAGTTCTGACAACTGCAGGGAAAGTGGGGGTTGCCTTTGGGGGACTCCCCAGGCCTGAGACCTGCAGTGGGGCATAGGTTCATTAGCTGGGAAACCAGCCTAATTGCCTCTTTTTATTGAGCAGCTGCAATGTGCCAGGACCATTCCTTTTTTTTTTTTTTTTGAGACAGGGTCTTGCTCTGTCCACCCATGCTGGAGTGCAGTGGTGTGATCATGGCTCACTGCAGCCTCAACCTCCTGGGCTCAAGCAGTCCTTCCACCTCAGCCTCTTGAATGGCTGGGACTACAGGTACATGCCCACCATGCCCAGTTTTTTTGTTTTTGTTTTGTTTTGTTTTTTGAGATGGAGTTTCACTCCTGCTGCCCAGGCTAGAGTGCAATGGTATGATCTCGGCTCACTGCAACTTCCGCCTCCCAGGTTCAAGTGATTCTCCTGCCTCAACCTCTCAAGTAGCTGGGATTACAGGCATGCTCCACCACGCTCGGTTAATTTTTTATTTTTAGTACAGACGGGGTTTCTCCATGTTGGTCAGGCTGGTCTTGAACTCCCAACCTCAGGTGATCCACCTGCCTCAGCCTCCCAAAGTGCTGGGATTACAGGCTTGAGCCACCATGCCCGGCTTTTTTTTTTTTTTTTTTTTTTTTTTTAGAGAAGGGGTCTTGCTATGTTGCCCAGGCTAGGCCCCATTTCTAATCCTTACAGCACCCCTGTAGAGAGGTGGTGTTTTGCCTCTGGGTTTCACAGCAGGAGCAGCGGCAATGTGGCAGCAGAACCACTGGGATCTGGGAGAGCAGAGCTATTGGAGGAGGGCAGGGGAAAGATGCAGCCTCTCCTTATTTTGAGGTCAGGCCTTTGGATCCCCTGCGTTTCCTGAGCCAGCGAGCAGGAGGAACAGAAGCCTCTCCTGCCAGTGGGTTTTGGGTGTTGGTAGGGTTGGGGTGGGCTGGGGCAAGGCCAGGGCTAGGATGAGGGAGTTGCTGCTCACCACGTGGTCTTCTCCTTGGAGAACTTGATGCCCGGCACACGGCCCATGCGCCGAACCATCATGTGCAGGCGGCTGCTGCTGGTCAGCACCTTTACGGCGCTACCCATGGTGGTGCTCTCCAGGCTCAGCCCATTCACCTCCGTGATCTTGTCCCCCACGCACAGGCCAGCCCGCTCTGCACCACAGGATGGGAGTGGCTGGCATGGGTCCCCAGGGTGGGGCTGAGCCTCCCCCATCAGATGGAGCTCCCTGGGGTCAAACTGAGCTTCTCAATCAGAGTGAGGATTGTCAGAGCAGGGGCTGAGTGTTCCCAGTGCCTAGGGATCTGTCCCTTAAACCATTCTGACTTGAGGGTTGGCCCTGTCTCCCCATCAATCAGGCCCTCCAGAGCTGGGGACTCTTCCGTCTGTCCCTGACAGCAGCATCCCCTGCCATTCACTGAGATTGGAGTCACATCCTAAGCGTGGACTTCAGCCTGGGGGTTCTGCTTACCTGCACTGCTGCCTTCCTCCACTTTGCTGACGAAGATGCCCAGGCCATGCTCTGAGCCCCCGCGCACGCTGAAGCCCAGCCTCCCTGCTGGACTCTTCTCCACCCGGACTGAATGGATGATGTCACTTTCATCACTGTTGGCTGTGAGGACAGGGATTTAGGGATGCCCCCATGTTCATTGTGGGCACAGAGGGCCCCTGGGTTCCCCAACTTGGGGCCTGCAAAGGCTAGGTTGCTGGGCACAGTCACACAGGCACGTAGGGGCCTAAATGCAGTGGGGCAGGTCAGCCCATTTCTAAGGCCCCTCTGGGTGATTTTTATGTTATTTTTTAAAGAAACAGGGTCTTGCTCTGTCATCCAGGCTGGAGTGCAGTGGTGTGATCATGGCTCACTGCAGCCACAAACTCCTGGGCTCAAGTAACCCTCCTGCCTCAGCCTTCCAAGTAGCTAGGACTACAGGCACACACCACTGTGCCTGGATTAATTTTAAATTTTTTGTAGAGGCAGGGTCTCACTTTGTTGCCCAGACTGGCCCAAATCCCTGGCCTCAAGCAATTCTCCCACCTTGGCCTTCCAAAGTGTTGGGATTATAGGTATGAGCCGCATATCCTGCCCGCTCTGAGTGATTTTGAGACCATGGGCCAGGAAGGTGTGAAAGAAGGTGAGATCAGCGGGACAGGACTCTATGCTAAAGACACCATTCTCTAGCCAGGTGTAGTGGTGTATGCCTGTGGTCCCAGCTACACGGAAGGCTGAGGCAGGAGCCCAGGAGGTCGAGGCTGCAGTGACCTGTGTTCACACCACTGCACTCCAGCCTGGGTGACAGAGTGAGACCCCTGTCTCAAAAAAAAAAAAAAAGAAAGAAAGAAAAAGAAAAAAAAAGATACTGTTCTCCTTCCTTCCTAATATGTGTGTGTGTGTGTGTGTGTGTGTGTGTATCAGTGCTTTCTGAGCTTCACATGCCCATGGGCCTGGGGTAAGCCAAATTAATAAACAATTCTGATACTCCCAGGGTCAGATGGACAGACAAGAAGGTTCAGGATTCTGTTCTATGGGGGATGGTTGAGGGTGTCTGGCTTCATCAGCTTGCAGCATAAATTAGTATATTAGCTCTATCTTCAAATGCTTGTAGAGCTACCCTGTGGAAGGCATTAGATGTTTTCATCTGTGTAAACAGAACCTGCCTGCAGTACTCTTGCTCACACAGTGGAATTAGACAGAGGCAGATTTTGTAAGGAAAAACTTTCTAAAACATTCTGCTGTTGGAAATAGAATGGGTTTTCTTTCTTTTTTTTCCCCCGAGACAAAGTCTTGCTCTGTCGCTGAGGCTAGAGTGCAGTGATGCAATCTCGGTTCACTGCAACTTCGGCCTCCCAGGTTTAAGTGATTCTCCTGCCTCAGCCTCCCAAGTAGCTGGGATTACAGGCGTGTGCCACCACACCCGGCTAATTTTTGTATTTTTAGTAGAGATGGAGTTTCACCATATTGGCCAGGCTGGTCTTGAACTCCTGACCTCGTGATCCACCTGCCTTGGCCTCCCAAAGCATTGGGATTACAGGAGTGAGCCACCACCCCAGCCTTGAAATGGAAGGGATTTTATTTATTTATTTATTTATTTATTTATTTATTTATTTATCTGAGACAGAGTCTCGCTCTGTCGCCCAGGCTGGACTGCAGTGGTGCGATCTCAGCTCACTGCAAGCTCCACCTCCCAGGTTCACGCTATTCTCCTGCCTCAGCCTCCCGAGTAGCTGGGACTACAGGCGCCCACCACCACGCCCGGCTAATTTTTTGTATTTTTAGTAGAGACGGGGTTTCACCGTGTTGGCCAGGATTGTTTTGATCTCCTGACCTCGTGATCTGCCCGCCTTGGCCTCCTAAAGTGCTGAGATTACAGGCGTGAGCCACCACACCCGGCCAATGGAAGAGATTTTCTAAGACAGATAGTAAGCCTCCCATCTTTGGAGGCATGCAAGCTGGGACCCAGCAAATCTCTGTCTGGGATGTTATGGAATCCCTGAGGGTCCTCCCATCTGTTAGACTCTGTGATTCTGGAAGTCAGAGTTCTAGGAACTACCTGGCTACAAAGGGAAAGAAACCCCAGACCACACCACACTGCAATACGTATGTGCCCAAGGCGGCCCTCTCCATCACGCTGGGGAAAGTAGGCGGGGAAGGGGGTTCCTAAAGGTTGAACCTGTCGGGGAAGAATTTTTTTTTTTTTTGAGACGGAATCTCGCTTCTTCTCCCAGGCTGGAGTGCAATGGCTCAATCTTGGCTCACTGCAACCTCCACCTCCTGGGTTCAAGCGATTCTCCTGCCTCAGCCTCCCTAGTAGCTGGGATTACTGGCATGTGCCACCATGCCGGGCAAATTTTTGTACTTTTAGTAGAGACAGGGTTTCACCATGTTGGCCAGGCTGGTCTCGAACTCCTAACCTCAAGTGATCCACCTGCCTCGGCCTCCCAAAATGCTGGGATTACAGGTGTGAGCCACCTTGCCCAGGCCAGGTAAGGTTTCTGTAAGGACTCTGATGGGTGGGATTTTGATGGGTGGGGGGTAAGGGGGGGCACTGATGAGGGGGAAAGAGCCAGGGAGGCTCAGCTGTGGGCCCTTGAGGAGGCCTTCCAGTTACAGAAAAGCAAGAAGGCTGGAGGGGTAAGTTGGGTCCCAGGTGAGAAGCTGAGATTTCTTCATAGGTAAGGGTTACTCTAGAGGTGTTTGACAGGGAGAAATCACACACACACACACACACACACACACACACACACACACACACACACACTTCAATTTGATCTAAGAGAAGTCAGGTTACAGGGCACGGCCAGGGCAGCTCAGAAAGAAATCCCCGAGGGCAGCCTGGGGGGAGGGGTGGTGCAGGACAGATGTGGGGGGCCAGGGCTTTCCCAGCTGATTAGATTACACAGATCTCAGGACACTTTCAGCCTTAGCCAAGGAGCCTTTTACTCCCTTGCTACCAACCCTCTCTCCTCAGGGCCTCACTGGGGCCTCCCTAGGGCCCTAGGTCAGGGAATGTGAAATCTGAGATTTTCCAGGAGCCTGAGCCCTGCAAGGATGGAATCTTCTCTACCTCCACTGCCCCAGCCTCTCCCCCAGGTGCTCCACTGCAGCCCCGGCACTATCCTTGCTTCCACTCTTGCCGCCTTTAGCTATTCTCTATACAGTACCCAGAGTCAGCTTTTACATTAGCTCATGTCTTTTCCCTGATTAAAAACTTCAACACCTGTTCCTGCTTCTAGAACTCCAGTCTCCTCACCATGCCCTATAAGGCCCTGCCTGGGCTTTCCTCTGCCCACCCCTCCGCCCTCCCCTCCACCCTCCCCTCCCTCACTGAGCTCTGGCCACACTGATCTTCCTGTTCCTCATGGAGGCCAAGCCCTTCCAGTGTTCCCTCTGCCTGCAGTGCTCCTGCCCAGGCCTTTAGAAGGTCAGCTCCTCTTCCTCGTTCCCCTCCTGGCTCAGACACCACTTTCTTGGAGAAGGCTTCCTGGAGTGTCCTCCCTTCCTCCCAGTGAGTACCTCTTGTAGGGCTTCTCAAAGCGTAATCCTGGATCAGCAGCGTCAGTGTCATCTGAGAACTTGCTAAAAACGGGAATTCCTTCGCTTTACCACAGACCCACTGGACCAGAAGCTCTGGGACTGAGCCCTGCAATCTATCCCTGAATGAGCCTTCCCGGCAATTCTGAGGCATCTGAGGTTTGAGAAGCACCATTCTATCATGTCATCAGATGATCACATTCTGACTCTTCCCATCCTTTGTCGTCGTTCGCTTATTTGTGATTTATCTGTCTCTTTTCACTAGACCATAAGTTCAATCATGGTGGGGACTTCGTAATACTCTTCTAGTATATCTCCAATATGTTGGACAGTGCTTGGTATTTGATAGGTATTTTTTTTGAATAAGTGAAAGAATAAATGGATGGATGGATGGTCAAACTAGGAGAGTGAGGAGAAATGCATTAAGGGTAATGCTTTCCTGGATTAAAGGTAATGCATTTTCTCTGGGACCAGTTGAATTTAAGGAGCTGGTGGGATCTCATGGGGCCGATGTAGGTGGCAATGTCACCGTTTATTCCTTATCAGTTACTTTACTCCCCGGGAGTGATCTAAATAATAACATGGGGCAGGGTTCCAGGCTGCGGTGACTTGGGAGATACCTGTTCTCAGGCAGAGGGGAGAATTCTGAGCTCAGAGGGTCCCAGTCCAGTCAGAGGAGAAGCCAAGTGGTCAGAGCAACTCCTCAGTCCCTCACTGCTAGGAGATGCTGCTTCCTTGGCTGCACAGTGGCGCTAGCATGAGGCAGAGGGAGAAAGCAATCATGAAACCCCTGGAAGAGGATCTTTAGAGGGACAGTATAGGCCAGGCATGGTGGCTCATGCCTATAATCCCAGCACTTTGGGAGGCTGAGGCCGGAAGATCACTTGAGCCTAGGAGTTCAAGACCAGCCTGGGCAACATGGTGAAACTCTGTCTCTACAAAAAATAAAATAAAATAAAATTAGCTGGGCTTGGTGTTGCATGCCTATAGTTCTGGCTACTCAGGAGGCTGAGGCTGGAGGATCACTTGAGCCCAGAAGTTTGAGGCTGCAGTGAGCTATGATCACACCACTGCACTTCAGCTTGGGTGAGCGACAGAGCAAGACCCTTTCCCTCTTAAAAAAAAAAAAAAAGACGTTATAAACAGCGCTTGCATCATACATGGGCAAAGGGAAGGGGAGAGAGAGAGAAACAGAAAGAGTGTATCAGAGGGAGTATAGCATAGTTCTTTTAATAGAATGGGACTAATAAAGACAGTTATGCGGTGCCTGCTTCCCTTTTCCCCAATGTCTCCTAACTCCTCTGGGGACTTCTGCTCCCTCACCAGAATGACCGTGGTGACCCTCAGCAGTGCCCTGTGCTCACCAGAGGGTGAAGCATAGACTGGTGTATGACAGGGGTGAGCGTGCCAGGGCACTGGTGGAGGAAAGCCTGCTCCCTGAGCAACATGCCCCACCCTGCTCCAGTGGCCTAGGGAGGGGAAGAGAGATGCCCTGCTGGGTCAGAGGGGGAGGAGCAGGGCCTGAACAGTCCAGTCTGGGATCCAGCCAGGGGAGCTCTGCTGGCTAAGAAAGAGGAGAGGAGCTGGAGATATTTATCTGGTCCTGCTCACAGAAAGCTCAGACTCAGGGGGCCTGGCTCCGCACCTGGCATTCTAGGTCCTGTCTTGCTCATCAGCTGTTAGTCACCTCACATCTGTCACTACAGCCAGGCTGGCTCCTAAGTGCCCACCTACCATGCTCCATGCTTTTCACTTCCAGCCTTTGTTGGTGACAGCTCACCCCTGCCACCAGCTGTTCTTATTGCTCTGTCCTGCTACACTGTAGATTCCTGGAAGGTGAAGAGGGAGCCTGATTTCTCTCTAGGTCCCTTGTAACACCTCCCCAGGGCTGGTATAGAATTGTGCTCCATGAAGCGGCATTAAGCAACTACATAAGCTTAGGTCTCCCCTTCCCTGATGGAGCTCCCTCTCCACCCTCAACCCTCCTCTTCTGAACATTTGCTGTGCTGCCTTCATTCCCCTCCTTCAGCACGGAAGCCCTGAATTCTGTCTACCCGCTTGGGCACTGACTCCTCGCAGCCCAGCACAGAGCTTGTCACACAATGGACTGGTTGATGGAGGATGTCCTTCTTTATCCTGCCCCATCCCCCAGAAGTACACACAATGGATCTGGAGAAGGGCAGAGCCCATGGGAGAGAGGCCAGTTCAATCCCCTGCCTTGTCCACCAGGGGCTAGCATACCACACGCATGCCTGTCCCTGCTGCCATGGCCTTCTTTCCCTCCTCTGACCCTTCTACGACCCTGGACCCCTGCAGGATTGGCCTGGAGGAGAGGCCAAGGGCAGGTGAGGAAGAGTGTATGGGTTCCCAGGCGGCCTGCCACCTCCCTGTGACTCCCATCTCTTGAATTCCCCCAATCATACTGGCTCTGCCTCCTCCTGCTGAGTTCCCATTGTCCCCTACCCCCACCCTCCCCAACCCAGGCCAGTGGCTGGGTCCCGCCCCTACCTTCGATGGGGGAGTTGATGAGGATGACGCGTCCCATGGGCGATGAGGCTCGGATTCCGCGGGGGGGCCCGTTCAGCAGCCGTTGTTGCTTCCTTAGCAGGTATCGCGTTGCGGTGGAGCCTGAGTCGCTGCCTAGGTGGCCTCGGGAGGAGAGGGAGCTCAGAGAGCCGGAGCTCAGGTCTCCTAGGCCCAGTGGGTCGAAGCCCACTGCGAAACCCTGCGCCATGGCGGCTGGGCTAGGGCGGCACCCTACAGGTCCAGAAGGAATCTGCTAGCTCTGGAGAGGCCAGCCCTGCGTGCTTCGAGCTCCATGAGCCTCTGTGCGGGGCTGGGGTCTCAGTAACGTGAAGGCCCTCGCTTGCGATGCCTCTCAGAAGTGTGAGCTCCAGGCCTGGGCAGGGAGAGCAGGGATGAGGGAGGGGTGTAAATGTTTCCCCTGCTGCCCCCTAAAACTTCCACCCCTCCCCCTGGTTTAAGCATCCTGCCCTCCCATGCCTTAGGCCCCCCTCCTGTCTCACCCTAGGCCAGAGAACTGCCCCGTCCAGGCACCATCTTGGACTCTCGCTGACTTTATACAAGGCAGGTGGGAACCTTTCACCCCTCATTCCTGCTCGGGGCTGAGTCATCTACTCCCGTCCCCAGTCCTCAGTAGAGGTTGAGAGTGGAGTTGGGATTACTGCGGGCCCTGGGGCTTAGAGAGGTGTGAGACAAAAGAGAGGTCAGGACAGCTCATGGCATCACCTCTCTCATGCATATGCGGGCATGGAGGTGGCCCGGGGTGGGGCGGGGGCTGCGTGGGGCGGGCTGGGCCTCGAGGATAGGGCTTCAGGACCTTAGACAGCTGAGGCCCAGGAAGACCCCCAGACACCCGCGGGCTCCAGGCTGCGGCTCCGGGTCTAAAGAGGCTGCATGAACCTCTCCCAAGCTTTGGGGAGGATCTGCTGGAGAGGGGTCCCACGACATCCCGCGCAAAACCCAGGGCCAGTTCCCTCAGAGAAGCTCTGGGACCTAGAATGAAGCACCCCAACATCAACTCGGCCCTCCAGGCCCCCCACCCCTTTGTGCCTGGTCGGCCTCACCTGGTCGCTGGTGTGGCGCCGCCAGCCTTGTCAAACCACCCGCAGGCGAGAGCTACTGCCGCAGCCGGCAAACCCCACCCACGCTGCGCGGAGGCTGCGGGAATTGGGCTGGCCTGCACCGCCCCGGGCTCCCATTGGCTGGTAGGGCCGCCAGTCATTCTATTCCGGCACCTCCCTTAGGCGCCAGGGACAGCCGAGCGTTACCTGGTCCCGGGCAGCGGAGTTCTTTACCCACCCCAGTTCTGGTTCTGACGCCCTAGCTCATTCCGCAAATTTAGGGCTTGGGTCTGGCTTGTTCCCCTCCGGCTCGAACCACCTCTTCTCTGAGCCGAGCCAGCTACCGGGGCTCCTGGAATTGCCACCCCTCCCTGGGCACCCTTGAGGCCTCCGTGGAGGGACGTCACGGGGCAGAGCGGGACGTGAGCCTGAGTTTGCTGCAGGCGTGCTCTGTGTGGTGGCTGGGTGAGTTGTGAGTATGTGCGTGGCGGAGGGGGTGCCTTCTTCACTTGCATCCTCCTCCTCTGTCAGAAGGCGTCTCTGGCTACCCAGTTCTGGAATGGTCGCAGGGTGGGGCAGCTGGTCCCAGGACCGGAAGAATCCTAAGAATCCTTCTGATGCACTTGCTCGGATGCAGACCGCGAGGTTCCTGGGGTCGTCTGCCCCTCCACATCTCAGGGGTGGGGCTACGGTCTGGGGTGCAGGGCTAGGGGTTGGGAGCGTAAGGAGACCAGGGACACAGTGGAGCTAGGGGTTACAGAGGGGGAGCAGGGAGAGGGCTGGGGACATAGAAGAGGCACAGGCACGACAGGAACGGGGCTGTGAAGTGATGCGAATGCCGCGCTGCTACAAGAGGAGCTTGTGGATACTGGGGTAGGAGCCCAGGGGGACAAGCAAGCCAAAGGCCATTGCCAAGGCAGCCATCAAGTAAACAAGCCAGGCGGTAACCCGAGTCCCTCCCGGCGCGCCAGCAGAGGACCGCCCCTCCACACCGCCCACCTGCGCCCGGGGCTTTCTCTCTGGGCACCTAGACCGCTTGCTGCAGGGCTGGGGGTCTGCTGAGGCCCGCCAGGGGACTGTAAACCAAGGGAGCAGCGCCCGCGGCTCCAGCCCCTCCTCCCTTTGGCTGGGGAGGGGGCCAGAACTGATCCCCGAGGTGGGATTGGCTCTGGGAAGCAGCTTAGGGCCTGGTCCAGGTGGCCCAGGCTGGGGGCATCGCCTCGAATGACACCCACCGCCCTCAGGTTCTGCCAATCCCCGTGCCCACCGGGTGGGCGCGGCCGGGAAGCTCCTGCCCCTCCCTGCTGGTCGGCGTCACGCGTGACGTCCCGCGTGATGGCTGGGAGGGCCCGGCGGCGACAGCGGAGGCAGAGAGGAAGGCGGTTCTGAGAGCTTCAGAGAGCGATGGAAAGCGTAAGTGCTCGCTCTCCCCGGCGGGCGGGGTTCTGGAATGGGGGTCAGAGAAGGAGGCCTGCCTTGAAACTGTCTGTCCTGGTGCAGTCAATGTCCTCGGCTCTGTGGAGGTCCAAGTCCACAGGGCACAAGGGAGGTTGGGGGGAGGAATGTCAGGGTGGGGCTGTGTGTAGTCACACATTCAAGTGTCTGCAGATGGGCACAGTGTGCGCCTGTAAAGGTGTTTGAAGGCCGGTGTATACAGGACACCTCCACTCTGTCTGTATGTCTGGGCAGGGTGTGCATGATAGTGTCTTTGTGTGTGGGTATGTGAGTGTGAGGGGAGGGCGTCTCTGCCTCTGCGGGAGGAAGTGTGGCTGGAGAGGATTAGTCATTCTGTAGGATTCTGCCCAACTCAGCCAGATGGCTGCACCAGGCTTTCCTCTCTGTGCTGGGTGGAGGGAGCAGCCACTGAATCCTGCTCTTATCCGGAGGCAAGTGGCCCAGAGAGAGGTGGATGAGTGTCTGTGCCAGCCCTGCCTGGCCAGGGACCAGGGAGAGCCTGGGGTCATTCAGTGTGAGTTGGAGAAAAATGGGTCTGTAGAGAGGACTTGTGCGTGCCCACATGCACACACATGGCTGACATCAGAGTCCCCTGATTGAGATCTGGAACAGATAAGCCCTGGGTGGCCAGTAAGGCCTTGCTCTCCTCCAATCAGGGACTGGAGTGTGGGATGTCTTGTGCCATTTTCCAAAACAGCCTTGGGGGTTTGTATCCAGGTCTCAGTGCAGCTGGGGCCTAAAGCTCACCTGAGCATGGGTGTGTAATATATATATTATATATTCTTGTGCATCTGTAGCACACGTGGCTGGGATGTTTGTTGCTGCTTATGTGTCAACCACATATATGTAAATCCTCACTCATGAAAATCTGTACCAGGATAGAGCACAAGGAGATCTGTTTTCCTGTTTCTGGTCTTCCCTTCCCCCTCCTCCAGTGGCTGCAGGTCCCTGGGCTGGGACATTGCCCAGGAAACAGCTCCTCCCCACACCCTTGCTTACCTACCTAGTTGAAGGGGTGGCCTGCCCCTCCACACCTGTGGGTATTTCTAGTAGGGTGGGACAAGAGACTGAGAAAAGAAATAAGACACAGAGACAAAGTATAGAGAAACAACAGTGGGCCCAGGGGACCGGCGTTCAGCATACCAAGGATCTGCACCGGCACCGGTCTCTGAGTTCCCTCAGTTTTTATTGATTATTATTTTCATTATTTCAGCAAAAAGGAATGTAGTAGTAGAGCAGGTTGATAATAAGGAGAAGGTCAGCAAAAAACATGTGAGCAAAAGAATCTATGTCATAATTAGGTTCAAGGGAAGGTACTATGCCTAGATGTGCATGTAAGCCAGATTTATGTTTCTCTCCACCCAAACATCTCAGCGGAGTAAAGAATAACAAGGCAGCATTACTGCAAACATATCTCACCTCCCACCATAGGGCGGTTTTTCTCCTATCTCAGAATTGAACAAATGTGCAATCGCGTTTTATATGGAGACATTCAGTTCCCAGGGGCAAGCAGGAGACAGTGGCCTTCCTCTATCTCAACTGCAAGAGGCTTTCCTCTTTTACTAATCCACCTCAGCACAGACCCTTTATGGGTGTCAAGCTGGGGGACGGTCAGGTCTTTCTCATCCCACGAGGCCATATTTCAGACTATGCATGGGAAGAAACCTTGGACGATACCCCGCTTTCAAGGGCAGAAGTCCCTGTGGCTTTCCGCAGTTAATTGTGCCCCTGGTTTATTGAGACTAGAGAATGGCAATGACTTTTACCAAGTATACTGCTTGTAAACATTTTGTTAACAAGGCACGTCCTGCACATCCCTAGATCCCTTAAACCTTGATTTTATACAACACATGTTTTTGTGAGCTCCAGATTGGGTCAAAGTGCTGGGGCAAAGTGGCTGGGGCAAAGCTACAAATTAACAACATCTCAGCAAAGCAATTGTTTAAAGTACAGGTCTTTTTCAAAATGGAGTCTCTTATGTCTTTCCTTTCTACATAGACACAGTAACAGTCTGATCTCTCTTTCTTTTCCCTACATCTAGTCACCTTGAGCTCTTGAAGGGACTGATGATAAGCTCAGGGGCCAGGGCAGGGGCACCAAAGATTTCCCCTAGCTGGAGCCCTTGGACCCTTGGACTCCCGCTCTGACCCTTATCTCTGTCCTGCAGAAAATGGGTGAATTGCCTTTAGACATCAACATCCAGGAACCTCGCTGGGACCAAAGTACTTTCCTGGGCAGAGCCCGGCACTTTTTCACTGTTACTGATCCTCGAAATCTGCTGCTGTCCGGGGCACAGCTGGAAGCTTCTCGGAACATCGTGCAGAACTACAGGTGACCACCCCTCAATCTGACCCTGTGTGCCAGGATCTCATTTTCTGTGATTAATATAATATGTTTTGTACCTGCCTCCTCAAGCTTGACAGTGACCCTGTCCCTCAATCCCCTCACTCTCTAGCCCCGTCTGTTGGCATCACAGAGCTTTAACCCAAAGGATTTTAGGGCATTTGGGTTGAGAAGATGGCATTGATATTTATGGGAGGGGCTGCTCTATGCATCACAAACCTCTACAGGGATCTATCCCATTGCGGGGTCACCCTCTGCAAGGATAGAGGTGCTCAAAGTGGAGTCCCAGGAAGATAGGAGGGAAATCCCCTTATCTTTGGGAGGAAAAACTCTTGCAATGCTTGCAGCCATTTTTGACCCACTGGAAACCACCATCATCCCTGACCCAGCATTTTGGCAGAAACAGAAGGGTACCCCTCTTTGTGTGGCTATAAGGGAAATAGAAATAGGAGCCTCCACTTCTGGGAAACTTTGGCCCTCTCCCAAAGATAAGGAGCTTCCTTATGCTGAGACTGGGGGCTGAAGTTCCTGGTTCTCTGTCCAGAGTTACCCTGAGCTGGGCAGGTGGGGCCTGTGAGGGCAGATCTGCCCCCTGGCATAGCCTGTCTGCTCCTTGCCAACTTCTGCAGGGCCGGCGTGGTGACCCCAGGGATCACCGAGGACCAGCTGTGGAGGGCCAAGTATGTGTATGACTCCGCCTTCCATCCGGACACAGGGGAGAAGGTGGTCCTGATTGGCCGCATGTCAGCCCAGGTGCCCATGAACATGACCATCACTGGCTGCATGCTCACATTCTACAGGCAGGTCTTGTCCCACGTCCCCTTCTTCAGTGCCCTAAGCTAGAGCATAGCTTGACTAGGTGCGCTTCTTGTCTGGGCCAACTGGGTGAGTGAAAGATTGTGTCAGAATCGCTTCCATTCCTCAGAATTCAGCCTCAGGAGGTCTCTCACCCCAGAGACAGTAGGTGTGTTTGTATAAATGGGGGTGGGGGTACATAGGGGTTACCAGAACAGGTTCTAGGGCCATTAACTGGGTCCCTTCTTAGGCTTGGGGAATAACCTTTGGTTTCATTACAGGGGTCTAAAGATGAGGGCCACTGTAGACGGGGCAGAAGTGAGTGTCTTTGTTCCCTCAGGAAGACCCCAACCGTGGTGTTCTGGCAGTGGGTGAATCAGTCCTTCAATGCCATTGTTAACTACTCCAACCGCAGTGGTGACACTCCCATCACTGTGAGGTGAGAGCCAGCCCCCAGCAGCAGCTGCACTGTCCCATCTGACCCTCTCCTCCCAGCCTGCAGTGCCCTCTCCTTTCTCTCCGGTTCCCTGTGGACCATGCAGCCAGTGCTCAGCGCCCTCTCCTCAGCCTGCCCCACCCCGAATTACCCTGCCTAACTGAAGGCATGAGGTCCTCTTATGTATGCTGTGGGGGACCCACCCCTCTTCACAGGGTGCTACTGGGGCTTCTAGACAAGTTTACGCCGGAGATGGAGGGAAGGCTTCTTCTGCAAGGAGCTTCCCCTTTTATGCCTCATGTATTGAGGACTTGGCATATCCCTAAAGGAAAGGGCCACCTGCTGGACTTGTCACCTCTCCCCGTGACCTGGCTTTTCCACCCACAGGCAGCTGGGGACAGCCTATGTGAGTGCCACCACTGGAGCTGTGGCCACGGCCCTGGGACTCAAATCCCTCACCAAGGTAAAGGCCCCTCACTCCCCTGACCACCCCATTCATCCTCTATCTGCCTCCTTCTTCCTCATCACACCTCCAGTTCTGACCTATATGCCCCCTATATCTCCCCAGAGTCCCTCACCACCCCATGGCCCTTAGGGCCACTGAACAACACCCTTCCTCCCCAGCACCTGCCCCCCTTGGTCGGCAGATTTGTGCCCTTTGCAGCAGTGGCAGCTGCCAACTGCATCAACATCCCCCTGATGAGGCAGAGGTGAGTGACCCCGGCTCCTGGCATGTGCATGCCCAGAATGTAGCACACTGTCCATCCACGCAGACCACCTCAGAATGGGGACATCCCTCTCCCTCCCCAGACATGAGCTGCTGGGCCCTGGCTCAGTCTGACCCTGGGATCCTCAGGTGGGAGAACCAGCCTTTGAGCCTGGGGTGTGTGAGGGGACCCTGAGGAGCCGCTGCTCATTCGGGCATTGCAGGTGGGATCCGGGGCCTGTGATCTGACCCCAACCCCCCTCCCTTGCAGAGAGCTGCAGGTGGGCATCCCGGTGGCTGATGAGGCAGGTCAGAGGCTTGGCTACTCGGTGACTGCAGCCAAGCAGGGAATCTTCCAGGTGGTGATTTCAAGAATCTGCATGGCGATTCCTGCCATGGGTAAGGCGGGAGTGGCTGGGTGGGGCATAGGAGACTCTGAGAGAAGCAGGTGCAGTTCTCAGGGACTTTGGAGGACTCTGGGGAGAGAGGGAGGAGCTTTGAGGGGGGTCACCCTTCACAGTTCCTGACTTTAACTCCACTACTAATGTTCTCCTTCTTGGCCCTGCTCTCCCCACAGCCATCCCACCACTGATCATGGACACTCTGGAGAAGAAAGACTTCCTGAAGGTAGGCGACTGTACCTCTCTTGTCCTGGAATGGGCGATGGCTGGGAGAAGTGACCAGGCCCCAACTCTCTCTCCAGCCTCGCCTGATTCTCTAAGACTTGCCAGCCCTTCTCCTGACCCCTGCACCGCCTCCTCCACCTTCGTTCATTCAGCAAGAATGAACTGGGCTGGGGTGAAGGAACTCTGCAGGGGCAGGAGGAGAGGACAAAGGAAGGAAACCAACTTCATCAGTGTTACTCCAGTGGCTTCTGACACACAGAAGGGGACTGTCATAGTCATGCTTGATCTCATGCTCATTCTTTTACCCCCTAGTGCCTCCATACTGAGAGGTACACACGGGTGAACACGCACACACAGACATGAACAGGACACGAAAGCAAAGCACAGGAACAAGCTCTGGCTCATTCACAGAATCATTTATTCACAAATGTATTGAGTGCCATGCACCAGGCATGTTTTAGGGCTGAGGAGATGGCACTGAACACAATGGTTATGGCCCCTGTCCTCATGAAGTTTATAGTCTGATGCAGAAACCAATAAACAAGGAGGCACCCAATAAATACATTCTTAGAAAGTGTAATATGTGCTTTGTAGGAAAGCAATGGGGGTAGTGTAATTGAGATTCATGGGGGAGAGCTGTTTAGATAGGATGATCAGAGAAGGGGTCTTTAATGCCGCAAAGGATGAGGAGAGAGCCAAATAACGCAGAGAAGAGTGTTTGGGGTACAGAAAACAGTCAGTGCAAGGGCACTGCAGTAGGAGGGGCTTGCACATTTGAGGAACAGGTTGGTGGTCCCTGTGGCCAGAGCAAATTGAGAAGAGTGCCGAGGAAGAGATGTGCTTGGAAAGGGTCAGATTCATGCCACTGGGATGGGAAGAGGTAAGTGGAGGTTCACAGGAGGTTTCCTGAAGAAATCAGCTCCTGGAGGAAGTGAGGGAAGAAAAAAAAGGGCCAGGGAGTGCCATGGCAACCAATTCTGAGAGGTGAGAGGTCATGGGATGCCGGGGAGGGTGATCAGCAGACAGGCCTGGCTGGAGTGGAAGGGCGTGATCTGGAGGTCCCAGCCCTGTCATTGCCTTGGGAGAAAGAAAACGGCCACAGGTCTAAGGGCTCCAAGGCAAGGCTGATGGGATAGAGCTATGGTGGGTGAAATGGGGTGACAGTGAGGCAGGGGACACAAGCCGTTCCATTGTCTTTCTGTCTCTCCACAGCGCCGCCCCTGGCTGGGGGCACCCCTGCAGGTGGGACTGGTGGGCTTCTGGTAAGTGTGCAAGGAGTTAGCTGGGGTGTGTGGGAGTGCCTTGTCCATGGTGGATGTGGGTGGGTATGGATTGTCTTTAAGATGTTTATAGACATCATCCATTCATACATTCAGTGGGTGTGTGTTTGGAACAACTATAGGGTCTACTTTGTGTGTTACGGGGTGGTCCCTGTCCTTGAAGGTCAAGATCCTAGTGAGGGGGTTCCAGTCTTCATCTATAAGAGGAAACCATGGAAATGTACCTTTTGGTGCCATCCAGGAGATTCATGCCCATTTAATTCCTGATTCTGCCACTTACTGGTTGTGGGGCTCTCTTTCCTCAGAACCTGATGTCCAGGTTGGGTTTACTATTCCTAAAAGGTCCTTTCAGCTTTTATCAATCTCCACCCCTAGGGCCTATCTCCAAGGATGGGGTGGGGTGCAGGGAGGGAACACCCTAAGGCCAAAGCTTTACAAACCTTTCCAACACTTGTCTCCCCCAGCCTGGTATTTGCAACCCCCCTGTGCTGTGCCCTATTCCCCCAGAAGAGGTAAGTGCTGTCCCTGGGCTGGGTGGGGGACTCTGGATTGGACTCTGCATCTCTGGACCAGCTGACCTAGGGTCTTCCAGGGTGTTCAGGAGGAGGCCTGGCAGGCACTCCACTGATTCTGGGAGTGGGGGAATGACAGTGAGCCAGTCCTTCTGGCAGTAGAAGGAGAGGATTTTTCAGCCTGGGAGGAGGTGGGATGGCAATCCCTGGGCCTGAGTGGGGTTGGATTCAGGGGACGTTAACTGGCCTGTGCTGTTCTATTGCAGCTCCATACACATAAGCAACCTGGAACCAGAGCTGAGAGCTCAGATCCATGAGCAAAACCCCAGCGTTGAAGTGGTCTACTACAACAAGGGGCTTTGAGGAGGGTCAGCCTCTGTCCCCTCCCTCACTTCCTTGGGCTGCTGCTTTAGTGGAGTCATGTCACCCCTACCACTTGGCTATCTGCCTAGCACTGGGCAGGGGCCTTGGTGGGCAGATGGCAATTGAGGGTAGCAACCTATTAGGGTGGGGGAGGGACCTCCATAAGGCTTTTCCTCCCTTCTCTGGTTTCAAAGATCAGAGCACATAACCCCTCCTGTGCTTGAGTGTCCATGCATATACATACATGATACACATGTGTATGTGTACATTGGGTCCTGAAAGCTAGAAGCAGGCATGCTAGCCTAGTATGTTCTGACATCTGGCTTCCCTTCTCAGCCTCATGTCCACCTGCCTGCCAGCCAGGCTACAGGTGTGACTTCCTTCTCTAAACTGTTACACCAGCCAAGTTATTTTTGATGGCACCTCATCCCTTCTAGAAATAGGAGGAGCCCCAGGATCTCAGGACAGAGACTTATAGACACTAGTAGGACAAAGCGGGCTGAATCCTTCAGGTTTCTGATACCTAGCTCCCCAAGCTGACTGGGCTGGCAGAGGAGAACATGTTGAGACAAGGGAGGCAGGGGACTTATGCATCCCTCAGTGCCATCCCTTGTATCCTGGAATAGCTCCATTTCCCCTCCTCCTCTCTACCAGACAAAGGAGTGCCTGTGTCCTGTACTGCCCTCGCTGTCTCCCCCACCACCCTACTTGACAGCGTGGGCATCTTCAGGCACAGCCTTGGGAGTTCCTGGTGTGCTCTGACATCATGACCTCAAATCTAAATCCTCCAATCCCAACTCCCTTTCCCAAACAAAAAGCCACAGAGGCAGAGCAAGCATTCCCCTTTAAGAGCTTCCACTGCACCCCCTCCCAAGGGACACAGCGGTAGGAATGGTGCTTAAACTCCACAGGTATCAGAGAGGGTGTAACTAGGACATCCTCAAGGGCAGCTAGGCCCCGAATGTACAATGTTAAGACAGGGAATTTTGTGTTCCATTGACTTTTTTTTTTTTTTTTAATGGAGTTTCACTATTTTGCCCAGGCTGGAGTGCGATGGTGCGATCTTGGCTCACTGCAACCTCTGCCTCCTGGGTTCAAGTGATTCTCTTGCCTCAGTCTCCCGAGTAGTGGAAATTACAGGTGTGTGCTACCACATCTTGCTAGTTTTGTATTTTTAGCAGAGATGGGGGTTTCACCATGTTGGCCAGGCTAGTCTCGAACTCCTGACCTCAGGTGATCCACCTGCCTTGGCCTCCCAAAGCACTGGGATTACAAGCATGAGCCACTGTGCCCAGCCTGTTCCACTGACATTTCTTAGACATTCAGCAAAACCCCCACCTTAACCTCTTTTCTTTCTTGAGGGTTGGTCCTGTCCCCACCTCCACCCTCCCACCCCCTGGAAGAGGAAGGGCCCGGGCATCAGTGGCTAGTCCAAATAAAATATGGGCTTGGGGATGGAATGGGTGGTGGTAAGTTCACAGAGTGTAGTTAGATCCCAACTCCCATGACCTCTGGCTTCAGTGGTGGGTGGGGCAGGGCAGATGAAAGGGCTTCAGTGGGAACCTCTGAGAGCATTTTCCTGTTCCCCCTATCAACCGCCCCCAGTGATAACATCTGTGAAGCCAGCCATTACTCAATAAACTGCAAACTTGTCTACTTCTTGGTCTTCACTTGATTCCACGTCCTGAGGGCCCAGAAAGAGTCCCCTGCTTGCAGCCTTCCGTCTCTCCCTGGACTCTCCCCAAGTCCAGGTCTTGTCTCATTCCTCCCCCTGTGTAGGGAGCCTCATGCCCCAGCAGAGGGAGCTCTGAGATTAGAAAATCAGTCCTCCCTCTGGCACCCCCAAGTATGTACTAAGACAGAGGGCGAATGTAGATGCTTTCACCTTTTTTTTTTTCCTTTTCTTTTCTTTCTTTCTGTTTTTTTTTTTTTTTTTTTTTTTTGCGACAGGGTTTCACTCTATCACCCAGGCTGGAGTGCAGTGGCACCATCATGGATCACAGCTCACTGCAGCCTCAACCTCACCAGTTCAATTGATCCGCCTGCCTCAGCCTACCAAGTAGCTGAGACTACAGGCACGTGCCACCACACCCAGCTAATCTTCTGTATTTTTTTATAGAGATGGTTTTTGCCAAGTTGCCCAGGCTGGTCTCCAATTCCTGGGCTCAAGCCATCCACCTGCCTTGGCCTCCCAAAGTGCTGGGATTACAGGCGTGAGCCACCGTGCCCGGCCTAGATAACCAGTTTTAATTTCATCCTGTCCTGTCAATCACCAAGCCCACTGGAATCCTTAGTCAACTCTTAAAGCTCTTTCTGCAGTTACACTTTTGGCCTTTGGCAATCCCCTTGAAAAGAGGCCTTGTATTGCCAAAAACTGCAATCACTTTTGCACCAACCTAATACTTTTACTGGAAAATCTATGTAACATAACCCCATGTGGGGAGTGAGGTACAGAAATCTCTGCAAAACAAAACCCTTAAGAACATTTTATAACAGAATTATCTGTGCTCCACAGGTATCACTAAACCATGTCAGAGAAAAGATTGGCCAGGGCACTAGTGGGCTTCTCTGTCATCTTTCCTTCCTAATTCCACACCAGTTTCTCAAACACGTCAAAAGAGTTAGCTATAGGGCACATCACAGGCTCTCTAGGGACAAACCTTAGCCAATCATACCTTCCAAACTGCCTCCTTATACTTGGAAATTTCCTCAGAAGTCAGCATTTGGGCTGACGCAGCACGTTTTTCACTAGAAAGTGCTCTGCCCCATTCTTGGGTGGGCCTCCTGTCTTCCTCCCAGACCTCAGACTTTAGGAACTTTCTCTGGAAGCCTGAATTGGTGTCTTTGACCTTCCCTCCCATCTTCTTCCCCTTGCCTGGCCTCATTTGCTCCAGAGCCCCCATCCTGCCTATTATGAAGACCCGAAAGACCACAACCTTCCCTCTCTCCCTGCCCATGTTTTAAGTTTAGCCTGGCCATAGGGAGGTGGTCAAGTAGGGATATTCTGCTCCTTTCCAGGATCACCGGAACCAATGACACCTGCTTCCTAAGGACAGGTAATCAGGACCAGCTTCAACTCTGGCACTGTGGGGCTATGCCAGACTCTGGCCTAGTCCTGCTGGGTCTGATGCCCTACAGGTCAGAGCCAAGCCCCATTTCCTCCCAGTGAAGCCTGTCCATTTCAAGCCCCGCCCCCGGGCCCTCGCGGTCAAAAGTAAGCCACCACCTTCTGGGAACAGTCAGAAGCAGAGTCCCGCCCCTGCTGTGGTCCCTGTCAGTCAAAGCTAGGCTCGGCTCCGCCTCCTTCCCGTTTCCCGAGCAACGGCTTTAGTACCTCAGGCCCCGATTCTCGCTCACCTTCCGGGTCGGAGCCTGGAAGCTACGTCTCAGATCCGCCTTCCCGCTGACCTCGATCCTGCGCCGTTAAATCCACCAAGTCCCCCTCCCTCCTTTCCAATATCGAAACCCACGAATTCCCTAGCGCCAGCCCTTTGACTTCCTGCCCAAAAATCCGCGAGGTTTTCGAGGAATCACGCGAGGACTCTCCTCCTGGATCCCAAGCCCAGGTTTTTTTTTCAGCTGCCTCTGAGGCTGTTGGCTCTTTCTTCGGCGCCGTCCTCCTCCTTTCCCTCTCTCCACCCTTGCGCCTAACAGTCCAGGAAACGTTTGCTGAACTCTTAATTGTGGCTCTGTGGCCGGCGCTGGGTAGAAATGGGCGGTTGGGTGAACAGAGAAGCTACCCTCTCACCTGCAGGGACACCGCGCGTGCCCGAAAGGCATGAAGGACAACCTTTTGCTAGGAATTGTGGAGGAATCTTGATTCAGCTGTATTATCCCCAAAAGGGGAGTTTCCTAAGATGCTCCCTTCTCTCTTCTTTTATTATACACATCTTTTCCCTCATTGGGTCTCTCCTAGGCTCCAGTGTCAGCTCAGGCTGCCAGACAAAGGCAGCCTCCGCTCCAGGCCACAGCCTCCCATAGCTTCCTCCTTCCTGTCTTCTCAGACCAGCAATGTTTGCAACTAAATAACGACCTGGAGAAGGCAGGAGGAACCTTGCATAGCTTGGACTACACACACAATCCCACATCCAACACATCCAGTAGGAAAATAACCCCATGCCTTTAATAAAGAAACGAGAAGCTCCTTCAGGCTGAAGTGCTTGCTTATGGGGCAAGAGTTTGCTATGTTAACCTATAAATTAACCAGCTATGTTATTTTCCTTCCGACCTCTCCTCCTCTATCACCAGCAAGTCCTCATCAATTGACAATTTTTATTTCCCAAAAGGAACACTTTGGTTTGGGTTTTGAGATTATTTTGTTGAAACCAACAGAAAATAATTGTGGCTAGCTTCAGTAAATAGGGGGAGATATTGGAAGGATTCTGCTATAGTTTTCATACCCAGAGATGGAGGTGAACAATAGGACTGGAAAGGACAAAGCCAACTTTGGGGGTGTCAGCAGCTGGAGTTTATGGGCATGGCAATCCCCTTGAAAAGAGGCCTTGTATTGCCAAAAACTGCAATCACTTTTGCACCAACCTAACACTTTTACTGGAAAATCTATGTAACATAACCCCATCTGGGAAGTGAGGTACAGAAATCTCTGCGAAACAAAACCCTTAAGAACATTGTATAACAGAATTATCCCTGCTTACTCCAAGTTTCAAAAACTGGAGCAGCTTAGATCAGTTGTGTACCCCTAGGAGGTGGCCAGGGGTCAGGGTCAACAGGCAAGGACATTGGACATTCAGGTTTACCTCTGACGTTGAGGCTGTAACCAAAGAAGGGCAATTGCTGTGAACTGGGAATCACCCTGATTGGTATTTACTACAACATGTACTACTGGCCCTATACAGATGTTTCTTTCCAGTTTAAATGAAAGCCCCACTGAGGGCAGGCACCATATCTTCACTTTAAAATTGTAGTAAAAAACACATAACATGAAATGTACCATCTTAGCCATTTTTAAGTGTACAATAATGTTAACTATATTCACATTGTTGGCTGGGCATGGTGGCTCACACCTGTCATCCTAGCATTTTGGGAGGCCAAGGCAGGAGGAGCCCTTAAGCCCAGGAGTTTGAGACCAGCCTGGGCAATATAGGGAGACACTGTCTCAAAAAAAAATTTACATATATATATATATATATATATATATATATATATATATATATATACACACACACATATATATATTTTCACATTGTTGTGAAACAGGCTCCAGAACTTTCTCTTGCAATTCTGAAACTATATACCCATTAAACACCAATTCATATATTTACTTTTAAATGCCCACAGCATCTACAATAGTGCCTGATCCACAGTAGGTACTCAATACTTATTTGCTCAATAAATAAATGAGGAATCCAAATGTGCCCTAATTCCCACCCATATATTGATCTCAGGTAAGGTCACAAACACAGTGGTTCTCAATCTGTTTTATACCTCAACAAACGTAAAAATGTGACACCTTCAAAACAAATGATGGCTCACAGCTTTAGTGATTTTCAGCCTGGAGGATGGGGAAGGATGTCCTCCCAGGGAGTCATATCAGAATCTTGGGGGTAGCATGCCTTGAAAAATCCCCTGAGGAAGTGACGCTTGCCCCCTAGTTATTATAGTCAGCAAGATGAAGGAAGAACTCAGCTCCTCCCTCCCTCTTCTCTTGTCTCTTCAGGAGTTTCCAATGCAGAGAATGGGGTGTTGGAGAGAGTGTCTCATGTGTAATCAGAGCCACTCTCTCCAAGTCTGTTGTTTATCTGTTTCCCTGCACAAGCCAATGCCTAGTTCCTTTGGCAGTTCCCTGTGGGGCTGACCTACCCTTCACATCTGCAGCTTCTTGGGGCTGGCACCAAGCTGCTATCGCTTAAGGCAGGCTGGAAGGGAGACAACTTCACCGTACTGTTGTCCAGTTCCTAGAGAGTGGTCCCACAGCTGTGTTGCTTGGCCTTAGTGATATAGGATTTCATTTTCATGACCTTCTTTCCAAGGCACCAAGGCACAGTGGGGTGGGATGGTGATGCTGGTCAGTGACGGTATCAGGTAAAACATCACCCTGCACTCTACCTGGCAGCATTACTTTCTAAATTCTCAAGTCTTCTGAGTCTGGTTCATCCTGCTGGATTTGTTCATCACTGCTAATGATCTTTTCTTTCTCTCTCTCTCTTTTTTTTTTTTTTTTTTTTGAGATGGAGTCTCACTCTTGTTGCCCAGGCTGGAGTGCAATGGCGCGATCTTGGCTCACCACAACCTCTGCCTCCCAGGTTCAAGCGATTCTCCTGCCTCCGCTTCCCGAGTAGCTGGGATTACAGGCACATGCCACCACGTCCGGCTAATTTTTATTTTTAGTAGAGAAGGGGTTTCTCTGTGTTGGTCAGGCTGGTCTCAAACTCCCAACCTCAGGTGATCCGCCTGCCTTGGCCTCCCAAAGTGCTGGGATTACAGGCGTGAGCCACCATGCCCGGCTGTTAGCTATTTCTTTTGACTTAAGGTGCTGTGAAAAAAATTACTGAAAAACTAAGGGTTCTATGGATGTAGAAAGTTTGAGAACTTCTGTCCTAAATAAATGAAGGAAGAAATGAAGGAATACAGGCCAAGCATTGTGGCTCACACTTGTAATCCCAACACTTTCAGAGGCCAAGGTGGGAGGATGGTTTGAACCCAGGAGTTCAAGACCAGCCTGGGGGACATATCAAGACCCCATCTCTAAAAAAAAAAAAATTTTTTTTAACTAGCTGGGTGTGCTGGCATGTGCCTGTAATCGTAGTTACTCAGGAGGCCAAGGCAGGAGAATCACTTGAACCCAGGAGTTCGAGGTTACAGTGAGCTATGATTATGTCATTGCACTCCAGCCTGGACAAGAGAGTGGAGCCTGTCAAAAGAAAGAAAAAGGAAAGAAATAGAGAAAGAAAAAGAAAGAGAAAGAAAGGAGAGAAAGGGAGAGAAAGAGAAAGAAAAGAAAACAAAGGAATATCACTGGGCTGCATTTGGGTGTCAGACCTGCCCTCTGTAAACCCACCAGGTACTGTGCCTTTGCAGGAAATTTTCCCTTGTTGGTGGGAAGTTCTAACCTTATTTCAGCAGTTCAAGGTTGTTTACAATGTGATCAGAGGGTGTTAGGGAACCCATCGGGACTGGGCATGGTGGTCCAGGCAGGGAAGGCAGAGCTTCACTGGCCAGGCCAGGCCAAGCCATCTCAGAAGGTCAGAGACAGAGGAGGGAATGGAGGCTGAGGACCGAGGGGCCCCTCTTTGTGTCTATGCTCTGTATCTCCCGCCGAGCGGCACCAGGTAGGCGGAGTCTCTTTCCCCAACTCGATCCCCGAGGACCTGCTCCAAGCTGTGACTACTGGAAGCTACTGTGGGTCTGCTGGAAGGGAAGGATGTGCTATCTCTCTCCGCCACTGGAGACCTCGGGGCCTTCAAGCGCCTCATCCAGGAGAAGGAGGGGAGTGGGCACCGCTGGGGCTCCACGCAGGTCCACACCCCTCCCTCTTTCCTGCCGGCATCCTCAGGTGACTGGCAGGCGCCGTCCCGGCTCAAAGACCGCAGAGCCCGCGGGTCCCCAGCTCATACATTAAATATGTGGAGGCGTTGGGACTGCGTGCCACAAACATGAAGACAAATTTTTAATCCCGAGCAAGAACATGCTGGGAGATGGGGGGCGCAGGAGAAAAATGAATTAGGTTTTTATTATGTGTTTTATTATGCTGTAATTGAACAGGATTAGGTGAGAATACAATATATTTCTGATGCAGCTGGAGGCGGGAGAGGGCGGGAGAGAAGCTGACAGCAAACGGGAGACAGCCAAACCCGCAGAGAAGCCCGGTCTCCGGGAGGCAGCGGGTCCCAGCGGAGGGCCATGGAGTGGCGCCAGCGCGGCTGGGTGGGACCACCTCTTCTTTCCCAGCAGTCTGGGCCAGGATGGGGGCGAGGGTGGTGGTGACTGCATTGAAAGGACGGGGTTAGGGACAGGTCCCACTAGCTTATGCTGGAGGAGGGGACGGGCTTGGGAGTTGGAGGGCTGGGGAGCTTGAAAACCCGCCTCAGAGGGGAAACTGAGTCACAGAGAAGGAACGGGAGCGGCAGTAAAAAGACAGGACGCTCTTGATCACTGGGGTCCGGAGGTCCCGAAATTCTCACTTGACCCTAACATCTCTCCCCTGCACACGTGAGGCACAGGCCTTGCAGGTCAGCAAACATTTCGGAGCACCCAATTTGTGTCTGGTCCTCGCTTATTGCAGGACGACCCGGGTTATCGGACACCCCCCCTTCCCACCCCAATCCCACCCAACTCCTGTCACCTTAGAAAAGATCCATATCTAGGCAGGCCTAACTCAGCATCCTACCCCAGCACTGCGCCTTCAGAAGGCCCCCTCAGGTAAAGGGCGCCCAGGTGAGCTCCCCCACTCCACACACCCAAAGCTGGACTGTCGGGGCGGACGAACCTACCTCTCACCCCTGGAACCGCCTCCCTCCCCCGGCTTCCCTCTCCGTCCGCCCCAGCCCGGGCAGCTTCATTAAGGGCCTCCGCCAGCTCTGCAGCTCACCTGCTGCAGCGCCCCTCGCGCTCCGCAAGGTACCGGCTCCTGGCGGTGATGAAGAGGCCCATTAACCACTTCTACCTTTAGGGCGGACTGGGCCGCACTCCCCGCCTCCCAACCAGGACATTAGAAACCGTCAACCAAGATTAATAGTTGCCCGGCTCCGGGGCAGGGAGATGAGCCCAGATACTGCGGCGGCGGCGCTCGCTTCGCGCGAGCCAACCCGGCACGGGCTGGGCGCACCACCTGCCGCTGCTGTCGCTCCACTCCGCCTTCCTTTCTTCTCCTCCTACCACTCGCCCGCGCACCTGAGGCTCTCAGGTGAGTCCAGCAATGGGATTGCGAGCGTCAGTGTTCTCTGCTGCGTCGCCGACCTGGGCGCGCTCGAAGGCAAGTCTTGGCACTTCGGGGAAGAAGGGCTCGCCCTCTCCAGGAGACTCCTCCAGCTTTCCTGCTGCCTCGATTTAAGGACTTCCAACCTTAAATGATGGCCGACCATCGCTTTTTTGGACAGGCTTCCTTGGCCCCCGCCCTCCCTCAATTCAGTTCTCTTATTCTCTCTCCGTGCGCCCCGTCATACTTTTCAGCATACCTACCGTATTTGTGCTTTTGCCTTTATTTGTGCGGCAATTATTGGGCGATTATATCATTGATGTCTGGCTCCCTCACTGGACTGTGGGTTCCAGGGGGAAGACGCCGCAGTTTTGCTCACCAGGGGCTCCGATGTGCATTCAGTAATTGTGTGTTGAATGAATGAGTGGGCAACAGGCTTGTCCCCGGTTTGTTTATTGGAATATCTGCTTCCTGTGCAAGCCTCCTGGCTGCTTAAACTTCCTCACAGCACCTGCACTCTTTCTCCTGACTCCTATTATAATTGTAACACTGATTTCCATGATGTCAGTTCAGCGTCTTCTCCCCCTTGGGACCATGAGCTCCTGAGGCAGGTGGAGCAGAGCACACAGCCGCCTCCCCAGTGCCTGCCAGCAGGGAACTAGGCACTTGGACTGGAGCCTTGGGGCTCTTCTGGCCCCATTCTTTTGAGGACTCTGTGGTCTGGAGAGGCAGAGTGACTTGCAGGAGGTCACATAGCCAGTTAGAAGCAAAGCCAGGATGAAAACTTTCCTCTTCGACACTGTGATTTTTCTACAAAGATCACACCATCAGGGACCCCAAGGAAGCCCCTTCTGACTTCTGAAGTTGCTGGGCTTTGGGGAGCCTGTGGGGTTGTCCTAGGAATCTCTTCCTTTGGCGATGATGGTGACCCAGAACTCAACCTCTCCTGGGAGGTAAAGGAGTTCGGGGCGCAGGGGTGCCCTGTACTGTGTGTCAACAGGGGCAAATTCTTTCAATTACATCTCAACTCCAGTTTCTCTTCTTTGGATGTAAAACCACAGAAGTCCTCTTTCTCCAATCTCGGAGAGAGGTGAACTGTCTCTGGTTTCCCTCCCTCCCCACCATTAGAAGAAATGTGGGCCGGGCTCGGTGGCTCACGCCTGTAATCCCAGAACTTTGGGAGGCTGAGGCGGGAGGATAATCTGAGGTCAGGAGTTCGAGACTATCCTGGCCAACATGGTGAAACCCCGTCTCTACTAAAAATACAAAAATTAGCAGGGTGTTGTGGCAGGCACATGCCTGCGATCCTAGTTACTCGAGAGGCTGAGGCAGGAGAATCGCTTGAACCCGGGAGGCGGAGGTTGCCGTGAGCCGAGATCGCGCCATTGCACTCTAGCCTGGGCAACAGAGCAAGACTCCGTCTCAAAAAAAAGAAAGAAAGAAATTTGGGACCAGAAACTGAAGAAATAAAGGGAACTAAAGAGAAAGTGCTAAGAGAGACAGTAGGGGCCTGAGCTCTTCCTCCAGCTCATCACACCCCTGGTGTCACCTCTCTAGAACCCACTTACTCTAGGGGGGAGGGGTGGAATGGGTTTGGGGATGGGGGCAAGATCGATACATCACTGGGTTTTGATGACCGCAGGCTTTCACCTTGCAGATAATGGGGTGAGCGGCGGTAAACTCTCCCCGACTGAGCGGGCTCCCCCGGCCTTAATGAGATAATCAATACTTGTTCTCGGCTTAATTTCCATCTAATTGCTCTTTAACGACGCCGGATAATGGGCCGCCTCCTGTGAGGAGGGAGCTGGCTGGGAATCCGACCCGCCTCGGACTCCCGCCTTTCCTCCCCCGGGCAGGATGCCCTCGCGCAGGTGGGAAGGGGGCGCACCGCGTTCTCTGCGTAGCCGGAGCTCCCTTCGCCCGCCCGCCTGCCCCGCGCCGCCACCTGCCTGCAGCGCTCTCGGCCCCCACCGGGGGGCGCTTCAGACTTTGGTTGCAGGATCCTGGCCAAGGCTCCGTTTCAGGTTCGGGCCACCCCCAACCTTATGGGCTGTGGAACCGCGCGCCTCTGGACAAGCCCTTTTCTCTTCTCACGTCCCACCTCGATGCACTGCCCTGGGAGGGGGCCCCAAGACCTTAGGTAAGTTGCTGTGTTTCTGCACCTAAGGAGGACTCCATTTTTCCCCCTGTAAGGTTGCTGGGCTGTTTCCTGTAAAGGAACCTGGCTGGTCACCACAGACCACTCAGGCAAGGAGAGGGGAACAAGAACGAGGAAGACTAGGCCCCGGGGCTCAGAGAGCCTCCTGATTCCCATTAACCTCACTCCCCCGCTCCAACCACCGAGTCAGTTAGGTTCCTGCGAACGCCAGCAGCTCAGTCATCAGCGCTCGCTTCTCTCACTTCCCACCTGCCTATCTCAGCAGGAGGAACACCTGGAGGTTCTCCCCAGGGACTCTCAGACAGCCTGGCCTCCTCTCTCCTCCCCCCACCTCATCTTTCTTGTCTTCTCTTGAGGCCAACCCTGAAGCACTTTGGCCTCAGGTGCCCAGATGCTGTGACCTGCGATTTCCCCATCATCTCCCTACCTCCTGATCTCCTGCCACCTGGGCACACACTCGCCTGCATTTCCACAGCTTGTCCCCTGAATATGGGGTATTTACATTTATAAAACACTTGCTGCTATTCTGGCTCCAGCTGCAATGAAGTTAGGCTGGCAAAGATACTCTAATAGTGGCAGGATAGTGTGATGTTAGAATCATGCCTTGGACCTAGGCAGCCCCAGGTTCAAGTCTTAGCTCTGTTGCTTACTGGCCAGTGACACTGGGCAAACTTTCCTACAGGTCTGAAACTCAGCTTTCTCTTCTAATAATCCTACCCTACACGGTTTTGTAAGTCTGAAACAAGTTAACATATGCAAGTTGTTTGCCATAGGGCCTGGCGCACTGATAAATGATAGCTATTATTGTTATTGTTATCATCTTTATTATAATTATTTTGACAAAGGGTCTCGCTCTGTCACCCAGGCTGGAGTGTAGTAGTGGCACCATCATAGCTCACTGCAGCCTCAACTCCTGGGACCAAGTGATCATCCTCCAGCCTCGGCCTCCCTAGTAGCTGGGACTACAGGTATGTGCCACCACACCCAGCTAATTTTTTACTTTTTGTATAGATGGGGGTTTCACTATGTTTCCAAGGCTGATCTTGAACTCTTGGGCTCAAGAGATCCTCCCACCTCGGCCTCCCAAAGTGCTGAGATTACAAGCATGAGCCACCATGCCTGGCCTGTTGTTATTATTGCATGTTAGAGCTGAAGGAACCATCTAGTTCAAGGAACATGAACTCAAAGGCTATGTCAGGAATCTTAAATAAGGGAAGCACACTAGGTTGGGATTGTGTTGAGCTGGAGAGGGCTAGTCCTGTTTAAAACGGCAGCCAGTACTCACCTTCAATTGTTGCTGGGTAGACCAGATTCCCCACTGTTTGTTGTTTGTTTTCAAAACAATCTGGCAACATCAGCAGCTTGGATATCATCTCTGGCCTTTCTTACCTTACCCCTCCCACCTCTCTATCCTAGCACTAGGAGCAGCTGGGGGTTCTCCTCAAAGCCTCTCTGAACATCCTGGCCTGAAAATTCTGGCCCCAAATTCTGGACTTTTATATAAAATGTCTCAACGTTTGAGTAGAAACTTAAAAACACCATGCCAAATATGACATGCCTTAAGTCCAAATTCACCCTTGTTTCTCAGAAGAAACCTTGGTTCAGATGGGTCTCAGCTGCTGGCAAAGCTGAGACTGAAAGCCTCGATTCTAAGTCAAAATAAAAACTTCTGGGAGGCCCTTCCTAGGCTGTGGGGCCTCTAGCTGCCACCTACCATAGATGCTGCCCGTCACAGGCAGTGCCCAGTGGCTGAGCTATTGTTTGCACTTGGCAGCTCCAGAAGCATAAGACCTGGGTCACAGCAGCTTTGTCTCTTGTGATGCAGCCACACTTTCAAAAATGTTAGGCCAGGCCAGGCACAGTGACTCATGCCTGTAATCCTAGCACTTTGGCAGGCTGAGGCGGGCAGACTGCCTGAGCTTAGGAGTTTGAGACAGCCTGGGCAACATGGTGAAACCCTGTCTCTACTAAAATACAAAAAATTAGCCAGGCATGGTGGTACACACCTGTAGTCACAACTACTCAGGAGGCTGAGGCATGAGATTTGCTCAAACCTGGGAGGCGGAGGTTGCAGTGAGCCAAGATGGTGCCACTGCACTCCAGCCTGGGTGACAAAGCGAAACTCCGTCTCTAAACAAAACAAAAATGTTAGGCCAGGTGTGGTGGCATGTGCTGGTAATCCCAGCACTTTGGGAGGCTGAGGTGGGAGGATTGCTTGAGCCCAGGAGTTTGAGTTCAGCCTGGGCAACATAGCAAGACTTCGTTTCTACAAATAATTTTTAAAAATTAGCTGGGTGTACTGACAGGCGGCGGTGGTCCCAGGTACTTGGGAGACTGAGGCACAAGGACTGCTTGAGCCCAGAAGGTCAAGGCTGCAGTGAGCTGTGATTGCGCCACTGCACTCCAGTCTGGGAGATGAAGAAAGACCCTTTCTCAAAAAAAAAAAAAAAAAAAGTTGTTGAGGGGAGTGTGACAGCAAGTCAAAAAGTCCCAGGACCCAGGGGATCTTAACCCCCAATTTAGAGCCCTCAAATTCTACACACTTCTTTAGTTCATCAACTTCTATTTAATTCTACTCAACAGATTTCCCATCTGTATCCCCCACACTGGGGGACAGATCCAGCAGGTTTGTTGGGAAGTTCTCCTGATTGCCACTTTTTTGTTTTGTTTTTGGAGACGGGGTCTTGCTTTGTCGCCCAGGCTGGAGTGCAGTGGCACAATCGTGGTTCACTGCAGCCTTGAACTCCTGGGCTCAAGCAATCCTCCCACCTCAGCCTCCCAAGTAGCTGTGACTATAGGTGCAGGCCACCATGCTAAGCTATTTGGGGAGGGGGGTAGAGGCAGGGTATCCTTATGTGCCCAAGGCACCTGGCCTCAAGTGATCCTCTTGCCTTGGCCTCCCAAAGCACTAGGATTACAGGCATGAGCCACTGCTCCTGGTCCTGTGATTGTGACATTTTGCTACCTCTCTTCTTGTATCTTACCCTTGGGGAAAATGATAGAAAAGGCACAAAAAATTCTGGATTTTGGCAGGCTGAGTATGTTGACATGGAATGCTTATGAACTTTTATACATGCACAGCATTCTATGAATCATATTCTGATGCTCTGCTGGGACCTGAGATTCTCCATGTGGTTTGGTTGCTTAAAAGCCAAGTAGTTCCTAGCTAATTAGTCCTTTTTATTTCCCATCAGCCCTGAGAAAGCCCCCACTGTTTCTTGCTTGGAGTTCTGAGCATACACTTGTCAGGCTCTTCCTTAGTTTCAGTGAACTGGTCAGCTGAGGGGAGTCCCAACACTCCACAGAAGCCAACACTAGACTCTGTTATTTCTCAAGTGCAAAGGTTGAAAGTGGGATATCCAGGCCGGGTGCAGTGGCTCATGCTTGTAATCCCAGCACTTTGGAAGGCCGAGGCAGGCAGATCACCTGAGGTCAGGAGTTCGAGACCAGCCTGGCCAACATGGCGAAACCCCATCTCTACTAAAAATACAAAAAAATTAGCCGGGCATGGTGGCAAGTGCCTGTAATCCCAGCTACTCAAGAGGCTGAGGCAGGAGAATTGCTTGAACCCGGGAGGCAGAGCTTGCAGTGAGCCAAGATCGTGCCATTGCACTCCAGCCTGGGTGACAGAGACACTGTCTCAAAAACAGAAGAAGAAGAAGAAAAAAGTGGGATATCCAGTGCTTTGGGAGACCAGGAGTTTAAGATCAGCCTGGGCAACAGAGCCAGACCCTGTCTCTACCAAAAAAAATTATCCAGGTGTGGTGGCATGCACCTGTAGTTCCAGCTACTTGGGAGGCTGAGGCAGGATTGCTTAACGCCAGAAGTTCAAGGCTGCAGTGAGCTATGATCATGCCACTGCACTCCAGCCATGGCCACAGAAAAAGATTCTATCTCTTAAAAAAAAAAAAAAAGGAAGGAAATAAAGTGGGATGTCAGCAAAGATATTGTCACAATGTGGTTTTGGGGTCTAAGATCTCCCCCTGGTCCCTGTGGTCTTGATGGGGCACTCAGGAAGATGGCCTCCTCCCTTTACAGGGGTTGTCTTAATTTTGATTTCCCAGAAAGCAGATCCCAAGGCAAGGATTTTGGTACAAGTAGTTTATTTGGGAGTTTATCCCAGAAAACACAGTGAGGGGGAAGGGAAGTCAGAGAGAGGAGGAAAACCAAATAAAGGATGCATTAATGAGCAGGTTACCACTGAGGACAACTGTGACTCAGTCTCTCTAAGCCTTCTGCAAAACTGTGGAGAACACACCTCAAAATTATCCCACTGAAGGGTAAGGAACAGGATTATCTGTCCTCTATTGTTTTTCCTCACCGGATGTGGCTTGCTCCTGAGTTGTTACCTCCACAGCATTTCCAGCCTGCCCTGCATGTCAGCCAAGCTGACTCTAGGGGCTAAAGAACTCCCTCCGACAGACAGACACACCGGGTCATAAAGGAACTATCTGCAGGTAACCTTTGGAGTGAGCCAAGGGTATATGAGTGAGGTACTGACTGCATCTGCTATGGGGTTTGTGGTCCAGGGTGGTGGCTCCTGGGCCATGTGGTGAATTATTGTTGAGCACATCACCTAAACAGAGTCAATAAAAGGTTTCCCTGAGATGTGATATACTGATACATTTTTCTGGGCGTCCTAAGTATGATGTAGCCGGGAGCTGTTTATGGACTTCTTCCCTGGCTGTGGAAGAAAATACTAGAAGTGGTTGTAGACGAATCCATGGAGTGATGTTCAGGAGAGAGGTTTGGGCCAGAAATAGAAATCTGGAAGTCCGGCAGAAGGAACGAGGATGCTGTGGGGTGTCAGCAGAAAGTTATCTCACTGGCCTCACCTACAGAAAGTTGTCTTCAAGTAAAATTGGATGTAAGGGCAGAAACTTATCTTTCCTTCTGAGTGTGTCATAATGCAAAGTGAACTTCAACCAGTGACCCTGGGACTTTACCCATGTGCACAGCTCCCCCAACAGGTAGACGCACAGTGTGCAAATGTGTGAGAGTGGGTTTTTGTTGTTTTTATAGAGACGGGGTCTTGCTATTTCACTCAGGCTGGACTTGAACTCCTGGACTCAAGTGATCCTCCTGCCTCAGCCTCCTGAGTAGCTGGGACTATAGGCATGTGTCACCGCACCCAGCTGTGTGTGTTTAGCTACCGTAACTAGCTGCCTTTCCTATCACTGACTTTTGATATAATAATTTTAAAGCTACTCATATATTAAATGACATTGTGTTTAGTACTATAGAGTCTACTAGCTTTTCCCTTGGCATCAGTTTTACCCTGTCATACCCCTGAAGACCCATTTACTCACCTCATGGTCACACAACTCTACACATGCAATAAAATTTCAATTATACACACACACGTAATATCAAACCAGTGATATCCAAATAAGGTCCATTGTTTAGCTAATAGTACTGTATAAATTTCAATTTCCTGGTTTTGATAATTATATCATGGTTATATAAGATATTATGTTATCACCAGGGTAGGCTAGGTGACAGGTACATGGGAAATTTCTTTGCTATTTTCACAACTTCTATCCAAGTCTAAAATTCAAAATAAAAGGTTTTTAAAAAAATATCCAAGAGAGGAAATCCTTGCAGAACTGGCCATTTAAAAATTTTAGGCTCTAAAATTTTTACCTAATGGCTAAAATTTAAAAGAACAACAACAATACCAACTCTTGGCAAGGATGTGGCATAATGAAAACTCATCAACTGCTGAAGACTATATAAATTCATACATCACACTGGAAAAAGTGTATGGTAATATCTACTAATGTTGATAATCCCAGCATTTTGGGAGGCTGAGGTGGGAGGATTGCTTAAGCCGAGGAGTTTGGGACTAGCCCAGATAGAGTGAGACCCTGTGAGAAAGAAAAGAAAAAAAAAGAAAGAAAAGAAGGAAAGAAAGAAAAGAAAAGGAAAGAAAGAAAAGGAAGGAAGGAAGGAAGGAAAGGAAGGAAGGAAAGGAGGAAGGAAGGAAGGAAAGAAGGAAGGAAGGAAAAGAAAATCTACTAATGTTGAATATGCATATCACATGAAGCAGTAATTCCAATCCTAGGCATGTCCCAATTTCTATAAATGTCAAAACCAGGTAAACTTAAAGTATAGAGTTAAAGGTGGTTATTGGCCAGGCACAGTGGTTCACATCTATAATCCCAGCAATTTGGGAGGCTGAGGTGGGAGGACTGCTTGAGGTCAGGAGTTCCACACCAGCCTGGATAACATAGTAAGACTTTGTCTCTGCAAAAATAAAAATAAAAAAATTAGCTAGGTGTGGTGGTGTGCCTGTAGTCCCAGCTACTTGGGAGGCTGACGTGGAAGGATCCTTTGAACCCAGGACTTTGAGACTGCAACAAACCATGATCACGCCACTGCACTCTAGCCTGGGCAACAGAGAAAGACCATGTCTCAACAAAAACAAACAAACAAATCAAAAAAACAAACAAAAAAATGGTTATCTAGGGAGAAGAGGAGGGAAAATTATCGGGGAGGGGCATGATGGGGGCTTCTGAGGGTGTTGGCAATGTTCTGTTTCTTGACCTGGATAATCACAAGTGTTCATTTAGTAATAATTAATTTAACCATATATCTACTTTGTGCACTTTTCTGCTTGTCTATTATACTTCATAATGAAATTAAGTTAAAAACAAAATGAGAACAAGAAATGTAGAAAGGGCCAGGCGCGGTGGCTCACGTCTGTAATCCCAGCACTTTGCGAGGCCGAGGTGGGTGGATCACTTAAGGTCAGTTCAAGACCAGCCTGACCAACGTGGTGAAACACTGTCTCTACTAAACATACAAAATTAGCCTAGCATGGTGGTGCATGCCTATAATCCCAGCTACACGGGAGGCTGAGGCAGGAGAATTGCTTGAACGTGGAAAGTGGAGGTTGCAGTGAGCCGAGATTGTGCCATTGCACTCCAGCCTGGGCAACAACAGTGAAACTCTGTCTCAAAAAAAAAAAGAAAGAAAGAAATAGAAATGTAGAAACAATGTACATGTGGAATGATTTAAGCATCTTTTCTAAGTTTATCAATATAACATTTGGCCAAGTCATCAGGTTGGATGGAGCTACAGTCACCATTTCAAGGGTCAATGGGATACTGAAGGTGGGTGTTAGGGGGAGGGATTGCCTTTTGAGATATACGAAGGTAGACTGAGGCCTGATTTAGATGTCCTGAAGCTTATTCAACTTGCCTTAATGCCTAGGTATTCCAGAAAGCCAGTTCCTGGCTATTCCAGTCTTCATTTTGTAACACTACTTATAGCTGAATTATGTTTTCCTTTTTCTTTTCTTTTCTTGTTTTTTTTGAGATGGAGTTTTGCTCTGTCACCTAGGTTGGCGTGGTGGCGCGATCTCGGTTCACTGCAACCTCCGCCTCCTGGGTTCAAGCGATTCTACTGTCTCAGCCTCCCAAGTAGCTGGGATTATACGCATGCGCCACCATAACCAGCTAATTTTTGTATTTTTAATAGAGATGGGGTTTTGCCATGTTGGCCAGGCTGGTCTCGAACTCCTGACCTCAGGTGATCCGCCCACCTTGGTCTCCCAAAGGGCTGGGATTACAGGCATGAACCACTGTGCCCAGCCAATCTTTTTACCTGGCCACCCCAGCTTTGCTACATTTATCTTGACATTCTAATTTACCTATAAAAATAGCCTCTACTAGGAAGCCAAGGTGAGCAGATCACTTGAGGTCAGGAGTTCAAGACCAGCCTGGCCAACATGACAAAACCCTGTCTCTACTTAAAAAAAAAAAAAAAAAAAAAAAAAAATTAGCCAGGTGGCTACTCAGGAGGCTGAGGTAGGAGGATCGCTTGAACCCGGGAGGCCGAGGTTGCAGTGAGCTGAGATTGCGCCACTGTACTCCAGCCTGGGCGATAAAGCTAGACTCTGTCTCAAAAAAAAAAAAAAAAAAAAGGAAAAATAACTTATAAAGCAGTAGTGAGTATTACACTCAACCATTAGCCTCATTCCAAATTCTCTTAGGATGTTTATTGATGATATAGATGATAAATACACATACAGTTGTGATCAGTATCCATATACTTCTTCTTTTCTCTTAACCTTATTTTTCCATACATACTTTTCACTTTGTTTCCTACATACATTATTTTGAGTTTACCTATTTGTCATAGTTGGTAGCTACAAAGTATTCCATTTTAATTATCTATGTTGAGGTTTTTTTTTTAATCAACCAATTCTAATATTCACAGGAAGCACAATTTCTCCATATCCGTCTTTAATAGGTCAGTATGGACCATTTGTTTCATTCCTGCTTCTTCCTCAAAGTTGCAACTCTACTATTTTCACCAGCTGTGTCAAAACAGGGTTTGTGAAGTGACAGGTTGAAATATGTGGATCATTTGAAGTAATTTCTTTTCTTTACCAAATTAAACAATGACTGTATGCCTTGTTTCATCTTTTGTTGTTCATCTGTATAGGGCTCTTTTCACTCTTTTATTTTTAAAATTCTATTTTTTATTTTTATTTTTTGAGAGGGGGTCTTGCTCTGTCACCCAGGCTGGAGTGCAGTGGCGTGATCTGGGCTCACTGCAACCTCTGCCTCCCAGATTCAAGCGATTCTCCTGCCTCAGCCTCCTGAGTAGCTGGGATTACAGGCGTGCACCACCACGCTGGGCTAATTTTTGTATTTTTAGTAGAGACAGGGTTTCACCATATTGACCAGGCTGGTCTCAAGCTCCTGACCTCAGGTGATCCACCCGCCTCCGCCTCCCAAAGTGCTGGGATTAAGAGGTATGAGCCACCACGCCTGGCCCTAAACTTCTATTTTTAAAGAGACATGGTCTCTCGAACCCTTGAGCTCAAGGGATCCTACTGCCTCAGTCTCCCAAGTAGCTGGTGCTACAGGCGTGCACCACCACACTCCAGCTCATCATTCTGTCATTATACTTCAGTTATTTCATGTGTCAGTGACTGAAAGTGAACGTATGATAATCTTGTGAACACAGGGCTTCACAGTGGAAAGAAAACTACATTCTATACCTCATTCCTTCTTCAATACAAGCATCTGCAGGAAAAGGGGAAAAAAGAGGCGGGACCATCTATTATTCAACAAATTTCAACTTCACCCTGCCCATCTGGATCTAGTCTCCCTCATTAAATGCAAAGGATGCTGCCACCTGGCTCCTCTCCCTAGCAGTATTCACATCATCTAGGCTAGAAAATCCCTTCCCTTTGGCCTGTTTTGCACAAAACCGAGTAAACATTTTCAAAGTATATATACGCAAAATCATTTGCTATCTCTTTACTATGTATGATGCGCATAGGTGTTACTGAATATTTTGGAGCCTTGATGGATAAAGTATGGGATGTTGAGGATCGGGGAATGTATCTAAACTTTCAAGTTGTGTCCTATTCAAAAAACTCCCTTCTAAAAGCATTTTTACGGTATGTAGGGTTTTAATGTAACAAAATCTCTACTTAATAACAGCGGATCCCCTTTTATTATCTTTGTGCCTACCTGGATGCACGGTTCCAGCATGTTCTCGTCACGAACCACAAGCCCACCAGAGGGCGCTGGTTCCCCGTCTACCTACTGTTCTCCATCAGCGACTCAGAAAATCCAGGTTAAACACTCAGGCAGTCTTTCACATTTAATCCACAAATATTTACCGAGAATTTGACGTGCCACCAGGCGCGGGGCTAGGTTCACAAGATACAGTAGTGAGTTAGGCACGATTCCTACTACCAGAAGCTTAGAGCATAGGGAAGACTAAAAGTAAGCCACCGTCTACAATAGTAGGATAAGTGGAGAGTTTCTAGGTCCGTGGAGTTTGTTGTTGAATATCTGCTCCAGGCCTTAGAAGCCGGCAGCAATTCACTAAAAGATCCCGGACTTGTCTGCTCTGTATCCCAGCCAAGGAGCTCCGTCCCCAAGGTGTTTTGTTAGAGTCAGAGACCTCTCCTTGGGTGATTCCATTCGTCAGCCCCACAAGTCCCCGTCTCTGGCCTTTTTCAGGGTCTCCGGCAGCTCTCTGACAGTTCCCCTTCTGTCTCAGGTCGACACTTATTCCAAGGACCAGGGATTACTCACAACTATCCGCCAGAGTTTGCTCCGCCCTTTCTTTTTCCTGTTTAAAATCCGCGGGCTCTTAGTGTTCTCGGTTCCTAGATTTCCTGTTCTGATTCTCGCGACAGTTGCGAGGCCTCGCGTGAAGTTCCCTTCTAGTCCCTATTTCGAATTTGAGACCGGGAGAGAGTGTCTGCCCTTGCCCACCTCCTCAGAACCCCTCTGGCCAGGGATGGCGCCTACGTGGCTCGGGAGCCCCTGAATGAATGGGCTTGGCCCAACTTAGGGGCGCATTCCGACGGGAGAGTCCTGGCTGTATTCCGAGGCTCCAGTGCGCATGCGGAGTCGATCCCGCGCAGGCGGGCGGGGACGGCAGCCGGGTCTTGTGGGCGGAGCCTGACTAAGTGCCGCCCCCTTGCCGGCTGCAGATTGCTATTTCTGCCCCCCACCCTCGCCCATCCCCCCGCGAGCTGGACTGCGCCAAGGCTTCTGTGAGCCGCTTGGGGCCGGCCGGGGCGGGGCCTGCCCGACCCGGGTTTGGCTGGCGGGCCCCTAGGAATGCTCTCCTCCCCGCCCCCGGCCCAAAGTGCCACGGTGGCGGTGGTGGCGGCCGCGAGGCCGAGTGTCTCCGGCCCTGCCAGCCTCGCAACCGTAACCTGTAATCCCGACCCGAGGGACGCCCGCCGGGGAGGCGCCAGCCCGCCTCTCCCTGCGGCCGCTGGTCGGCTCCGACCTCGAATCACCCGGCTCACCCGCGGGTCGCAGCACCTGCCGGATGTGGGGAGGAAGAAGGAGGCCAGATGAGGGAAGGCGGATGTAGGCGCCCAGTCTGTCCGCGCCTTGGTGGGGCAGCTGGGTGGGCAAGCCTGCGGTCGCTCCCGGGAACCAGCCCTGGGCTGCGGGGAGACGAAGGTGGTTGGTCCTGCCCTCCAGGAGCGCCCCGACATCGACGTAAAATGACTTGGCACCAGAGCTCCTGCCGCCTCCCCCTTATGCAGCTGCCCTCGCCGACGCCAGGGACTGTAAAATCAGATGGGACAGGGCCTAGCCGTTCAGCCAACACTTTGAGCTTCCCAGCCAAACTCCTACCCCCACTCCCCGCCTCCGGTCCTCACCCCCTTCCTCTCTCCCAGCCTCGGTGTCTGGTTACGGCTCCTCTGCTCGCATTGTGACTTTGGGCCAGGCTGGGGGAAATGACCCGGGAGGGTCCCATGCGGCTACATAAAATTGGCAGCCTTAGAACTAGTGGGAAGGCGGGTGCGCGAAGTCGAGGGGCGGAGAGAGGGGGCCGGAGGAGCTGCTTTCTGAATCCAAGTTCGTGGGCTCTCTCAGAAGTCCTCAGGACGGAGCAGAGGTGGCCGGCGGGCCCGGCTGACTGCGCCTCTGCTTTCTTTCCATAACCTTTTCTTTCGGACTCGAATCACGGCTGCTGCGAAGGGTCTAGTTCCGGACACTAGGTGAGCACTCTGTGCCCCAGGCCATAAGCGAGGCGGCATCAGCCCCCCCAGTTCTCACCCCCCATTAGCAGCTTCTTACTTCTGGAGCCACCCATTCTCTTTGGGCAAGGATGCTCAGGGGCCAGGGATCGGAGTCGGGTGGTGCACGGAAGTGGTGCTGGTGGTGGGTGTGCGTGCGCCTGAGCCTTATCACCCTTTCCTCACCTCTCTTCACTCCCAGCCCTCCCAAGAACAGCCCAACTGATTGCTAACTGCCATAACTGGATAATCCCTAGAGGGTCACTAGGCCTGTGTGTTGGGGGAGGCTACTTGGTAGCAGGGGAGGGGGCGATGCTAGTGTCATGCTTTGGTACAAGAAGCAGTGAGGTTGGTCTTTCGGCACAGGCCCTGTTTCTGACCTCCTGACCTGGCTTCCCTTCCTGGCAGGGTGCCCGAACGCGCTGATGCCCCGAGTGCTCGCAGGGCTTCCCGCTAACCATGCTGCCGCCGCCGCGGCCCGCAGCTGCCTTGGCGCTGCCTGTGCTCCTGCTACTGCTGGTGGTGCTGACGCCGCCCCCGACCGGCGCAAGGCCATCCCCAGGCCCAGATTACCTGCGGCGCGGCTGGATGCGGCTGCTAGCGGAGGGCGAGGGCTGCGCTCCCTGCCGGCCAGAAGAGTGCGCCGCGCCGCGGGGCTGCCTGGCGGGCAGGGTGCGCGACGCGTGCGGCTGCTGCTGGGAATGCGCCAACCTCGAGGGCCAGCTCTGCGACCTGGACCCCAGTGCTCACTTCTACGGGCACTGCGGCGAGCAGCTTGAGTGCCGGCTGGACACAGGCGGCGACCTGAGCCGCGGAGAGGTGCCGGAACCTCTGTGTGCCTGTCGTTCGCAGAGTCCGCTCTGCGGGTCCGACGGTCACACCTACTCCCAGATCTGCCGCCTGCAGGAGGCGGCCCGCGCTCGGCCCGATGCCAACCTCACTGTGGCACACCCGGGGCCCTGCGAATCGGGTACGCATGGCCCGGGGCCCCCACCCCAGCACTTAGGTTTCCTAGAGGCACTGCTCCCCGACCCCTGACAGCATTGGTCTCTGGCCAGCAGAGCAAAAAAGATAAGGCTATAGAGGCCTCGAGTCCAGTATAAAACCCTGCTCTCGCTACTGGTTCATAAAAGCTGCCACCTTAAGGTGGGGGTGGGGGGTGGAGTGGAGTGGGAGTCCCGGGCTTCGTCAGCAAGCTGCATTCGCTGAACCACGTGAAAGCTCCAGAGCTGGCTGGCAGGGAGAGACAGGTCCTCTGAGGGCGCAGGCACATAACCTATGGTTTGCTCAGAGACCCCCCCGACTTTTCCCAGACCAGTGGAGTCCAGGCAGCAAGACGGGTTCCTGTGAGATGCAATCACGTTTCATTCTTAGAGCAGTTTGTTCACCCAGTCTCCCCACCTCTCTGCTTTCTCCTGCTTTTAGGGATTAGTGAAGGGGAGCGGGAAGTTCTTTCTCTATCCCTGGGGACTGGGGTCCATTCAGGCCTCTAGCTTTCCTTGGTAGCTTTAGTAACTTTCACTTCCTGAGCCCGGGCTCTGCGTCTGGCTCGGCTGGGGCAGCCAGAAAACAAACACCCCGTGGGGGTCCCAGCAATTTCCTCCACTCCTGCAGGCTTCCTGCCTGTCGCACAAGTCCAGCTTCAGGTTCTCTGCCTTGCCGCAGGACTCCCCCAGGGGGTACTGAGGAGGGAACGGCTGCTTTTCCTCCTTTGGGAACTGGGCCTGTTTAGAAAAGGGGAAGGGGGATCTGGAAGGTTTTGATTACAGGCACGCAGGAAAGGCTGGGGAGGGTGAAATGAGGACAGGGGAGCAGTTAGGGACAGAGTGGCTGCCAAGCTACAATGTAGATGTGTGTGCTTGTTTGTGCATTGGGTCTGCATGAGGTTCTATGTGCACATGTGCATGTATACCTATCTCCACGTCTGCGTGGTACCCTTGTGTGTACCAGCATCCATATCTGTGTGTACCTGTGTGTGTCACGGTGTGTTTATGGATGTGTATTTACCTCAGCATATATTGTGTTCTGCCACAAGCATGTCCACAAAAATTTGTGTATCATGTCTTTGCCAGACTGGATGCCTTTGCTGGGCCATGCTATTCTCAGACCTCCCGCCTTCACCCCCAGGGCCCCAGATCGTGTCACATCCATATGACACTTGGAATGTGACAGGGCAGGATGTGATCTTTGGCTGTGAAGTGTTTGCCTACCCCATGGCCTCCATCGAGTGGAGGAAGGATGGCTTGGACATCCAGCTGCCAGGGGATGACCCCCACATCTCTGTGCAGGTAGACTGGTGGGAGAGGCTTCCCTCAGGCAGCCCAGGGCCCTCCAGAAGGACCCTGCTGATTCCTTGCCTGGCTCCAGTTTAGGGGTGGACCCCAGAGGTTTGAGGTGACTGGCTGGCTGCAGATCCAGGCTGTGCGTCCCAGTGATGAGGGCACTTACCGCTGCCTTGGCCGCAATGCCCTGGGTCAAGTGGAGGCCCCTGCTAGCTTGACAGTGCTCACACCTGGTAAGGGGATTCCTGAGTTCTGGGGGTTGGGGGGATGGTGCTGGATTCCAGTTGTGAATGTGTAAGAAACAGACCATGTGTCTGTATACACAAGCATAGCCTTCCGCAGACTGGGCTATGTGGGCACCGACAGCCCCTCTCTCCTGTTCTCTCTTCTTTGCCCATGTGTGTTTGCAGACCAGCTGAACTCTACAGGCATCCCCCAGCTGCGATCACTAAACCTGGTTCCTGAGGAGGAGGCTGAGAGTGAAGAGAATGACGATTACTACTAGGTCCAGAGCTCTGGCCCATGGGGGTGGGTGAGCGGCTATAGTGTTCATCCCTGCTCTTGAAAAGACCTGGAAAGGGGAGCAGGGTCCCTTCATCGACTGCTTTCATGCTGTCAGTAGGGATGATCATGGGAGGCCTATTTGACTCCAAGGTAGCAGTGTGGTAGGATAGAGACAAAAGCTGGAGGAGGGTAGGGAGAGAAGCTGAGACCAGGACCGGTGGGGTACAAAGGGGCCCATGCAGGAGATGCCCTGGCCAGTAGGACCTCCAACAGGTTGTTTCCCAGGCTGGGGTGGGGGCCTGAGCAGACACAGAGGTGCAGGCACCAGGATTCTCCACTTCTTCCAGCCCTGCTGGGCCACAGTTCTAACTGCCCTTCCTCCCAGGCCCTGGTTCTTGCTATTTCCTGGTCCCCAACGTTTATCTAGCTTGTTTGCCCTTTCCCCAAACTCATCTTCCAGAACTTTTCCCTCTCTCCTAAGCCCCAGTTGCACCTACTAACTGCAGTCCCTTTTGCTGTCTGCCGTCTTTTGTACAAGAGAGAGAACAGCGGAGCATGACTTAGTTCAGTGCAGAGAGATAGGTGAGGCCAGCTCGAGATCTTATACCACTCTGTATTGGACAAAGGCTAGCACAGGGCTAGGCACCAATAAAGATTTCTAATGATGCACAGACAGTTTATGCAGATGTGCACATGAAAACTGAATATCCCTGGGAGGCCTCCCACACTAACAGAACTCTGGCTTCCAGAAGCTGCAGGGCCTGCTCTCTAAGCACATGCCTGCCAGATGTACAAAGAGAAAGTTTGAACTTGGGCCTATCCCGCCTTTGAGGGAGGGAGGCTGGAGCCATATGGCTGGAGGGAAGTTATCTTCCCCGTCTGCCCTCCATTGGGGCTGATATACATTATCTGCTTCTTTGCTCATCTTATTCCAAACCCTTCCCCAGGCCAGAATGGGGAACAGGGCTATGTGGGTTGGCCCCCAAAATGAAAGCATAAACTGGATAGAGGAGGGTGGAAGTTTGGTCACCTGTGTGGTCCATACCCTTCCCCAGCTCCCATAGGAATCTACCCATTTCCTGCAGAAGCCAGAGTCATGGTAAGGCTGTTTCCTATCTGCCCCAATTGTGACCTGTCCTCTCTGGCTTGGGGTCCCCAAATCTCTTTCCTCATTCTCCTTACCTATCCCAGGGACACTGGTGAGACTCAATGTTTATTTAATGATTGGAGGAAAGAATGAAAGCATAAGTCAGCGAGGCCGAGGCGCTGTGTGTAGATGGCGACAGCCTCCTACACGCCAGGGCTCCACCCGGATCCTGGCGCCACTGCGGGAGGGCCTGCCCTTGGCTCAGCGTCAGAGTTTGTCCTCTGGGGCCCAACGCAGGGAGCCTGGCCACATGGGAGGGGTGTGGTCCGGAACTCCAACCCCAGGTCCTGCTTGGCCGCCCCTCCCGCGGCTACGCACTACTCCATCTACTGCTGGCTTGCCCCGGGTCCTTAAGCCAGCGACAGTTTTTATTGCCGAACCCAGGCTGGAAGCGGGCGGCCCTAGGAGCCGCGCACAACAGCGCAAGCGGGCTGGATACCGGGAGCCGATTCCAGGGCGCCCACAGAAGCAGAATCAGAGGGGTAGGCGGGGGTGGGGCGTGCTGTTCGGCGCTGTGGCCAAAATCCGCCCGGCGCTGAAAGAGGGGACGTGGGTGTGAGTCCCAGCATCAGCCAGGGAATCCGCCCCTAGCTTGTTCTTCGCCCAGCTGGGCTCCAAGACGCCCTCTGCGGGCCCATAGCTCCTACCGCGTCCACCTGCAGAGCAGAGGCTCCTCACCAAAAGCCCCACCCCACCGGAGAGGGTCACGCAGGTCCCGGGGAATCCGCACTCCTTAATCGCGTTAGCCGACTTTGTAGGTGTTCAGGAGCAGCCTCCTAGCAGCCTCAGTTTTCCCCTCCCCGCCCTGCTGGTTCAAGCACCACAGCCTGGAATGGGAGAACTGTTGTCCACCGCCCCCTCCCTCCCCGCACCCCGCCTCTGCTGCAGCGGACCCGCTTTAATAATGTCGCTGGAAAGTGACACGCGATTTATTATTAAAGTAATGCGGGCGCAGGGACGGGAAAGGTTTAATAAACGTGCTGAGATGCCGAGGATTATTCACCGCAAATAAATGAGAGCGCGGGCGGCGTTTTAATAAATAATTTCCCGCTGCTCCCGGGGGAAGGCAGGGGAGGGGGAGGGAGGGGGAGGGAGGAGGAGGGGGAGGCTGAGCCGCTGCCAGAACTCCCGGTTTCGCCTGCCCACGGGCTTCCAAGCCATCCCCGCGTTTTGTGTCCTAGGTTGCTCACACCCGAGATGTGAGGTTCCAGGAGCGCCGACCCAGAGTTGCCAGGCCTGAAGGCGGGAGAGGCTCAGTCGCACCCTACATTTCCCACCTCCAAGATTTTAAGTATAGTTCGCTTGAAATCCCTGGAATGCGCTTTCTTCTGGCTCCTACCCGGAGATCCGGAGTCCGGACAAACCGGGGCAGGAAGGGTCCGTCGGACCAGCTCCTCCCAAGCCGAGGCTTCCAGGTCTCGGCCGGGCTCTTCTCCCTGCTTTTAGCTGAGCCGGGCTGGGCGTACCTCTCTCCTCCATCTAGAGCAGGGTGTGAAGAGGAAGCCAGAGGGGGCTGTCTGAAAATGACCCTGACCCCCTCCTCGGGCTGTCGTGAGGAGGAGGGCCGCTTCGCCCGGCTGCTCGTCACCGCGAAGGCTCCAAAGAAGTGTTGCGCAGCCGTGCTGGTATAACTGAGGGTGTCCTGGCGAAGCCCAGCCCCTGGCGCCCTGGTGACCGGGGGGGTCGATGTGCGGACTGGGCAGAACTGGAGCCCGAAGCTGGAGAGCGCCCCTCAAAAAGAAGCCTGGAAGCCCGAGAGATGAACCCGACTCAGAGAGGGCCAAGACTGCAGACCTTGGGGACCGAGGACACCCTCACCACGCTGGTGGGGGCTGGGGGGATGGCGCGGGCGGTGGCGTGCGGGGAAGCGCCTGGGGAACACCTGGCTCTGCAAGTTTTGTGCCTTAGCGGAAAGAGGCGACATCTCTGGCAAGTTGGGAGTACAGGAAGTAGCGAAGGAGTGCCATCTGGTGGATCCTTCTGGTAGTGACACTCAGACCTGGGCCAGGGGCCTTGAGACAATTTACTTGACTGGAAAAATCTGAATAAAAAAAAGATGCTTCAATTTGTATTCATTTAATGTATATGAATGTGCACATGTATGTGTAGCATATATTAGTATGATATCTATATGTAAAATATAGTAGTTATGTGTGCATTGTATGTATACATGTATACATCTAATTTCATATGTATGTATGTGGATATATTATACATGAAGTTTTTTTTGAGATGGAATCTCACTCTGTCGCCCAGGCTGGATTGCAGTTGTGCTATCTCAGCTCACTGCAGCCGGGTTCAAGCGATTCTCCTGCCTCAGCCTCCCAAGTAGCTGGGATTACAGGCGTACACCACCATGCCCAGCTAATTTTTTGTATTTTTAGTAGAGACGAGGTTTCACCATGTTGGCCAGGCTGGTCTTGAACTCCTGATCTCCAGTGATCTGCCTGCCTCGGCCTCCCAAAGTGCTGGGATTACAGGCGTGAGCCACCATGCCTGGCCTACATGTAGGTTTTGTATGTATGTATGTGTGTGCAAAAGTCCTCAACCCTGGGGAAAAAAAGAGGCCCTGAAGAAAGGGGAAAAAGGCAGTGAAGGGGCAGAAACCCTGGTAGTCCAGCAAGGGAGGGTGAGAAGGAAGGGGGGAGGTATGAGTATTACTATAGACCAAGGGTTGGGGTGGCACCTGGAGACTCCTGGACTTGACTGCAACTGTATGTATTGTTATATGTATATGTATAGACATTTATTTTCAAGTATATATTCCATTATGTATCATTCTTTCTTTCTTTCTTTCTTTTTTTAGAGACAGGATCTTGCTCTGTCACCCAGGCTGGAATACAGTAGCACTTTCATAGCTCACTGCAGCCCCAAACTCCTGGGCTCAAGTGATCCTCCTGCCTCAGTCTCCTGAGTAGCTGGGAATTACAAGCATGAGCCATGATGCCTGGCTGTGTCATATTCTTTCTACAAATACTTGTTATGTACCAGCACTGGGGCTACATCATGGGAAAAAAATTGCCTGTAACCCAAGCACTTGGGAGGCTGAGGTAGGAGGATTGCTTGAGCCCAGGAGTTCGAGACCAGACTGAGTAATATAGTGAAGCCCCATCTCTACAAAAAAAAAATTTTTTTTAATTTGTTGGGTGTGATGGCGCACACCTGCAATCCTAGCTACTCCGGCAGCTAAGGAAGGTGGATTGCCTGAGCCAGGAGTTCAAGGCTGCCAGTAAGCTATGATTGCACCACTCCAGCCTGGGTGACAGAGCCTTAACAGAAAATTGTTCCTGCCCTCATGGAACTTGGATTCCAGTCTAAGATGTGTATGTATACTTACATTAGTTAGGTATGTTTATATTTCCAGGATTATGCTCACATGCACATATAATACTGTCTAATATGTGTATATGCGAGGAGTAGATAGGCCTAAACTCTGGTAGGCCTGGAGATTCCCTGGTTTTTTACTCACAATCACTGGTCCTGTCACCTGGTACTCTATTCTGAGCATGAAGGCAGCTGAGGGCAGAGGGAAAGAAACTAGAGACATAGGCCTGTTGCCTCCTAGGATGCACTGTGGTTATTTCCTCAGCCTTCTGAATGACTGAATTCTTTCTAAACCGGGAACAGCTGTGTAAGTCCACGCGTGGTAAGGAACTGTTAGTGCACATCAAGTCTTGCCTCTGCTCAGTGCTGGGGAAGGGTGGGAGCGGGGTCTGGGAGGCTGGGGTAAGAGGCTAGGTTCTCTGAGGGCAGTGATGAGGGCACTTAGAGACCAGGAGGGATCAGTTCTGGGAGGCAGTGAGCTCTGGGAGTCACTTGCAGATAATGAGGGGCGGTTTGAGGACACTTGGGGAGGGATGGGGTGGTGGGATAGAGAAGGGGGCAGAAGTGAGTAATGAGGTTGGGATTGGGGATGGAGTTGGGGTGGGGACAGGGCAGAGATAGAGGCTCTGGTGGCAGGGATACACCTGTCTGGGGGTGGAGCCTGGAAGCCATCTTGAGGGAGTCATCCCTCCCTCCCCACCCCCACCTCCCTTCCCCATGCTGGGCCCCAGTTTAGCCCTCTCTCTGCTGAAGCTGGCTCCCAGATGTGCTGGGGGCAGAGGAGAGCTAAGGCTCCAGGGCCTGGCCTGGCTTAGGTGACTCACTTAAGTGGTGGGCGAGGTGGGGCAGGGCTCACAATACCAGCGTCCCATGAAGCCTTGTCCCAGCCACCTGGGTCATCACCTACCTGGCTGCCATTACCAGCTTCCAGTTTGGGCTCAGCCCAAGGCGTTCAAACAAGGGTGGGGCATAGATCTGGAAAAGGTCATAGAATATCCACCCACTCCACCAACACACACATTTCTAGGACTGAAGTGGGAAGGTGCTTCTGAATCATTTCTTCCTTTCCCTGCTTTTGCTAGATGCTTTCCAGATGCAGTCAAGTCCGGGAGTCACCAGGTGCCACCCCAACCCTTGGTCTATGGTAATTTTCATACCTCTCCCCTTCCTTCTCACCCTCCCTTGCTGGACTTCCAGAGTTTCTGCCCCTTCACTGCCTTTTTCCCCTTTCTTCAGGGCCTCTTTTTTTCCCCCAGGGTTGAGGCCTTAGATCCCTGGGCTGTGTCCTCGCTGGTTAGGGAGTGGGGTGCGGGTGGGATGTGCTAAAAACGCAAGCTAGTTCCTGGCCTAGATTTATTTTTCTGATTGATTTATTTTTAGAGGCACGGTCTTGCTATGTTGCCCAGACTGGACTTGAAGTCCTGGGCTCAAGAGATCCTTCTGCCTCAGCCTCCCGAGTAGTTGGGACTATAGGTGCATGCCACTGTGCCTGGCCTGGATTTGGTTTTGACATTTACTCTGCCATTTCGGCAACTAAAGGCTCTCTGGACAGGGTGGACAGTTATGAAAGTCCAGTTGCGGTGACAAGAGTTACCCCACAATCAAATCTCATCCCATCCTCTTGGTGGGGAGCACCTTGAAGTACTCAGTATCTTCACTGAAATGAGGGCTGGAGTCCCCTGGAAGAAAAGACAGGGTCTCTATGAGAAGTGGTGACAGCTTGAGGGAAGTAATGGAGTCTCCCAGGATAAGGGTTGAGGACTCTAGGGACAATTGCTTCCTGCTACCCCCACCCCGAGAGCTGGAGTAGGGCTGGAGAAGGCCTCACAGTTCTCCTGGGCCTAACTCCTTGGTGTCAGAGGGGTTAAGTTCTGGGGGCATTAGTGGGGGGTTTCTGGGGGGAGTAATCTCTGAAGGGTAATGGTGGGTCTTTGCATAGGAGGTTTTGCAGTATGGGATTGAGTTTCAGTTCTGCTTTTTTTTTCTTTTTTTTTTTTTTTTAAGTCAGGGTGTCACTTTGTCGCCCAGACTAAAGTGGCACAATCATGGCTCACTGCACCCTTGAACTCCTGAGCTGGAGCAATCAATCCTCCCGCCTCAGCTTCTTGAGTAGTTGGGAGTACAGTCATGCACCACCCACGCAGCCAGTTCTGCTTTTTAAGTGCGTACATTGGGTAGGTTTCTTAACCTTCCTTCTTCTGTGTCCTCTTCTGCAATATAGTGATAAAATTTACTCCATAGGGGTTGTGATAAGGATTAGAGATCTTATAAGCAATGTGTCTGTAACAAAATAGGTGCTCAATAAACGTCAGTTTTACTATGCATTACTATTTTGGGGTAGATGATCTGCATGGAGATGGGGGCAGGGTGCCCAGTGCAGAGCTTCCTGCTGAAGTGGGTGTGTTGGAGAATGGGGTGATTGCAGTCTTGGCATCTGCCTGGAGGAGGCCTTAGGAATTGGGCCTTAGGAAAAGGGGAAAGGCGGAGGCAGGATAGAGATGGGCAGGGACTGGGCTTCCAGAGAGCTCAGCAGTCTTCACCCCCACCCCTAACCCTCCTCAGGGAGCCCTTGTCAGAACCCAGGGCTCTACCTCTGGGCTTGTGAGGAGGGGCATCCCCCAAAGTCACCTCCATCCATCTCTTTTATCTGGGCTGATGAAGGGCTAGAGCTCCAATGGGGCCTCTGATGGGGAACAGATACAGACCAGGCGGAAGCAGCCGGAACTGTGCTGGGCTGGAGCTGAGGACTGGGCCAGGGGGTCAGTGAAGACAGATAAAGCTCAGAGCAGCTGGAGGCTCAAGGGACCTGGGGCGGGGGAGCAGCAGGGCTGAGGGCCGGCTGTGTCCTGGGAGGAGGCAAGGCCGGAAGCTTCTGATGGGGACCAGTGTCCATCAAGGACTTCAAATGACCAGACAAAGCCTTTAATGACTCTTTGGGAGGAGGGAAATAGGGACGGAGCTGCCTCCCCCAGACATGTGTGCAGGAAGGCCAAGGTGCCTGCTGAGAGTGAGGGTTGGTCCTGGGGGAAGTCGAAACTTAAAACAGGAGGAACCCTCCAGGCACAGGGCTGAGGCAGCGGTTCTGGGGCTGCCTTACCTTTAAGGCAGAGAGAGATGGGAAAAGGATTGGGAAGTGATTCTGTGATTTTAGTTTCTGTTTTAATTAACTTTGAAGGGCTTGGGGCCTCCCTGAATGCCAGGGAGGGGAGCAGAGCAGACATTTATTTTCCTCTTTTCCCTTTTAAAGACAATTTTATTAAATCACTTTGTTTTCATTCTGGCTTGAACATGGGGCGTTTAAATGGAAAAGTAATTATTTCACCTTGTTTGCTTATGGAGAGAGGGGAGTCAGGAAAGGGAGGGACGCCAGTGAGAGGAAGAGGCTGCAGTCTCAAGCCCAGTGTGCACACAGCTTGCGTGCACACACAACCATGCTCACACTTACACCATAATCCACGTCCACATATCTCTCACACTAGCACACGTGTGTACAGTCCCAAATGCAGACACTTCAGTACTTGCACGCACACATCCACATTCTCCTGACACACACTCCTTCGCCACAGCCACACTTACAGACAGAAGCACTCTCTGTCATGCACACTCACAGCACATTGTGCTCACAGTACAGGCACATCACAGTACCCTTAAACACCTTCCAAGCACCCGTGGGTGTGTATGCATACACCCGTTCACACAGGTGCATGCACGCACACACACAACCCCAATGTAGGCCAGTACTTCCAAGCCTATTGCATTACATCATCGGAAGTACACGCAGTCTCAGACACAAAATTACACAGACGCTCATTCTCAAATACACAGGCACACCCACACCCTGACAAGCAGCCTTGGGGACAGACATGTGAGGGGGACATTGTCACGGAGAAGGTGAAAGAGTGGTGGAACGCTCCCTTTTACTGGGGTTCCTGAGTCCCCAAATTGATCTAGGCTACTCCATGAGCCCCTTTCTCTGTTCCTGTAAAGTTCTCTGAATGATTGCTTGTGACCTTGATTCTGTAGCCTCTGGGACAGTCGCTCCCCGCAATCTAGCCCCCCACCTCAGATCACTGTAGCAAGGCAAGAGGCCCCACAGGTTTTCTGGGTTCAGCCGGCCCTCATCAGGACCCAGGTTCTAACTCCAGCTTCCCCGACTCCCGCCGCCCCTCCCTGCTATGTGAACCAGCGTCGGAGGGGTTAAAATTTCTGTAGCGCGCCCCCCTCCACCCCCACCCCTGGCTGGTACAAGGAGGGCCGGTTTGTGCCGTACCTGTACTTTGTCTTCATCTGTCACCCCTTCTGACAGTCAGATACATCTTGTGGGGGGGGGGCGTGGGGGGCGAGGGAGCAATAATTAACCTCTCCCGCCTCATCCCCCAAATGCCATTGCCTCAGCAGCGGTTGCATGGGGGCTGCCGAGGAGAAAGAGGGAAGGGGAGGAGATGGAGATGGGGAGAGGGGAGAGGGGAGAAAGCGTGACGCTTCCAGAGCCACAAGAGGGAGCAGAGAGGAAAGGCCCTGACATTTTATTGCTCTGCCAACCTCTTTTCCGCACCCTTCTTTCCACCCCTCTTCCTGGGGGAGCTGCGGGCAGGTGGGAGAGGCAATTAGAGCGATAGGAGAAGCCTGCCGTACTCACCACCATTCCCTCATAGCAGAGGCTCCTGGCAGGGGTTGGGGGTAGAGCGTGGCGGGGAAGACAATCTTCATATATGAGCTCTTCAAGGGGACCCGCAGAACTTACAGCATGCTAGGCAGGGGTAGAGGGGGTGGCCGCCCCGTGCTGGCGTTTCATGTTGCTGTCAAATGAACAGAGCTTGTGTTAAGAACCAATTTTTCTTCCAATCAATGAAGGGGAAGATGTCTTGGGTCATTCCTGGAGCAGTCAAATGATTCCAATGCCAAGGAGCTGTGGCTCAAAGGGGACTTCAGATTTGGGCTGGGCAACAGAGGACACTCGAAAAAGTCAAGCAAGCCCCTAAGCAGTGGCTGGAACCAGAGCTTGGGTAAGGGGAAGACCAATTTGTCTTGGGCTGGGTCCTTGGATGAGGCAGCCGGTGGGGGAGAATAAGGATCTGTAAGAAACACCCAGCCAAGGAGAACTCTGTCAGGAGATAATCAGCGGGGATGGAAAGGAGAGGGGTTGCTGTCACCGCTGGGGCTGGTGGGGACACAGAGAGTGAGACAGGGCCCGGCCTATCCCCTGGGCAGCCTGAAGGCCAGGAGATTCTAGATTTTCCCACCACTTTAAGAAGTTGTTAGTCAAATCTATCATCTTTAAGGTTTTTTTGTTTGTTTTTGTTTTTGTTTTTTTGAGACAGAGTCTTTCTCTGTAGCCCAGGCTGGAGTGCAGTGGCACCATCTCAGCTAAATGCAACCTCTGCCTCCTGGGTTCAAGTGATTCTCATGCCTCAGCCCCCCGAGTAGCTAGGATTACAGGCATGTGCCATCATACCCAGCTAATTTTTGTAATTTTAGTAGAGACATGTTGGCCAGGCTGGTCTCAAACTCCCAACCTCACGTGATCCACCTGCCTCGACCTCACAAAGTGCTGGGATTACAGGCATGCACCACTGCGCCCAGCCTCATCTTTTAAGTTTTAATTTTAATTTAATTTAATTTAATTTAATTTAATTTTTTTGAGACAAAGTCTCTGTCTCCTAGGCTGGCGTGCAGTGGTGTGATTATAGCTCACAGCAGCCTTGAACTTCTGGGCTGCAGGGATCCTCCTGCCTCAGCCTCCTGAGTAGCTGGGGCTACAGGTGCATGCCACCAAGCCCCAGCTATTTATTTATTTTTTTGATTTTTAATTTTTTTTTTTGTAGAGATGGGCAACATCTTGTTGCCTGGGCATCTGTCACCTTTGTGGTGTCTGAGATATAGGACCTTTTCTCTAAGGTCTCTGAGAGAGTTGTGAACACAGTATTGTCCATGAGTCAGAATTCCTGGGTTTTAACCCTAGTTCTACCACTAGCTAACTGTGTGATGGAAGATAAGTTACTTAACCTCTCTGGACCTCAGCTTTCTCACTTACAAACTGGGGAGGGGGCTGCTGATGAGACAAACTCTATAGACAATGCTGGTACTGATATCTATAATCTTTCTACGACCTGAGGAACCTTGGTTAGGGCCATCTGTGCCCTCCTCCAGCACATACACATTCTGAACCCCTCCCTCCACTAGCAGCATACACACGGACCAAAAGGTGCTCTCTCTCTCTCTCTCACACACACACACACACACGTGTGTGCACACTGTCTCCTTGCCCCCATGTGCTGTGTACATCCCTGGACTCCCAATCAACTATAAAATTTGCTGTGTTTGGGAAGGACGCAGGGGCTAGGGCACCCTAATAGAAAAGCTGACTCTATGCATTTCTGTTAAAAGAAGAGCCTAACAGAGGTGGGAAGTGGAGCACCAAGATAGGAAGTGTGCACTGGAAAGGGCTTCCCAATGGGGAGAAGAGGCACTGGCAGGGGGAAGAGAGTCAGCCTGAGAGAGGTGGAGACAGAGAAAAAGAAGCCGACTTAGCTGCAGGGGACCTGCTGCTGAGAGTGAAGAGTGAAACGTGCTGACAGCCTTGTCAGGAAGTCACCTCGATGCATCCCACACCCCTGTCTGTCAGGTTCCATCTCCCCAGGGGAGGAGCTCTGTGAGTCAAGCTGCTCTCTGTCCATCCCCGCCACCCCCCACAATACACACACACAGCCCTGCTCCCCAAGATGGAATTAATTTCTGGCTATTATTTTTTTCACCTGGAGAAGTACTGCAAGTTTTGACAGCATTAGGGAAGATGAGAGAAGTAGGAAAAAGTCAGGACTACCCAGGGTGGGGCCACCTAGGCTGGGGCTGGGTCACCCTAGGTGGTGCCTAGGATTGAGCTGATCTTCTGGGTTGATGTGGCAGTTAACATAGAGCTGGACTTTTCTCTAACAGCTCTGAGTCTGGAACGGCTGTGGGTCACCGAGGACACATCACGGCCCTGGAACAAAGCTGGGCTCTTGTATAGCTCTGTTCTCCTGAAGGGGATGGTTGGAGTTTGGAGAGACTGATGAGGGCAGCCTTACGTGTGAGGTGGAGATTCTATCTCCCTAGCCTTGGGAGTCAGAAGTGATTTCCACCCTCTTTGGCCACCCTCTGGGGTTTCTTTTCTGGCCTTGTCTCCTTGCTCCCAGCTTCCCATCTGTGGGAATAGGTCTCAAGTTTCAGCCCCAGTCTCTGGTTTCACCCACTCCTAGGGCTTCACCTATCCCCTTAATAACTCCTTAGTCTGTGTTTAAAAAATCCTTTTTTTTTTTTGGTCCTTTACTTTAAAAATGTAGTCTAGGAACATACGCTTATAAAAATTTCCATTTTGGCCAGGCGTGCTGGCTCACGCCTGTGATTCTAGCACTTTGGGAGGCTGAAGCAGGTAGATCACTCGACCTCAGAAGTTGGAGACCTGCCTGGGCAACACAGCAAGACCCCATCTCTACAAAAAATACAAAAATCAGCCAGGCATGGTGGTGCACACCTGTGGTCCCAGCTACCCAGGAGGCTGAAGTGGAAGGATCATTCAAGCCCAGGAGTTGAAGGCTGAGTGAGCCATGATCAGGCCACTGCACTCCAGCCTGGGCGACAGACTGAGACCCTATCTCAAGAAAAAAATTCGATGTCAAACTTCTGTATTGTATAAAGGAGTGAAAGCCTTTCTCTTTCCCTCTAATTCTATTCCCTTTTCCATAAGCAACTACTGTTAACAATTCAGTGTGTAGTCTTCTAGGTCTCTTACATAGTCACCATATAGACACACACAAAAATAGGGTTTAAAACAATTACTGTATATTTATCGTGTCATACTATTATTTTGCAATTTGCCTTTTTCACTTAAAAATACCAGAGATGGGCCAGGCACGGTGGCTCACGCCTGTAATCCCAGCACTTTGGGAGGCTGAGGCGGGCGGATCATGAGGTCAGGAGATCGAGACCATCCTGGCTAACATGGTGAAACCTTGTCTCTACTAAAAAAAAATACATAGCTTTGGGAGATATATCTAATGCTAAATGACGAGTTAATGGGTGCAGCACACCAGCATGGCACATGTATACATATGTAACTAACCTGCACATTGTGCACATGTACCCTAAAACTTAAAGTATAATAATAATAAAATAAAATAAAAAAATACAAAAATACAAAAATTAGCCGGGAGTGGTGGCGGGCGCCTGTAGTCCCAGCTACTCAGGAGGCTGAGGCAGGAGAATGGCGTGAACCCGGGAGGCAGAGCTTGCAGTGAGCCGAGATCGCGCCACTGCACTCCCGCCTGGGTGACAGAGTAAGACTCCGTCTCAAGAAAAAAAAAAAAAAAAAAAAAATACCAGAGATATTTTCTAGGTCATATATGGATATACCTCAATATGTGTGGATATATTTCACATGACACTCCAGAATAGATTGAACCAATTCTTTATTCATAGACCTTTAGGTTATTTCCAAGCGATGCCACAATGATCCTGCTTTAATACATGTCATTTTTTGGTACAAGAATGAATATTTCCTGAGATTAACGTTTCTAGAAGTGGCATCTGTGAGTCAAAAAATATGCACTAGGCAGGTGCAGTGGCTCACGCCTGTAATCCCAGCACTTTGGGAGGCCGAGGCCGGTGGATCACCTGAAGTCAGGGGTTCAAAACCAGCCTGACCAATATGGTGAAACCCTGTCTCTACTAAAAATACAAAAATTAGCTAGGCTTGCATGCCTGTAATCCCAGCTACTCAGGAGGCTGAGACAGGAGAATTGCTTGAACCTGGGAGGCAGAGGTTACAGTGAGCCCAGATCGCATTACTGCACTCTAGCCTGGGCAATAGAGCGAGACTCTGTCTCAAAAAAAAAAAAGCACTATATCTAACCCTGACTGTCCTTCAAGTTTGAAACACACATTGCCAAGCAAACACCCATGGATGCTTGGAAGAGGGTGGCCTGCTGGTTATTGCAAGGTGAATGTCTCTAAGTGCTTCAAACTTGACAAGTCCAATGCCAAGGGCATTGTTCCCTCTTTTCCCATCCTGCTACTCTGCCTCCCAGCCTCCTTGCTTTGGTCAGCATCATTCCTACACATGCTTTTGCCCAAACATCATACTTTGAGTCATCTTTGACCAAGGCATCTGTGTGTTCAGATTTGCCCAGAGTTGTCCACAGTTCATGTCTATTGTCTTGGTAAAATCATTGCTAGAACTCCATTTATGCTCAAAACTGTTCTAGATTGCATGATAAATTATGTGCCCACATTATCTCTCTTCATCTGATTCCTGTTCAGTTCATCACAAAGTCCCAGCAGTTGTTTTTCCACTCTTCCCTCTGTTCCTTTGCCTCTGCATAGCTCAGGATTCCATCATCAGGCCTGAATGACAACAGGCTCTTAACTAGCCTCCCCACTCTGCATCTCTCATTCCTCCAACCCATCCTTCCACTCCACTCCCAGTCTGGTCTTTTTAGGCCACTTATTTTTATCATATAATTCTTTGGCTCCCCACTGCCTACAGAATTGAGACCATTCAAGATCTGTCATAATGCCATGGCTCATCAGAGCAGACATCACCCATCCCCATAAAGTCAGAAATCTGCAGAACCTTATATGGAGCAAGGGCAATAATCAGGCACTGGAAAAACTTTTCCATGCCACTCAAATCTGCATGAGATGGCCTGGCATAAGAAAGGCAAATTAATAAGAGAAAAGACCCTTTGTGATCTGAATGAAGCCCAGAAGGTGGCTTGGTGTCTCTCTGAACTCAGATCTGGGGCTAGCCATAGAGAGACCCCCTTGGGCAACATTCCTTCTAGCTCATTCTTTCTCTCCCTGCCCACTTGCTTTGCTACTTGCACAGTAATTCCAAGTGCGGTTTCTTGTTCCAGAGCTAGAGTCTCTAGGGACATCTTTTTTTTTTTTTTTTTTTTGAGACAGAGTCTCACTCTGTCCCAGGCTGGAGTGCAGTGGTGCGATCTCACCTCACTGCAACCTCTGCTTCCTGAGTTCAAGCGATTCTCCTGCCTCAGCCTCCTAAGTAGCTGGGATTACAGGCATGTGCCACGATGCCCAGCTAACTTTGTATTTTTAGTAGAGACGGAGTTTCACCATGTTGGCCAGGCTGGTCTCGAACTCCTGACCTCAGGTGATCTGCCTGCCTTGGCCTTCCAAAGTGCTGGGATTAGAGGTGTGAGCCACTGAGCCCAGCCTGTAGGGACATCTTTTGGTTCTGCATAGTTTCTGATGGGCTCTTAACCAGCTGGTGCCTGCCCCCTGTACTCCATGCCAACTCCGAGGAATGCCATATATGATCCAAGATCAAAGAACACCCAATCCTTGAGTGAGTGGGAGGGTGGAAACACAGAGCCATATACTATGATAAGAATTGACCCTCAAGCCACACCCTGAGGGGACTACCCTAGGGAACCTACAGGGAGGGCCTGGTCAGAGCTCCCTATCCCTCCCCACCATGTTAACTCCCACCCACCTGAGTCTTTAGAATGAGCTTCTGGAGCTCTTCACCAAACCTAAGGGCACCTGCAGCCTCCCCACTCCCTTCCCTGGCATCCCTTCCCTTCACTCAGATGTTGCCAAATGGATGGTGAGCTTGGATAGGTCCTGGTGGCGGAACTCCAAACAGGGAGGGAGGCATCCTGGCCCCCTGCCAGCATTCTGTCCATAGTAATTTGGCAGGGAAATGCCAGCTGCATATATCTGCACATCTGTTTATGCCTCTGGCTTGTTATTTATTCTCTGCCTTTCATGGGCAGCAGAGCCAGAGCACACCTCAACTCTTCCCAAGTCAGATTAACTGGGAAAGAAGGCTGGGACATTCAGTCACTACAATTGCTGATGCTCATTGAAGGATTTGCCTTCTTCAGCAGCTGCTGCCACTTTTCATAGAGACACAGAGGAGAGGATCGGGGGGAAGGGAGGGAAAGGGATAAGGGTGGGAGGAGAGGTGAAGAGAGGAGAGGGCTGTAGTGTTTGAGCCACAGTTGTGCTGGGAGTACTCAAATCAGGTGGGCTGATTCTGAGCTCCACTGGAGAAGGGGAGTTGGCCAGTCTGTCAGAAACAATCACCCTGACCTTCCTTCCTGCTAACCACCAGATTTCGGCGTGTGTGTTCTTGTATGGCTTGGGTAAGAGTCAGTCGTGGGAATAAGGCTTTTAACAGAGGTTTGGTGGGATAGGCTTCTTGGGGTGCTTAAATAACTTTTCTTTTTTTGAGACAAGGTCTCACTCTGTCACCCAGGATGGAGTGCAGTGGCACGATCATGGCTAACTTCAGCCCCGACTTCCCAGGCTCAGGTGATCCACCCACCTCAGCCTCCTGTGTAGCTGAGACCACCAGCACACACCATCATGCCCAGCTAATTTTTTGTAGAGATGGGGTTTCACCATGTTGCCCAGGCTGGTCTCTCCCTCCTGGGATCAAGCGATCCACCCATCTTGGCCTCCCAAAGTGCTGGGATTACAGACGTGAACCACTGTGCCCAGCCTAAATAACTTTTCTTGAGGGATTCCTGGGGTGAAGTACCTGGTGGTGAAGAATCAGAAGCCAGGCCCTGTCCCTGGGATTAAGGACAAGGAATGAGAAGGAAGAGGGAGGAATAAGAGGAAGGGAACAAGAAGGAAAAGGAAAAGGTGTTTTGAAGAATGAGGAATGTTTAGCAGGGAAGAAGAGGGAAAAGCGGAGGGACCTGGAAGTTTGGTGATCCTTGAAATAGTGGGGGTGCTGTCCTTGGTCCTGACTGACAAAGGGCCCACGAATAGCCCAGACGGAGTGCCTACCCCAAACTCCCTGCAATTTCCCATGAAGGTGACCAGATGATTTTGGAGGAAGAACAAAGAGCTAGAGCTGCATCTGATGGGAACTGAATCCACAGGCCTGGCTTCGCTCTCACACCTTCTCCTTCTCCTACCTTTCCCCAAAGCAACTCCCTGTTTAATAAATGCTCCTTGCAAGAGGTAGACAGTTGTGGGCTCAGAGGAGATCTGGGCAGGACTCCTGGGGAAGGGTGCAGGTACCTGTGCCCTGAAGACCCCTGGCCTAAGTCCCTCCTCATGAGATAAGTTGGCTGGAAAGTGGAGGTGCCCTAAGGTGGGAGTACTGGCCTGATCAGATTAAAAGCAACCAGATCCTGCTAAAAGCCTGGATTGACATTATGCTTCCACTTTCTCTCCTGTTCCTTTGCAGAACTTGAATACCAACACCATTTTTCCCTCCTTTAAAAAATTGTATGTAACAAGCTGTTCACAGGCAGGCCTTGCACAGATGGGGGTTTAATCAGCTACAGTCTAAGCACACAAGCATTCCAGCCTAATTCAATTCCTGTCAGTTCATTAGGGGAAATATTCATCACCCAGAGATTACAGCAGGGCCAAAACTCTGAATGGATTCTAAAGAGCTGTCAGTGGAGTAGCAACTGCACCAGCCTATGCAGGGGGCCATATTGTGTGGAGGGTGTCTGGCAGCCCTGGCCATGCTCTGAGACCCCTGATCCTACCGGGCTTCTTCACAGGGACTCTGTTTTGAGAATCACTGTTTTGCAGACCTCAAGGCAAGGCACTGAGGGGGAAGATAAGAGAGAAATACAACTGCATTTGGGAGTCCCTATTTAAAGGGGACATGGAGGCTCCTCCTTTTAGGGAGCCTCTAGTCCAATGGGGGAGACGTGGCTTCCACCCTCCGGAGTGCTCTCTGAGTTCTCTGAAGACTGCTGACTTATAAATGATTAGACTTTTCTTTCTTTTTTTTTTTTTTTTTTTTTTTGAGATAGAGTCTTACTCTGTTACCCAGACCGGAGTGCAGTGGTGCAATCTCTGTTCACTGCAACCTCCGCCTCCTGGGTTCAAGAGATTCTTCTGCCTCAGCCTCCTAAGTAGCTGGGATTACAGGCACCTACCACTATGCCCGGCAACTTTTTGTATTTTTAGTAGAGATGGGGTTTCACCATGTTGGCCAGGCTGGTCTCAAACTCCTGACCTCAAGTGATCCACCCACCTCAGCCTCCCAAAGTGCTGGGATTACAAGTGTGAGCCACCATGCCCGGCTGATTAGACATTTTTGTCCTAAAATCTCTAGCAAGAAATTACCTCCTCACAAAGGCACAGGTGGGAGTATGATTCCCACCAGTTCCTGCAGTTAAATTGGAGCAGAAGCTGGAAATAGAAGTCAGGGCACAGACTCAAGACCATGGGACGCTATTACTTTTCTTGTGCCATGGGAGCCTAGGTCAGGTGAACCTGGGCGGTGGAGGTAAGGGATCTCTTCCAGGTTGGATTTTCCCAAATAGATGAGACCCTCAATATCAAGTGACCTTAACCATCTCGTATGGAGAGGCTTGAGTATTTCCCTGTGTGTAGTTTCTGCCCACATCCCTATATGAAGCGTAGGAAGCTTGTTTGTTGATCACCTCTGGCTTTCCCAGGGCTATCCTCTGCCTCCCATTTTTCTCTTGTCCTCCCTGGTGGTGGTGCGGAAGTCTTGCCTTGGATGGTTCACTAATCCTAGGGTGTCTGAACCAAAGGCAAGGCACTCACAGGGCTAGACTTTGGCCTCAAAGCCCATAGTGCTTCCTGCCATCCCGTTTCTAGGCTTCAGCCCTAGACATGTCCTCTGGACTGAGGAGAGCTGGTCACCTGTGAGGTCTATTTCCTCTGCCTAGGTCTTCTGCCCTTTTGCTCACCTGGGCTAAGACGGAGAATGGGAGAGAAGAAACACGGAGCATGTGGCCTACCCTCCCATGTGGGTGAGGGAGAGCTTCCTGCAGCTGAGACCCGAAAGATAACTGTGAGGTACCAGTTGAGGGGCTGGGGAGGATTTTTGCCCTCACTGAGCCCCTGTGCTCCCTAGACTTCTTTCCCAGACTCCTGAAACCCATTCTTGGCTCAGAGTCCTTCAGTCAGTCTCCATGAGCCCTACCCCTCCACCCACAGCCTGCCCAGCATCCGGCTTCCTAGGGAGTCCCTCGGCTCTGAGACTACATCAGGACAATATTCCACAGGGATTCAGTTGGAAGACTTCTGACCTGGAGGGTGGGGTCTGGCTGTTTCTCAAAGGGAGCGACCAAAGCCTAGAAGGCACATAGGCTCTGCCACTCTCAGGCCCATCTCCTTAGGAAGGAATCAGGGACAGCAATAAGAACCCAGAACAAAGGGCCAGGAGGCTGATAGAGGGGACAAGATCCAGGTCAGAAACAAAAACTCAGCTTAGCCACAGTGATGCTTGAGAGTTATGAGATGGCTGGGGAGATCCACAAGCACCTTTTCATTGGGCACAGGTATAACCTACCTTGAACTTGGGACCTGGAGCCAGGTCCTGACACTGAATGGGCAGTTATAATCTACTTGGGAGCCTGGCTAGAAACCTTGTTTTCCCACTTACTAGCTAGGGAATCTTTGGTGAGCCACTTTTTTTGTTTTGTTTTGTTTTTTTATTTTATTTTATTTTATTGAGATGGAGTCTCCCTCTGTCATCCAGGCTGGAGTGCAGTGGCGTGATCTCGGCTCATTGCAACCTCCGCTTCCTGGGTTCAAGTGATTCTCCTGCCTCAGCCTTCCAAGTAGCTGGGACTACAGGCATGCGCCACCACACCTGGCTAATTTTTGTATTTTTATTAGAGACAGGGTTTGACCATGTTGGCCAGGCTGGTCTCGAACTCTTGAACTCAAGCTATCGGCCTGCCTCAGCCTCCCAAAGTGCTGGAACTACAGGCATGAGCCACCATGCCCGTCCTGTTTTGTTTTTTAGACAGAGAGTCTTGCTCTGTCACCCAGGCTGGAGTGCGGTGGTGTAACCATAGCTCACTGCAGCCTTGAACTTCTGGGCTCAAGTGATCCTCCCATCTCAGCCTCCCAGGTAGTTAGGACTTCGGACATGTGTCACCACACCTGGCTCATTAAAAAAAATTTGGGGGAGCCAAACATGTTAGCTCATGCCTGTATTCCCAGTGCTTTGTGAGGCAGAGGTGGGAGGACTGCTTGAAGCCAGGAGTTTGAGACTATCCTGGACAACATAACAAGACCCTATCTCTACCAAAAAATAAAAAATAAAAATTAGCTTGCTGCAGTGGTGTGCACCTCTGTGCACCTGCAGTGGTGCGCAGTGGTGTGCACCTCTCAGCTACTCAAGAGGCTGAGGTGGGAGGACTGCTTAAGCCTGAGAGTTTGAGGCTGCAGTGAGCTGTGATTGCACCACTGCACTCCAGCCTGGGTGACAGAGCAAGACCCTGTCTCTAAAAATAATAAAATAAATTTTATTAAATACATACCAAATTTTATTTCAAGGAACTGGTTGATGCAATTGTGTGGGTTGGCTAAGTAAGTCTGATATCTGTAGGGCAAGCAGTCAGGAAGGAAAGATCAGGAACAAGCTGGAACCCCCTGGGTGCTAGCAAAGCTGCTGTCCACAGGCAGTCGGGATGGGAGAACCTAGCAAAGGGAGAACAATTCTACACCAAGCTGCTGTTTGGAGCATCCTTCATCAGGGAGAGCCCTGACCCTTTACAGGCTCATCTGACTAGGTCAGGCCCATGGAGGATAACCTCCCTCACTTAAAGCCAACTGATTAGGGACTTTGATTACATCCTCAAAGCCCCTTTACAGCAGGACCTAGATTAGTGTTTATTGAGTACCTGGGAGAAGGTGTGCGGAAGCTGCAAAATGCCTGCTTTGTTTTGGGAGGCTGAGGAGGGCAGATCACATGAGGCCAGGAGTTTGAGACCAGCCTGATCAACATGGCAAAACCTTGTCTCTACTAAAAATACAAAAATTAACCAGGTGTGGTAGTGCACATCTGTAATCTCAGCTACTCGGAAGGCTGAGGCAGGAGAATTGCTTGAACCTGGGAGGTGGAGGTTCAAGTGGCTTGAACTCCACCTGGGAGGTGGAGTGCAGTGGCTTGATCTCGGCTCACTGCACTCCAGCCTGGGTGAACCTATCTGACAGGATTCTAGCCATTGAGAAGATGGGGCACCTCTTCCTTAGCAAAGGGAGGCTAAGGAGATCCCATCCTGAGTTTCCCATGGTCAGAAGTAAGTGTGTCTCTATGGGACTCCTGGGGCTTGTGGACATGGTGTAGGATGGGGAGAACCTCAGGATTAACCAGCACTCTTGGGGGTCCCCTGCTCTGGCTTTTTGGGGCCACCAGAGCCAGAGCTACAGTGGCAGTTGATGGGAATAGCCCTCAGTGACCAGTGGGGCTTCAGCAGGTAATTACCCGGCAAAAGCTGGGAACTGACAGGGTAATTATTAGCTTCTAATTGCAGGGCAAACTCAGGCCGGGATCCTTCTCTCCAAAGCAGAGGGCATTACTATTTGCATAGCAATTAATTACTTTGGGAGCTACGGAATTTAATTACCCACTAGTCCACAGGAGCCAATAATTAAATTACTCTCAGAAACAGGGTATTTATTTCCCAGTTAGTGTGAGCAGGTAGCTCTTCCTTTGGGGGGTGTGCCTGGGTGATGACCCCTAAACCGATTGCTGGTCCTTGGCCTGAGCAGGCAAAGAGTGGTGACCACGGTGCCCAGCAGGGAGTGCCCGCACCTTGATGAGGACGGACACCCAAGCATACACAGATACAGGCCCTTGTAGGGCATGCAGACACATGATACCATGTGCTAGCCATGACTCATGGACTGGCGTTTGGATGTACAGTAACTCATTGTAAGTGGGGCACACACACTCAGCGAGAATTACACACATGGTGAGGAACAGGCAAAGAGGCCAAAGAGGGAATTTTGGCTCTATCATTTTGCCACTATTGTTTTGCCTAACTTGCATCAAAATGTGTTTGTGGTACTATGTACTTTGGTCAACAGGCTGTGGTTCTGAGCCCATATGGAATCCATCTTCATCCCTGATGCCTCTCAAAATGGGGTTTGGGTTGGGAGGGCCTCAGGACAGAGTAGGCGCTAGGGAGGGGCTGGCACTGTCTATTTTGAACATCAATTGATTTTTTTGTTTTTTGAGAGGGACTCTCACTTTGTTGCCCAGGCTGGAGTGCAGTTGTGCAATCTTGGCTCACTGCAACCTCCATCTCCCTAATTGAAGCAATTCTCATGCCTCAGCTTCCCGAGTAGCTAGGATTACAGGCACCCACCCACCACACCCAGCTACTTTTTTTTGTTTGTTTTTGGTAGAGAGACAGGGTTTCACCATGTTGGCCAGGCTGGTCTCGAACTCCTGACCTCAAGTGATCTTCCCACCTCAGCCTCCCAACATGCTGGGATTACAGGCGTGAGCCACCATGCCTGGCCACATAACTTGATTTTTTAAAATCCTGAAAGTTTAATGTTTTTGCATCAAAATGGCCATGCCAAAATGTCATATATGCCTGAGAGACAGGAGTTGATAGAAGACCCTGAGGTCTGGAGGAACCTAGAGACTTCCAAATAGAAAGCAGCCCCTTGAAGCAGAGCTGTGTTGGGTCCAGCATTTACTCTCCCTCTTCATAGAAAACAGGGTCCCAGAAGGAGGCATGAAGGGATGGGGTGTGTCTGGGTTAGCTTGCCCAGTGTCAGGACCTCCAGTCCTGAAGGAGAAAGCCCAGAGCTGGGTGGTGTCTGCCAGGTCCGCTCTCCCCGAAGTCCACTCCTCGCCTTCCTTGGCGTTGCTTCCCATTGGCTGCCTGGGGGCAGTGGTCAGAGGTAACTGAGGCAATGTGGTTTTCACCTCTATCTACTTAGAGAGTATGGGAAGTCCCTGGCCCTGGAGCTGGGGATTCTAGTGTTAGAGGCAGCCTTGCTGCTTGGTGGGTTGCCCATTCCTCTGGGCTGGTGGGCCCAGGTCTTTGTGCACTGCTCCCAATAAGGAAGGGCAGAAGAATGGGGCCCGCTTCCCTTGTTCTCCACTCCCTTCATCCTGAAGGTGTCTCAGGCAGGTCAAGTGGGCACTGGTTATTCTGTGGTTATCTTCCTTCCTCCTTTTCCCCAGGTGACTATGGAACCCCTCGCATGTGCAGGTCCAGAGCCAGGCCACCGCACAGCCCCACTGCCCCATCCCAACTGATGTCAGCTCCCAGCCCCTGACCCCTTGGAATTCCCCTCCAAAGCCTAGAGCTGAGTCCCTGTCGCCATCCTTCCAGCTTAGCCTTGGGCCCTTCCCAGGTGGGATCCTGTAGATGCTTCTAATGAAGTTCTCTCTGACTCTGTTTGGGGCACCCACCACCCGTGGAAAGGAGCGGCGGCCGCCCCGGCCCAGGCTGCTGACAGCAGCAATCCATCTCCATCACAGTAATGGCGTCCCCATTAATCGGCCATAAACTAATAAAGCAATCACTTTCCACCCCTCACCCCCCCGCCCCAACTTCATTAAGTCTTTAGTACATTAATATGTCTTACTTAGTGTCAGCCAAGCCTCTTTCTCTGTTTGGGGTGGAGCATGCTGGGGTGGGCACCTCGCCCGGTGGGTGGGGGCACATGACCCCTCTCCTGGTCTGGGTAGGGGGCTGCTGACTCAGGGCAACCCACTCCCCCTCTCCCTCCTTCCTCTCCACCCACTGTCCCCTTGAGGGCCTTGAAAGGCTGCAGAGAAGAGGAAGAGCGAGAGGAACAGGAAACTGTGGAGCAGGAGAGAGGAGGAAACGGGAAAGGAAAAGGAAGGAGGAAGACGGGATGAGCTGGGGAGGAAGGGGGGAAGCTGGGAGGAAGGGGGAGACGGAATGGGGGAGGAGCTGTGCACCTCCAAATTAAATTTGTGATTCAGGCATCAGATGGGCCGACAGCCAGAGATTAATTCAACTGATCGAGTTATAAAGAGCGGGAGGCCTGGGTAATCAATCTTGCAGCTGTCAGGCCGACAGGCAGGAGTATTAACCTGGCGAGACGGCACGTACCCAGGACTTTTTCATTTCATTCACCCCAACCATGTCCCTGACCACCTCTGGTCTGTCTCTCCAAGTAATAATAATTACGGCTGTTAACGATGACAGAGACAGGATGAGGGGACGGGCTCCTGCGGCAGGGCTTCCTCTCCCGGAGCTCCCACCCACTGCTCCTCTGACCACTCCCAGAAGGTAGAGCAAGGACCAGCTCATGGCACTCTTTGAGAGGTGGGGAAATCGAGGCAGGAATTCCAAAAAGACCTTCAGACAGGCCAGAGGTGGGGCTGGAAAGGTACTTTGGGATAAAGGACAGTGCCCTAGATCCCTCTCAACTCTCGGGAAAAGAATTGTCCTTAAGTCAGCCAGCTTGGCCCCAACACGTTCAGCTGTGGCCAGGGAAGCTGGAATCAGGAAGGTGAGACAGATCCCCTCCTCCGGGCTATTTTGCCTCAGCCACAAACCTGAGCTCTGTGTGGCTTGGGTGGAGGTCCCATCCTGGGCACAGACTCCTGGGCTGGGGCTGCTGTTCTTCCTGGGCAGCCTTCTCTCCTCCTTCTCTCTCCTCCCACCTGACAGTGTCAGTCCACACCTAGGGGGTGGGGGTCTCCCTGCAGAGACTTGTGGAAACACCACCGTTTGAGTAGAGAAGGGGTGGGGATGGGGGAGCCCCCTTGAAGTTGACACCTCTCTCAGCTCTGGCTAATTTTCACATCCTTCAAATTCTGATATCTCTTTTTCCCTCCTTGCTCCAGGGAAAGGAAGGGAGAAGACAAGAGAGGGAGAGAGAGGTAAATAGGTAAGAAGATGTGCTGGGCACCTTTAGGGACTGCTGGGAGTGAGCCAGGGCCTCGTCAGTCCTCTGAAATTGTTATGCCAGGGTGAGCTGCTAGTAGTGGGGGCCTTGGAGGGCTGATGTGAACTGTGAGTTCTTTCTTCCATGCTCAGTGAGAACCAGGCACAGGGTTCGTGGAAGGGGCTATGGCCCCTGTGATGCCCTCAGTATTCCCTATTATCATTTTCATTATTACCAATCAGGGACCACCCCGTCGCTACAGACAGCAATGCTGTAACAGTGACTAGTGCCAGAAACTGGCTAAAGGTTTTCTATACATTACTACTTTAATGTTCGCAAAGAGCCCTATGAAGCAAATTCTGTGATCAGCCCCATTTTACAGATGAAAACCTGAAGTTCAAAGAGGTTGGAAGACTCACTCAAGCTCTCACAGCCAGGAAATAGCAAAGCCAATACTGGGCCCCTAGCCAGAGCCTCAGCTCAGCATAGGCTAACTTTCCCCCAAGGCCCTCAAATGTCACTGTCCCCTCTGACCCCTGCCTCCACCAAGGTTCCTCAGTGTTCTCCGTAGGCGGATTCTGGATTTCTCCAGCTGAGGTGACCTGGGCACCAGATCCTTCTGGGTTTGAGAAGGGTGGGGAGGGTGATGCTTCTGTTTGTTTAGAGGGTGGGGCGGGGAACCTGGTGTCAGAGAACACTCATCCGGGGCAAAGGGAAGAGTGGGGGCCCCACTCGGGGAGGCTCCCCAGTGCTCTGCCCTCAAGTAACCCCAGGGAGTAGGCTCTGCCCCCTCCCCAGGCCCCATGGCCTCTTGGGAAAGGAGAGAGTGCTGACTTGCCCATGCCCCCCGCCTTCCCCAGGGATGGAGCAATTGGAGGGGTGCCATGCTGGGTGTGTGTTGGGGTGGGAGTGGATCCTGACTTAGAAGGGCCTAGAGGAAAACTCTCCCTGTCACCTCCTGACCCTAGCTGGGGCTAGGCTGGAGGAGGACTGGGGACATGGGCCTGTCTGAGGCGCCAGGCGCTGGAGGCTGGAACTAGGCCAGCCCCTCTCCCAGGCTCCCTAGGACCCATTTCAAGTGGTTGCTTCCAGGATGACGCAGCCCTGGGGAGGGGGAGCAGGAACAAGGAGCCTGTTTCCAAGCAAAGGTTCAAGGGTTTCCTTTCCTGGGCTCCCGCCCCCTTGCTCAGGGCAGCCACCCATTCTGCCCTGTCAGTCATAATGTTTCTTCCTTATCTGAGACCAAAGCCGATGGAGGGACCCAAGTCCCTGTCCCATCTTGAGGTGGTTCTTGTGCTTGAGTGGGGATAGATGGAGACCCCCAGCACAAGGAACCAGAATCCTCAAGTCTTAAGGTTTTGATCAGTGGGGTGACTGGGAGAGTTAACGTATCATGGCTCCTCTCTGCTCCTGCCTCGTCCCGTTCCATGGAGCCTTCTTATTCCTGCAAGATCCTGCATCAGGGGCCTCTTGCGGCATTAGAGATGGGGGTGTTCTCTGGTTTCTAGTCCTCTCAACCCATCAAGGTGGATGTGGATTCAGATCCCGAGGGCTGTCTTGTCATGATCACCACAATTGTCCCTCGCAGCTTCTCTGCGCTTTAATTCTCCGTCTGTAGGTAATGGAGAGAATGCTGTCTGTGATCTCTGCCTCCTCTGCCTCAGGATGGGGCAAGGTGGGTTGCTGGGGAAAAAGAGAGGAGAGATCTTTTCAGGCAAATCACATAGAACACCTGTTTCTAAACCTGTTGATCCTTCCGTGCCTCAGTTTCTGTGTCTGTAAATTGGGAGAAATCACACCTACTTCCTTGGGTTGTTGTGATGCCCAAGTGAGATGGCAGAGGGGGCCTAGCTCTGTGTCTGGCACATTGTGGTGCTGAATAAATATTTGAAACAATCAGCCAGAGTGGGGAAGTGCCTGGGGTGTGGTGAGGGTGTGGGCTTCAGGGAAGAGGCTCTCCTTCCTCGCCCTCAGTCTTCTCACCTCCCAGCTCTCTGATCTCTCACTGTGACAAGTCCAGGCAGAGGCCCTCAACATGAGCACCCCAGCTCTGAAGATTGCTTGGACGAGGCTGGAGAATGCTGGCGCGCTAGATAGGGTTGCGTTTGAGGGATGTGTATCTCCACATCCTTGATTTGAGACAGGGGCTATTTGGACATCAGCCAGGCTTTGTGTATATGTGAGTGTGTGTGTCTGCGTGTGCACATGTGTGCATGTGTGTGGATGTGTGTGTGGGTGAGTGGGCTCAATGGCTGGCACCAAAATACTTGCTGATTAATCTTTGTCTTCCGAGCGCCCAGCCCTAGTCCCCGGGAAGCTCCAGGGCCTGAGCTGGTGTCCAGTGGGCCTGAGGGGGCAGAATCAGGCCCAGGAAGATGGATTTCCCTGTCCCCTCAGGCCCCACCCAGCAGGGAAGCAGGGAAGACTGCTTCATTTTGTTTAATGGGATACTGGGGGGGACAGTAGTCATGGGGCATTAACTGCTAATTGGGTCCATAATAAAGTTAATAAAGCTCTTATGGTCTTTGCCATTAAGTGTAATTAAGGGGGTGCTCTGTGGCGAGGAGGGGGTTGTTCGCGGGGAACGGGTAGTGGGCTCTCACTGGCAGGAGCAGCTGATGGGGAAGCTGGCAACCATGCCAAGGCCAGAAGCTGCACTGGCTTCTGGCACCACCCACCCCTGGCTGGGCTCCCGCGCAGCTCCTCTGGGGATTGGAGGTGGTGAAGTGGACAGGAAGGGAAAGGGTTTACTCTGTGCTGTTCATAGAAGTCCAGGGGGAAAATCATTAACTTCAGCCCCAATGCCCACACCCTTGAAGAGGCTCAGAACATGGAAGAAATGTCATCTTCAAGGAGAGATGGCACGGACAATCTCTGAGCTTTAGGGCATGGCTTGACTTGTGTGTGCTGAATGACTGGGGACGTTGCATAACCACTCTCAGCCTCGGTTTCACCTTCTGTAACATGAGGATAAAAACAGCATGGTTAGGAGGGTTCCAGAGCTATGTAGTGGGAGACAGCTAGATGAGTGACTGTCGTGCTGTTATTCTTTTTGTGAGCTCTTGTTTGTTTTGTAATAACACAAGAATGTTTGATGAAGCCTTCTTGTATATACAGAAGCACAGAGTGACCCTCTCATCCCTCTGTCATCGATGTGGTTGTTATTTTTCCAGAGTTTTGGGGATATATTTATATAATATATGTGTACATGCAGAAACACATAGTTTTCTTTCTTTTTTTTTCTTTTTTCGTTTTCTTTCTTTCTTTCTTTTTTCTTTTTTTTGAGACAGGGTATCACTCCATCACCTAGGGTGGAGTGCAGTGGCGTGATTATGGCTTACAGCAGTCTCAAATTCCAGGGCTCAGGCAATCCTCCCACCTTAGCCTCCCGAGTAGATGGGACCACACGTGTGTACCACCAAAACCAGCTAACTTTTACATTTTTTGTAGAGATGGGGGTCTCCCTATGTTGCCCAGGATGGTGTCAAACTCCCAGGCTCAAGCAAGCCTTCTGCCTCGGGCTCCCAAAGTGCTGGGATTACAGGTGTGAGCCACTGCGCCCAGCCTACATTGTTTTCTTGGATGGCTGTATGATATTCCATCATATGGCTACGTTTTAATCATGTTGCTTGTGCCCCAGATGGAAACCTAGACTGTTTCTAGTCTTTAGCTCTTACAGTACTGCAAAAATACCTTGATATATTTCTCTGAGCACAAGTGCAGGACATATATAGACAAATTCCTCGAAGCGGAATTGTTGGGTCAACTGACATGTTCATTGAACATTTTTGATAGATATTGCCAGACTGCACATGAAGATGATTGCACTGTCTACCCCCGGTGTCAAACCGGCAGAGGGGCTGCCTCCCAGGTGCTCAGCTCAGCCACCTCAGTTGCTCTCAGACACACTCCTGGACAGCTCCCGGGATGGGGGAGTCCCAAGGAGAGCACGCAGGACAGGGAGCGCAGCTTCCCCTGGGAGGGGTGGGACAGGAGGGACAGGAGCCAGCCCTCCCCTCTAAGCCTGAGAAAGCCACTAGGTAAACTCGGTTGTCAGAAGGGAGGGAGAGTTTCAGTCAGGGTCAGGGGTTAATGCGATGGAGCTACTGGGACACACTGTGCAAACAAAACAAGTTAGGGGAGGGGAGGGGCCGGCCCTCTGGCCACAGGGAGGGAGATGGGCCAGTCAGCCTGCACTTGGCTCTTCCCTGGGTAGCTGCCATCGTGGGCACAGGTTCTGGGCTGTTGAGGACCTTGTGGCCAGGCTGCTGGGCTCTAAGGCCAAGAGGGCAGCATTCTCCTTCTGAAGGCCGCCCCCCAGAGCTGGCACGGTAGGCCTGCTGAGCTGCCTTGCCCACCTTCAGGGCCCCTCCACAGGTAATCCCCCTGGAGCCCTGTCTGGGAGGCTTTGGACGGTATTAGAGGTGAGCCGGGTGGCAGGCCCTGGAGCCAGGCCCAGCTTTTAGAGCATTCCTGAGCATTAGGCTCCCTGTCCCAGCCCAGCCTTGCCCTCACCCCATGGAGCCCCTGGGGCTTCTCTGCTTCAGCTGCTGCTGGCCTAATTACAGGTGTCCATGTCAGGGTCAGCAGTGGAGTTAATTCGGGGCTTGTCTTGGGGTGGCCGGGGCTCATTAATGGAGTCCCAAAGAGCCTAGGGATGAGCCAGGCAAACAGGGGATTAGGGGCTGAGGAAGACTGCTGTGGGGGAAGGCTGGCTAGGCAGGGCTGTGAGCTGGGCCCCGGGGAGGGGGTCAGCTTCAAGCCTGTGTGTTCACCCACCCACCCACACAGGCCCTCATGAGACCCAGCAGTGCTCAGACACGCAGACACACACAGCCACGGGCCAGACACTCTTCAGAGACACATATGGACTCTCATACACAGGCTCACACACACAGACACACACCATTGGACTTAGAACTGCTCCCTGAGAAGCCTTGAGGTGTGCAGGAGGGGTGGGGGAGATGAACCAGAGATTTCCCTCTTCAGCCAGAAACTCTGGCCTGCCCCTGCCAGCCCCCTCCTGTGCCCTCTCCCACCCTGGCCAGGGCATTGAGCTTCCCTTCTCCCTTTCCTTCAGCATGTCCTCCCACCATGGACTGGAATTCCGAAGCACTGGTCTGTGGGTAGAATGAAAGAGCCGGCTCCCAGCCAGGATGCAGGGAGGCGGGGGTGGTTTCTCCACACCCCTCAGTCCAGCCTGGCCTAGAGGGTCCCTGAGCCCAGCTGTCAGCCCACCTCCCCCATACCAACCCTGTGCCTCATGACAGCCCTGGGGTTCTGTGGGGAGGCAGAGCCACACTGCACAGAGGTCACCAAAGAGAAGGAGGAGGAGGAAGACAAGAAAGGAGCTGACAGGAGCCAGGGTTGGGGCGGGGGCTGGGCAGGGGGAAATCGCTTAACCCCGAAGCCGCCACTAGTCTTTGGAGCCCCTGCATTGACGGGGGCCAGCTGGAGCTGGCTGAGGACAAGGGGCCCAAGTGTGGGAATCCAGGGAGGAGGCCTCCCCGGGCTTCCTGGATCAGCTGGGAAGAGAGACCCCAGAGCCTTCTTCTCCAGCCCGCCCTCCTGCCGCCATCCCTCCCTAGAGTGTGGAGACAGGCCCCGGCTCCCTGGCTCTGTTGCCAGTGGGGGAATTTTTCCAGCATTGACCTCACCCCGACCCCACCCCAGGCTGGCTGGCTGATGTTCCTGCACTCCTAGCAGCGTGGCCATGGCAGCACAGGGCAGGCAGGGGATTCAGAAACCCAACCCTTGACTCTGGAAGAGTCAGGTTTTCCCAAGGATACCTCCTTCCACCTGTGCCCACTTACCAAGGCACCTCCTTGACTAGTATTTAGAAGTGACCCCAGGGATAAAGTGACTCCCATTACAGAAACAGCCACTGCTCCATCCCACTAACTTCACCTGCTCATCAGTAAAGGTGCCCACGGGTCAGACTGCCACCTGTCATCACCTCACTCTTGGTCCTAGGCATCAAGCCTTCCCTTCTGGGCCCCCAGTGTCCCCCATGCCATCCCAGGACCCCACACACACTCCAGGCCCATAATTGAATATAAAGGCCCAGAAGCTAGTGCAAACAGTGGCATTAATCACCAGCAACCTGGCAGCCTCCTGCCATAGATCTTTTCCACGCGTAGAATAGCTCATGTTAATCACTGCCGCTGATTTATTGTCTTCTCCGCCTTGTACATAAATTATTCACTGTGGCTGGGCTGCGAAGGAATCCTGTAATGAGGCCTTCCATCCTCCCATCTCCAAGGTGAATCCTCAGACCTCCGGGTCCACCTAGTTGTGTTCACTGGTGGGTCAAGGCATGGAGCCACAGGCATGGGATTGAGAGGATGATAGGGAGTGGGGACCCCCATGCAAGAATATCTGTCCCCCCAGGAGCATATATAGGACCTCTTCAGCTCCAGGAAACAGGGCTGCGGCCTCGCCTCTCCAGCTCTGGACAGGAGAGACAGGGCAGAATGGGGCGGAGGAGGCTGTTGGGTGGCCCCAGGGCTTCCTAAGGCTCCGGGAGAGTAAAGCCTTCCAGCCTTTACCTGGAAGTTCCTGCTCACCACCTGAGAGACTCTCCCGCCAATCAAGGCCAACTCTTGGGAGTTCCCCATCACCGGAAGCAGGATGTGGGCGTGTCCACGGGGGCAGAAGACCTGCCTCTCCCAGCTCCCTGTCCTACCCTGGGGTCTGTGCTGCTCTCTGGCCACACCTCTGAAATGGCCTCAGCCTCAGGAAAAGGTGGTGGCAGTAGTTATGGCAATGGCCACCAGATGGCAGCCCTGATACCCAGGACAGTAGCTCAGGGAGGTGGGAGGCTGCATTTGGGTAAGGAAATGCCTTTGGGAAGGTGGGAATCCGCCAGCGGAGGGTGATGGGGAGTGGGTGGAGAGGGGGTCTTGCTGACAGGGAGAGCTCTTAGCCTCAGGGGACCAAAGTACAGGACCCACTTCACACATCAAACCACTCATGGTGACATCCTCAAATGGGATGGTCTCAGGAGAGGAAATTGGGGCCCAGGTGTATGTGGGCAAGTGGGACCCCAGAGGGTGTGGGTGCTGCCAGATGGACTTCCCTGGCCCTGGCCCAACACCCCTGCAGCCTGACTTTCAGGCTGTCCTTCCCAGGCTCTGATCCATTGCATCCCAACCCCTCTCTCTTGGCTGGGGCACTCTCGGAGGCAGCCAAGACAGGAGCTACTGTGTACTGTGGTCAGCTGGGGGCCAGCAAGCCCCGCCCTCAGGATCTGTTTCACTGCACACATGCAGCACTGTGAGTTGCTTAGACCCAGTCCATCAAGAACACCTGTCCCCGCACAGGCCCACTGTCTCCTCCCACTCCTGTATGTAGAGTGGAGAGCTGCTCAGAGATACAAATGGGTCCTAAGATTCAGGAGACTTGTGGCTGCAACACTGGGCTTGCCAGAGTGCCCCTCCAGCCCTTCACCCCTCCACAACCCCCTCCCCACACACCTTACATCACCTACTGAGGCAGGGCGGAGCCTGCACTGGGATGGTGTAGAGGATGCAGAGTATTTGCCTTGTTACCCAGCCAGTGAGCTGCTTTCCAGCAAAGATGCGGGCTCCGGTCCTTTAAATACCTTGAGCCTAGAGGGCAAAGCTGGCAGAACAAGGCTCTGAAGGCCTCCTTTTGCCCCAGCTGCCTAGATGGGAGTCCTAGGAAAACATCTGGAACTCTGTGTCTCCTTGGCAGTTCTTGCCTAGGTGTCCTTGCTGTACATCCCACCGCTAAGCTCTCTGGAGATATCCGCTGGGATTCTGGAGTGCCCCTCCCAGACCCCAACAGGCCCTCTGGGTTCTGATGGGAACTCCCAACCCCAGGCAGGGCCCTATCTCCTGAAGGCAAGGTCAAGACATTCCCATCAATGAAGACCAGTGTTTCCCCAAGTGCAAGTCCTGTGCCTACTTCAGACCTACTGAGCTGGAAACTGTGGGGAAGAGGTCCAGATAACTGAATTGTTACCAAGCTTCCTAAAGCCTGAGAACCTCTGTACGAGACACTTCCTTAGAGCCAGGCTCATGCCCTCGTTAGATCAGCTTCCTGAGGGCAGCCCCAGACCAGGATGGGTGAGTTGTGAGGTTTTTCTAGTTGGCCTCCGAGTATTGACTTCCCTGCCACCACCGCCCTGGAAGTGGGCACACCTTTGGCCTCCTCACTGTCCTCCTGCCTGGTCCCCTTCCCTTCCCGCCAGCCCTCTGGCCCTTCCCAGCCAGCTTGCCTGGCTTCCTGGACCTGCTGTCTTCATGTCTGTCTTCACATCTGTTCCAAGGCTGCCCCAGCCCCGCTTGTTTATCCTTCAGGGGGTCCAAGTGGGTGTTTCAACTTCAATTATGCTCTGACTACAGCCACCACAGATACCAAAACAAACGTCCTGGGCGTCAGAGGTGGTGGAGGCTCAGACAGGCTGGTGCCAGGGGGCCTGATAAAGGGGGGTCTGCTTGGGCTTGGAGGTGATGAGAGCTGCTCCTAGTGATAGGGCCCTGGGGAGCAGGGGCTCGTGGGTAACTGGCCTCCTCAGGTAGGCCCAGGCCACAGAGGGGACAGTGTCTTGGTCTTAGTACCTCTCTCTCTGTCTCCCAGCTTCTCTCCAGTCTCATGTAACAGAAGCCTTTTTTTTTTTTTTCAGTGGGGACGTGACTTGTAAAAGCCTTCCTTCTTCCCAGCTGCTGGCTAAGTCTGGCCTCACCTCCAGAGGACAAAGATCTTGACTCCTCAACCCAGGCCGGCCTATTGAGATCTTTTTAAATCCCCTCTCAGACCTTGTGGTCAGTGTCTGAGGATGGTAGCAGAAGTCAGGGATCCTGGACCCAGCTCTGTTGGATTGTCCCTGTGACTTGGAGTGTGGTCTTTGCACAAGCTGTGCTTTGGTTTCCCCTCTCTAGGTCAATTAGCAGAACACATTTCCCAGTCTGATTGCCCACAAGGGAGAAAAATTCAAACCTTCCAGGCTCCCTGGAGTCCCTGGAGAATACAACGAGGTGTCTCAGGGAGCAATGGGAAGCAGGACGTGGTGCCTGCTAATGAGTGGGCCCTGATTTCCGTCTGGAGCATCAGAGGATGGAATGCCAGGCATCCATGACTAGAGAGAGGCCCCAGCTCCCATTGATCTCTGTGGCAGGAACCAGGAGACCCAGCAGAGGCCATGCTCAGCAGCCCCTCCAGCTGCGCTTCTCCTTAGTGGGAAGGAGCCCTCTTACTCACTGCACCCTCTCTGAATTCTCCCCCAGTACCTGCTTTTGCCCCTACCCTTGCCTTCTGCTTTTCCCAAATGGCCACCTCAGCTTATCTGCCCATTGGCTGATCTCTGCAATGATCACATCTGGGAACACCTTTAATAACAATGATAACAGGGCCAGGCACGATGGCTCACACCTATAACCCCAGCACTTTGGGAAGCCGAGGCGGGTGGATCACTTGAGTCCAGGAATTCGAGACCAGCTTGGTCAACATGGTGAAACCCCATCTCTATTAAAAATACAAACATTAGCCAGGCATGGTGGCAGGCACCTGTAATCCCAGCTACTCGGGAGGCTGAAGCGGGAGAATCGCTTGAACCCGAGAGGCAGAGGTTGCAGTGAGCTGAGATGGTGCCACTGCATTCTAGCCTGAGTGACAGAGCAAGACTCCATCTCAAAAAATAAAATAAAATAAAAATAATGACAATAGGGCCAGGGGCGGTGACTCACACCTGTAATCCCAGCACTTCAGGAGGCTGAGTGGGGAGGATCACTTGAGCCCAGGCGGTTGAAGCTACAGTGAGCTATGACTGTGCCATGGCACTCCAGCCTGGAAATCAGAATGAGACCTTGTCTCTAATTATATATATATATATATATATATATATATATATATATATATATATATATATATATATATATATATATATAATGATAATAGCAAGGAAAACAAAAAACAGCTCCTATTTATCGAACACTTCCCATGTGATGTGCCAGATGCTTTTGCGATTTGATCTTTCTGTCCTACAAGGCAGACGGATATAACAGCCCCACTTTATAGATGAGGGAGCTGAGAGGTTAAGTAAATGTTCCAAAGCTGCACTAGCTCCACTAGCAAGTGGCAGAACTGGATTCAAACCCAATTAGTTCTGACTTCTGAGCCCAAGGTTTTTGCTCCAGGCTTCGGATGTGCTGTAGAGAGCGGGGTTTACTTTGTGTTGGCTCCATCAGCCCCTTGAAAGCTCAGGGTCATGGCTTCTGTAGGGGGCTCTCTCTCTTTAGTACTCAGGGTTGAAGAGACCCTTGGGCCACTCAGGGGGCCCCAGAGTCCTGCTGGAGACCCAGGGAAGCTGTCTCAGTCCCAAATGAACCTGGTCATGTGTCAGCTCCCTGTCCACACGGCTGAGGGCAAACTTTCTCAGAGCTCAGCTCTGGCTCTGCTGCAGGATGTGAGTTGGGGGGTTCTGGTTCTCTGAGTTCTTGAGGAGGGTCTGGATGAGGGTGGGGTTTCTATTCTGATCTCTGTTCTGGTTCCTCTTACTCATTCAACCCTGGCTGCTGCCCAAACACAGGCAGCCTCTGCCCTGGGGCTGGAGCCACAATGTGGCAGGTGGAGGGATGGGAGGTGGACTATTGGAGCCAGACAGCTGCTTCCTATCCCTGCCATGCACATGCACACACACAGTGAGGAAGGGGCAGGGCACGTGAGCTCTGGAAGGAGGGAGGGCCACCAGGGGCTCATTAGGGTGAGTATGGGCACATTTGTGTCTTTGTGAGTGTGCACGCTGGAGATTGGGAGTGTGCTCGTCTGTGGCTGTGTGTGGGTGTGTGCCTGTGAGGTGGGGTCCAGGCTGAGTATGAGAGTGTAAACATGTGGGTCTTTGAAATAATGAGTATGACAGAGCAGTGCACTAGTGTGACCATGTGGGGTGTGACTGCTTACAAGTGTATGATTGTGTGAGCGCACAAACACGCATGGGAAAGACAGTTGCTGTCTCTTAGAGGAAAAATCCCAGAACTCCAACGGCCAACGTCTGCTCTGCTGTTGACCAGCTCTGTGGCTTTGAGCACATGACTTCTCTGAGTCTACATGTCGCTACCTGCAAATGGGGAGGAAACTGTCTCACAGGGTAATCATGAGGACGAGGTGCAGGTGTGGGTGGAGCACTTTGTCATCTGTCAAATGTAGGTCCCTGGGAAGGTCAATAAGCAATCTCCATCCTCTGCCTCTCTCCCCCACTTGCACCCCCACAACATGCTCAGGCCCCAGCCAAGTGCCAAGCTGGGGTGGGTGGTGTCCCAGAGCTGCAGGCTACATGGCCAGAGGTCCAGGCTCAGGAGGACTGGTTAGGGATGGTGAGAGTGAGCAGGTGTGGTGCCATACCTGTCTACTCCAGCTTCACATGTTTGACCCAAGGCTGCCCTGCCCCACCGGCACCAGCCCATCAGCACTCATTATTCTCCTCTGGATCTGAGGGGATTCTCCTCTATCTCACCCCAGCCCAGCATGCTGTGGCTTCTGCTGCCTCCTCCCTCTGGGGAGGTGAAGGCCCCCCCAGTAGGAGGCTCTCACTTCAGGTTCCCCTTCTGACCTTCTGAAGGCCATTCCCCACTAAGATCCCAGGGTCTTCAGCCCTGTTTCACTTCCATTCCCAGCCTCCCCTGAGCTTCCTCAAATGATTCTGGGGCACCTAGTCCATGCACCTACATTTGGAAATCATCTACTTAGCACAGTGGTTCTCAACCGTGGCTGCACATCAGACAGGAATCACCCAGGGAAGACTTGAAAGATCCTGATGCTGAGGCTGCCCCCAGACCAGAATTTCTGGGTTGGTACTCAGGCATTATTACAGGTTTAGGCACGGAATGGTGGGTCATGCCTGTAATCCCAACACTTTGGGAGGCCAAGGCAGGAGGACTACTTGAGGCCAGGAGTTCAAGACCAGCCTGGGCAACATGGCGAGACCGCCTCTCTACCTAAAAAAGAAAAAAAGAAAAAAAGAAAAAAGAAAAAAAAATTGTTGGGCATGGTGGTGCACACCAGCAGTCCTAGCTACTTGGGAGGCTGAGGCAGGAGATTACTTGAGCCCAAGAGTTTGAGGCTACCGTTAGCTATAATCACGCCACTGCACTCCAGATAGTCTCTAAAAAAGCAAATAAAATGACAAAATAAAATAAATATAGGTTTAAAGCTCTCCCAGGTGATTCTAATGTGCAGCCAAGCTTGAGAACCACTGCTGATGTTTCCCAAGCATCCTTGCTGAGAAGAATCACTTGGGACGCTTCAAGTATTGAAGTGTATTCAGGTATTGAAATGTATTGTGTTAAATACACAGCTTCCCAGGCTCCCTCCCCTGGAAATTGTCATTGGGTGAGTCTAAGATAGGGCCCTGTAATTTGCATTTTTAATAAATACCACAGATGATTCTAATTATTAGGGAATTTTGGAGCTACTAGCCTAGAGCTGTGTTTCTCAAACTTTAATGCGCATCCAAATCACGAGGGGATCTTGTTAAAATGCAGATTCCGGTTGACTAGTTCTGGGGTGAGAGCCTGAGGAGTTATAGAAGTTCTGGCCAATCGGAGCATAAATTAAGAGATGGTGAATAATAAGACAAGACCAGAGAAGAAGGCAGGGACCTTATAAACTGTGACAAGGAGCTCAAACTTGATGCCATGGCAATGAGGAGCCACCAGAGGGTTTTAAACAGAGGGAAAGCTTGTTCAGATACATATTTTAGAAAGGTGTATTATTGTGGCCATGTGGGAGATGATGGATCATGCATCAGAGGATCAGACATCAGCCAGGAGGCTGTTGCCACATTCCAGGTGAAAGGTGGTGGCCTGGGCTAATGAGGTGGGTGCAGAGGGAGAGAAGTTAGTAGTCTTGTGGAAGACTCAGTGATCAGTTGGGTGGAGGCTGAGGGGGAAGATGAGGGAGGCTCCAGAGTAACCCCTGAGCTGGCTACTGACTTGGCAACTGGTGAAGAGGCGTGCCCATCTTGGTTGGCTCTGAAGCTTCCTTCCACATCTACTGACTCTATGGTCTGATCATTGTTTGGCTTAGCTTCTTGTGGGACCAGGGTGGGAGAGAGGCTACAGGAAGCTGCCTGAAATGCGTTATGGAACTGGTGCCTTGGAGAGCCCTTCTCCTTGACTTTGAGTGACTCTGGAGGCTCCCTGTCAGCAGTTGCCAAGGCTTAGAGGCTGCTTTGGGGATTCGGTCTTCTGCATACCTTGGCTCTCCATTTTTTTCCTCTCTGGCTCCCTTCCAGAGAAGGAAGCCCAGATGAAGAGAAATCTGCATCCAAATGGCACCCTTGCTCTTGGATCCCATCTGGTGACTCTCCTTGTGAACCCTAAGTGCCCCCTAAAGACCTCCCGCAGGCCATTTCTCCTGACATCTCTGCTTGGCACACCAGTCCCATCCTGACCTTGACCACAGACCCCTCCCCACATTGAGCTCTGTCTACCCACTCCAAGGACACTTGGCCTGTTCTCCTGTTTGGGGACCTTATTTTTCCCTTTTGTCAGCTAAATGTTGGCTCAGAATCCCCTAACCAAGTAACTGCTTTGCAGTTCCCAGGCTGCTCTGTCACATCTCTCTCTGGTATAGCTCTTTCTACGGTGCAAGTGTGCAGTAAGACTGAGATTCAAGTCACACTCACTAGGCTGGGAGGGCCATTCTGTAATCAATTGCCATCATCTTGAGCATCTGGTGAGAGCTAATAGTATGTTGGGCACCAAACTAAGGACTTTATATGTATTATCTCAGTGTATGTTCACATCTCCAAGAGATAGATTGTGCAGTGGTGCGATCTCGGCTCACCCGCAACCTCCCCCTCCCAGGCTCAAGCCATTCTCCTGCTCAGCCTCCTGAGAAGCTGGGATTACAGGCACACTCCACTACTGCCTGGCTAATTTTTGTATTTTTAATAGAGATGGGGTTTCGCTATGTTGGCCAGGATGATCTCAAACTCCTGACCTCAAATGATCTACCTGCCCCAGCCTCCCAAAGTGCTGGGATTCCAGGCGTGAGCCACTGTGACTGGCCAGGTTCTCCTATTCTTATTTTACAGATGAAGAAATAGGCAAAGATGTTAAATAACTTGCCCAAGGTCACTCAGCTAGGAATTGGGACTGGAGCCTCGTGCATCTTCACCACTGAACTGCACTGCCTGTCATAGTCCTCATCAGCAACCAAGGCTCAGTTAAGTCCTCTGCCTAGGATCAGCCTCACTGGATTTTTCCCAGAGAAAATGTCAGGCCAGGGCTAAGGCTCATACCCAGAAAGCTGAGGGAGGGAGCAGATGGTAACCCCAGGGGGATTTTGCCACAGTGGAGTTAGGGATAGGAGGTCAAAAGGACTGCAGTTGAGTCTTGCTCTGCCTCTTGTTATCTGAGTGAACGTGGCCAAGTCTGACCTCTCTGAACTTCAGTTTCCTCATCTGTGACATGGGGATGGCAGTAGAAGCTACCTCTCAGAGGTTATGAGGAACAAATGAGGAAATGTGCAAGGCAGGATTGTATCAACTGCAAAGAGCTGCCTGATGTAAGTGACTGTTAGTGCCAGCAGTCACTCAATATTTATCATGAATTACTAGGACCGAATCCAGGTGCTGTGAGTACAGCCATGAGCCCCTGGGCCTGGACTTGTCCCTAAGATGACAAATTGCAAGTCAAACAAGAATACAGTCACCTTGCCACTCTCCGCCTTCCATGGGCCTTTTGTGATCTTTCTGAAGCTATGACTTGGGCCCTGGCCATCTTTCCTTACCTGTGTAAACTGAAGGTCTTTAGCCCTCTAACAGTCTAGACAGCCCCCAATTTTAACATTCCAGGGGTGGAATGGGAGGCGGGTCCTTGTGACATTTGCTAAAGCAGAATTGCTGCCAAAAAGGGGCCTCTTTCTTCATGCAATGAATAAAAATCTTAGTGCCTCGTGTTTGTGTATGTCAAGACTCACTGCTGAAACTTTTGTTAATTCATTTATTCAAATGAACCACATTTATTTAAATTTACTTTAAATTTCAAAAGTAAACTAAAAATGCATTCTTGTTGTAAGAAATACAGATGAAATAATCCTTCCAATTCCAGAATCATCTGCAGAGGTCACTGCTGTGGTCAATTCACTGTGTATCCTTCTAGATCATTTCCTACGCATTTACCTACATGTATATATTATTCAAGGAGAAACATACGATTTTTTTGTTGGGTTTTTACCTTTGTACCTGAGTATTTTTGTTTTTCTGCAATTTGCTTTTCCAGTGAGCGGTGGCTCACGCTTGTAATCCCAGCACTTTGGGAGGCCGACGCAGGCGGATCATGGGGTCTGGAGTTTGAGACCAGCCTGGCCAACACAGTGAAACACCGTCTCTACTAAAAATACAAAAATTAGCTAGGTATGGTAGCGGGTGCCTGTAATCCTAGCTACTCGGGAGGCTGAGGCAGGAGAATCACTTGAACCTGGGAGGTGGAGGTTGCAGTGAGCTGAGATCGTGCCACTGCGCTCCAGCCTGGGTGACAGAGCTAGACTCCATCTCAAAAAAAAATGTATCTATCTATCTATATATATGGCTTGGAATGAAAATATGGCATGCACATTTTCCCATATCAGAACATGGAGGTCTACCTCATTATTTTTAATTGCTTCACCTTAAGTATTCCATAGATGGGGGTGCCACTGTTTATTCACCCATTCCCACTGGTGGACTGTTAGGTTGCTTCTGATTTTTCATTGTTGTAAATTTGCTTAGTGAACTCTCTGGTATGTGGTTCTGTGGGCAGACATGGCTATTTTGTTAGGATAATGGATATCTAGAAATAGAGTTGGTCAAATGAAGATGGGTATTGTTAATTTTAATAGAAACTGCCAAAATACCTATCAAGAAGACTGAACCAATTCAGGGCACTTCCAAGAGAGGATGAGAAGACCAACTTACGTACACACTCTCTCCCATGCTGGATACTGTCAGTACGTTGAATTTTTGCTAATCCAATGGATGAAGCTAAAACAAATCTTATGTCTATTTTAATTTGTAGTTCTCAAATTATGATTGCATTTCTCTCATGTTGAGCATATTTTCCTAAGTTCATTGGACATTGTGTTTTTATTTCTGTAAGTCACCTCTTCATATACTTTGCCCATTTTATTTTTATTTTTATCTTTGGAGACAAAGTCTCACTCTGTCATGCATGCTAGAATGCAGTGGGCGATCCGGGCTCACTGCAACCCCTGCCTCCCAAGTTCAAGAGCTTCTCCTGCCTCAGCCTCCCGAGTAGCTTGGGTTAAAGGTGCCTGCCACCACACCCAGCTAATTTTTGTATTTTTAGTAGAGACAGGGTTTCGCCATGTTGGCCAGGCTGGTCTTGAACTCCTGACTTTAGGTGATCCACCTGCCTCAGCTTCCCAAAGTGCTGGGATTTCAGGGGTGAGCCACCGTGCCCAGTTGCCTATTTTAAAAACTGGGGTTTCAAAAATATTTTTCTTATTAATGTGTTGGAAATTCTTAATTCTGGTTATTAATATGTGTTGTATTTTGGCTGAGTGCAGTGTCTCATGCTTGTAATCCTAGTACTTTGGGAGGCCGAGGAAGGAGGATTGCTTGAGGCCAGGAGTTTGAGACCAGCCTGGGCAACATGCAAGACTCCCATCTTTACACAATATAAAATAAACAATTTAGCCAAGCATGGTGGCATGTGTGCCTGTAGTCCCAGCTACTCTGGAGACTGAGGTGGGAGGATTGCTTGAGCCCAGGAGTTCGAGGCTGCAGTGAGCTATGATCTTGCCACTGCCCTCCAGCCTGGGTGACAGACCAAACACACACACACACAATTTTATTTTAATTTAATTTCTTTTTCTTTAGAGATGGTGTCTCCTCCTCTTGCCCATGCTGGAGTACAGTGGCATCATCAGGGTTCACTGCAGCCTTGACCTCCTGGGCTAAAGCAATCCTCCCATGTCACCCTTCAAGTAGCGGGGACTACAGTCACGCTGGGCATCTTTCCAGTACACCCTGTGTCATCATATAAATGATCCGTTTCCTTAGCAAGCAACCTCTTCCCAACTACAATGTCCATTGGAGGGCCAGGCACGGTGGCTCACGCCTGTAATCCCAGCACTTTGGGAGGCTGAGGTGGGCAGATCACCTGAGGCTGGGAGTTCGAGACCAGCCTAGCCAATATGGTGAAAGTCCATCTCTACTAAAAATACAAAAAAATTAGATGGGTGTGGTGGCACACGCCTGTAGTCCCAGCTACTCAAGAGGCTGAGGCAGGAGAATCACTTGAACCCAGGAAGTGGAGGTTGCAGTGAGCCGAGATCATGCCACTGCACTCCAGCCTGCACAACAAGAGCGAAACTCCATCTCAAAAATAAAACAAAATAAATATAAAATAAAATAAAATAAAATAAAATAAAATAAAATAAAATAAAATGTCAGCTGGGGGACAGGGACTGTGTCCTCCTCATTTTTGTCTCCCTTGCACCAACACAGAGCCAGCACCCCTGGGTGAATGCGCATACACCTTCCCGTGCCAGGCACATGCCCACACTTCCCTATGCTCAGGCTGGTGTGTGGGGGGGGTGTCTCTGGGTAAGCACGTGCATGACAAGTGTTGAGACTGCACATCGACATAGCCCACATGCTTGCGTCTCAGTGTGGCCATATGCATGCAGCTAGCACACCTGTGCTTGTGGGCATGGGAATACACATGTGTCTGCCTTTCTTCCCTTGACAGTTTTCTGCCCTCTACTTCCTTGGGTCAGAAAAAGCAGGAACTTTTTCTCTTGGCAGGAGGAATATTTATTAACAGGGATAAAGTGAGGATACTGCAATCCTTGTAGTTTCTCCTGGGGAAGCCTCATTCTTTCTGAGGCCTCTGCCCGCCTTCTTTGCTCTCTTCTCCCCTCCTTTTTCTATTTCACATCTTTTTCCTTCCCCACTTCGGGAGGAAGCTCATCTAAGCTCAGCCTTTGCTGACAAGGCCATTTGGGCCCATTAGTTGCCTCTAATGAGTGACTGCCTTCTCGGCCCCTTCCCCCACAGCAACTGGGAGGCAGGGATCAATTAGCTGCTGCCGTAAACACACACACACACACACAAACACACACACACACCCTTACATGTGTATTTATGCTTCCACATGTATATGTACACGTCACATACTATATATGATCATAAATACACTCATAGCAAATACACATACATCTTCTCTTCTTGACCAGTAATATCTCCTAGGGGTCTCTACTCTGCTCCTTGCTCTGTTCACCAAGAAGAACACCCATGGCCAACCCCACACTCCCCAGCTCAAACCCAGATTCCCACGATTCGAAATGAAGTTCAACTCTCATGTTTTACAGGTGGCCAAATTGAAGCTCAGAGTAGGGAGGTGACTTGTCCAAAATCCCTCAGTCAGTTAGAAGCCAAGCTGAGCTTATGCTCAGTCCTATGCCCTCTGATGCCCAGTGCAGTGCTACTGCATCCGAGAGAGAAGCGGGGTGTCCCATGCAGGCCCACCTTGATCACAACAGAGCTGTGGCGCTTCAAAGGTAGCATGTCTAGGTTAGGGTGTGCAGGCATGATCCTTAAGGTGATAGGGACTGGGGAGGCTCTGCCATGAACCAAGGAGGGAGAGGGTGGGCTTTCAGGGAGGCCTGCCTTGTCCCCTGGGTTGGCCTGGCCTGGAAATTGTGGAGAGAGGAGTCCAATCTCAGTCTCCCTCTGGCTTCTGCAAGTCTCACCGTGGCTGTCTCTCCCTCCACCGAGTACTGACCTCAGGAATCCCTGATTCCTGGCAAGCTCCCTCTTGGCCAGATAGGAAGGGGGCACCTCACTGAGTACCCTGTTCCAAAGTGTCCTCTGGGGGAAGATAGGTTCCATCCTGGCCTTGGCCCTGGCCTGTTCTCCAGATTCCACACTAGGACGGGAGGTGTGAGGACTGGGTCCAGGCCTGAGGCACGCAAGACCCAGCAAAGTCCTGCATGACCAGCCTAGGCCACCTGGGTCAGAATGCCGTGGCACCACTGTGGCCAGCCACTTGGAGACATTCGTAACAAATACACATACATCCTCAGCAGCTGGGTTTATGGCTGAGTCTTAGCAATTTTGTCTCCTAAGGTCCCAGCCCTGCCAGGGACCCAGGCCCTGAATGGAAGAGCTGAGGACGGGTCTGAGCGGCCCTTGGGGAAACTTACCCAGGAGGGGTCACAGCAGGGGCAGGGGCTTCCAGAGCCCCCTTTCACCCCAGAAGCTGGAAATGATACTCTTCTTGCCCCCGCTCAGTCCCTCTCCCAGAGGCGGATGTTGTTGGGGGGCTGCAGTTCTCATCTACAGGCCCCTCTTCTCCCTGGGAGCCCCAGACCCCGCCTCCTCTCCCTATCCTGAGTCCCTGGCTGGAGCTACTGTGGAGACTGAGGCCTGTTACCTGCCACTCTCCATAGCCCTCAAGGCCGCAGTGAAGCCTGCCGGGGGCTTGAGGGGGCATCCTGGGAGCCCATCCCTTGGCTGATCTGGGTCTCAGTCAAGTCCCCAGGCCTGCTCCCTGGCCTCCCCCTCAGCAGGGCTTAGCTCAGCAAGTCCTCCCTTAGATTAAGTTTCCAAAGGGAATGTCCTTTTCCAGCGCGGCCCTCGCCCTACCCTGAAAGGCTCAGAGCAGCAGAGTCTTGGCTCTAGGGGTGTTGAGCCAGCAGGTGCCAACAGGGGATGGAGGAGGCAATGGGCCCTGGGGCAAGGGCAGTGGGGGACATGGGCTCCAGGTCGGGAAGACTTGGGCTGAAATCCTAACTTCCATTTAGTACCTGAGTGGCCTTGGAGAGCTATGCCACTTTTTTCCTAGAGAGCTTGTTAAAATACAGTACCGGGCCGGCGCGGTGGCTCACGCCTGTAATCCCAGTATTTTGGGGGCCGAGGCAGGCGGATCACCTGATGTCAGGAGTCCAAGACCAGCCTGGCCAACATGGCGAAACCCCATCTCTACTAAAAGTACAAAAATTAGCCGGGTGTGGTGGCACATGCCTGTAATCCCAGCTACTCGGGAGGCTGAGGCAGGAGAATGGCTTGAACCCTGGAGGCGGAGGTTGCAGTGAGCCAAGATCACACCACTGCACTCCAGCCTGTGGATGGAGCGAGACTCCATCTCAAAAAAAAATAAAAATAAAACGCAGTACCCCACTCTTAAGAGTTTTGTTTTTTTTTTTTTTTTGAGATGGAGTCTTGCTCTTCGACCAGGCTGGAATGCAGTGGCACGATCTCGGCTCACTGCAACCTCTGCCTCCTGAGTTCAAGCAAGTCTCTGCCTCAGCCTCCTGAGTGAGTAGCTGGGATTACAGGTGCCTGCCACCACGCCCGGCTGATTTTTGTATTTTTTAGTAGAGATGGGGTTTCACCATCTTGGCCAGGCTGGTCTTGAACTCCTGACCTCGTGATCCACCTGCCTCAGGCTCCCAAAGTGCTGGAATTACAGGCATAAGCCACCGTGCCCGGCCAGAGATTTCTTAATGTGTAAAATGAGGAGAACAAGGGGTTCTCCACAAAGACTTCCTCGCAAGAATGAGAAGCCATGTATAATCTCTATTACTGTTTACTTACGTGTGCACTGACAATTTTTGGAAGGGCATACCTCCAGAAATGGGAATAACAGGAGGAAGGAGGGAGCCTTTTACTTTTCACTTTATTCTCTTTTGTCCTGTTTTAATTTTACTATGAAGCATGCTTTATTTTTATTTAAAGAAAGGAAGGGAAAGAAAAGAAAAGATGAACCGCTCCCAGCCAAATAGCTGAGCCCCAGTTGAGTCAGTAAACGTAGTCTTAATTGTTATCTGTTAAATAGTTAACAACCCATCCTTCACTGGGCATTGTTTCTGGGTGTGAAAGTGATTTGTAAATAAATTGCTGTATAAATGTTAGTTATGATAAACAACTAGGTAATGATGTATTTCTATGCACAATTATGTATGTGAGGTGGCCTGTCCTAAATATGAGTGGCTGTGTATATCCTTCAGGGGAATTATGCAAATATTGTAAAGCGGTGGTGAAGAGCACGCTGTCAGTAGCCATGCTGCCTGGGTTTGAATCCTGAATTCAGTATCTACTGGAGATATGATCTTGGGCAAGTTACTTAGCCTCTTTGTGTCTCAGTCATTCTGTCTTTAATATGGGGACAATTAGGCCAGGTGTCTCACACCTGTAATCCTAGCACTTTGGGAGGCTGAGGCAGGAGGACAGCTTGAGCCCAGGAGTTTGAGACCAGCCTGGACAAGATAGTGAGACCCCATCTCCACAGAACAAAAATAAATAAATAAATAAAAACAATGGGGATAATTAGCCAGGCATGGTGGGGCACCACTGCACTCCAGTCTGGGTGACAGAGCAAGCTGCCCGCCTCTCTAAAATAAAAAAATAAAAAATAAAAAAATAAAATGGGGATAATACCTACTCCATAGGATTGCTGTGAAGGTTAAAGTGAACTAAGTCATGTAAAACTCTTAGAACATCCCCCAGCACATGGTAGGTGTTCAACAAATGTTTTTTATTTTGTGTATCTACGTGAGCATGTTAATGTTTCTCATCCCTTTAACAGGAGGAGCAGGTGGCCAGACACGGTGGCTCACGCCTGTAACCCCAGTACTTTGGGAATCCAAGTGGGGAGGATCACTTGAAGCCAGGAGTTAATAATAATAATAATAATAATAATAATAATAATAATAATAAAAGGAGGAACATTGTCTGACCCTTCCCCCATTAGAGGGGCTTTGTGGCTCTGTCCATCCTTTCAGTCTGTTTGTAGACACTTAACTTTGGTAACTGCGAGCATCTGGAGTGCTTGAGGAAGCTGGGCTTGCTCAGAGCTCCCATCCTAACAGGGAGCCCTGGGAGTGGAGGAGAGACACACATCTAGCTTGCATCCCACCATCGATGCTTCCAGGACACTTCTGGGGGTGGCAATATACCCATTGTGCCCCTGGGTCACTCAGATAAAATATCAGCTGAGCCAGGAGGGAACCACTGAGGGTGGGGGTGGAGAAAAGTAGGTCACTCTCAGAGGCCATCCAAGAGCCAGGGGCAGGGAGGGGCAAGGCGGGGGCGGGAGCAGTTTATAAGGGAGGCTCTGCAAGCTCAGGTCAGAGAGAGGTGTCATTCCAGCAGCAGTGGCAAGCTTAATTCCCCATCCTCTTCTGCAGGGTCAGCCTGCCCTCCCACCCACCCCACTCCCAGCTCTTGCTGCTTCTGATGCTGCTGGGAGGGCTGTTCCAGTGCATCCCACCTCTGGAGGCACCTCTGGGAGATGCTGGGCTGCCAGGCAGGTTGAGCAGGTTTGAGAGAAGGTGGGAGGGACCCTGACTTGGAGGAGGGACCTGGGCCTGGAATGGAGCCGGGTTCCTCAGGCGCCCAGACAGGTGGCAGCCTGAGGAGGGGTGCAAATGTGCTCAGAGCCAGAGCCCAGCCTGGAGGGAGATGGGGGAGCTAAGACAGGCTGACCTCCACCCCTGGGCTGCACAGCCCCGTTCCCAGTGTAGGCCCTATGTCCCAGAGACCTGCAGAAGTCAGAGATTCTGAATGCAAAACTGGGACATAGGGTCAGGCAAGGGCTTGTGAGACACATGGGATAACGTAATTTAAAATGGGACCTAACCGCTATACCCCCTCCATGGGGCATGAGCACACGCACTGGGAAATCATCACCTGTCGGCTTGTGTGTATTCATCACACAAGCACACACTGTCAAACACATCACCCGCAGGCACGAGTACACAATCATGAACACATAGATACTTGCAGGCACAGACACCACACGGGGATGGTGCTGGAGCCCAGAGTGCTCTCTCTCGCTTTCCAGGTTCAGAAATCAGATCCTGGGAGTTTAAATAGTGTGACTAAGGGCCACCTTTGGAGGGTCCCCAAAGAGAGGCCCTCTTCAGGCTTTTCTCTCCTAAGAAGCCACTCCTTTTTTTTTTTTTTTTAAATTTTAGAGCAAACATCAGCCAGAAGCCACTCTTGCCTAATACCCCGCAGCCACGACCTCCGTCCATAAGTCTTTTGTCCCTCTGTGGAGTGGCTGGCCTTCCAATACTGCCACATTTGTGTGCACACCTGAGGTCTGACCCCTTCCAGGACTCCAACTTGGGGGCTCCTGGAGGGCTAACTCCTCCCTGATCAGGGTTTTTCCCCCAGGGACACTGCTTTATTATTTTTTTTTATTTTATTTATTTACTTATTTTGAGACAGAGTCTCGTTCTGTCGCCCAGGCTGGAGTGCAGTGGTGCGATCTCGGCTCACTGCAAGCTCCGCCTCCCGGGTTCACGCCATTCTCCCTCCTCAGCCTCCCGAGTAGCTGGGACTACAGGCGCCCACCACCACACCTGGCTAATTTTTTTGTATTTTTAGTAGAGACAGGGTTTCACCATGTTAGCCATGATGGTCTCGATTTCCTGACCTCGTGATCCGCCCGCCTCGGCCTCCCAAAGTGCTGGGATTACATGCGTGAGCCACCGCGCCCGGCCAGGACACTGCTTTAGAAGGGGGTCAATGAGTTCCAGTGAGGAGGCCAAGAAAGCTGAGGTGGAGGTGGGCAGGAGGGCTGCGGCAGTGAGGAGAGCCTTGATTTGGACAGGCGTCTCACATTGAGGCTGGCCACCCAGATCCACGTGCCTCCTGCACAGAAGCACCTCACCTGGAGGGGTGAGGAGCAGAGAGGAGGAAGAGCACGGGGCAAGTTGGCGAGATGAGCCATATGGGCACATGTAGGGGAAAGTGCAGGCAACAGTATTCCTATGCTATTTTGGGGGTAAATGGATATATGTAATACTTGTCCCCAGATACTCATGCTTATACACACACAGGTTCTCACACACATGAAAACATTCTTAAAGCAGACACACCATACGGACCTGGGATTTCACCCACAGATGCCCACTCTCACCCTGCACCCTCAGCCCCCACGTCGCCCTGCTTCTCACACACACGTGCTCACTCTCACATGCTGGCCAGCTCCCAGCTTCTCTGGCTCAGGCTCTGAACAGAATGTGAATGTGATAAAATCGACAGCTGAAAACTGTCCTGAGAGCAAAGCTGTACTTTGTTGAGAAACCTGAGCCCTTATTGGAGGAATACAAGTGTCTGTGTCTGGGGGCTCGGGGAGAGGGGAGGTCGTGGGGTGGTCCCCCAGGGCGCCTGTGGCCACTGGGCTGTTTCCATCATAAAAAAAAATGATGAAAGGAGCCGGGCAGTGAGAGCATGGCTGTGAGTAAATAAAGCTGCCACCTTTGACCCTGGGAGGCCAGAGCTCATCCCAGAACGAATGCTCATTAGGGAGGGGGTGCTCAGGCCCAGCCCAAGTTCTCCAGCACCGGAGGCCCAAGGCCAGATTCCCAAGGGGGAGGGGATATGAGAACCCCTGTGTGAGGCTAGGGGACATGTAGAGGGAGTAGGGGGTGGAGAAAGGAACAGGGGATGTGGGAGGGGGTTGGGGACATTAGGGAGAGGATGATGGTCATGGGGGAGGGATGAGGACAGGTAGGAGAGCTCTGACTTCTGGCTCCCCCTCCCTGGACTCCTCTCTCTGCAGCCTCTCCAGGTCTCTTCCGCTCTTGGGCTCTGAAACAAGCATACATCTCCCTTCTCCTGCTGTAGGCTCGGTTTGCTTATTTTTCTGATCATCAGGAACTATAGGCAAACAGGGGTTAGCAAAAATAACAAACACAGGGCAAACTACAAAGTCACCAGGAATCCCAGAAAGGTTGAGAAGTGGTTGATTCTGGCTTTGATTCAGAAATAAAAGAATTGGCCAGGCATGGTGGCTCATGCCTATAATCCTAGCACTTTGAGAGGCCGAGGCAGTTGGCCTGCTTGAGCTCAGGAGTTCGAGACCAGCCTGGGCAATGTGGCAAATTGAAGAAAGAAAAAGGAAGGAAGGAAGGAAGGAAGAAAGGGAGGGAGGGAGGGGAGGGAGGGAGGGAAAGAAGGAAAGAAGGAAGGGGAGGGAGGGAAGGAAGGAAAGAAAGAGAGGGAGGGAAGGAAGGAAGGAAGGAGAGGGAGGGAAGGAAGGAGAGAGAAAGAGAAAAAGAAAGAAAGAAGAAAGAAAGAAAAGAAGGAAGGAAGAAAGGAAAGAAAAGAAAAGAAAAGAAAAGAAAGAATTGCCAAACCCACATCCTATGGGTCTGTCCCAAACTCCTTTCCTACAGATCTGTTCAGCTCAGCACCAGACAGTCCTGGCCTGGAGCAAAACTCAATAAAGTTGGCTGCATAGATAAATAAGTGGATACATAGATAAATGCATGGGTGGATGAATGAAAGAAGGGTCTTGGTCATCAACCCCGACTCTGTCTGAGTTCAAACTTCAAGCACTTATGTGGGGCTGGCCTCTCGGTGGGGCCAGGCAGGATCCTCTTCCCCTTCTCTGCAGCTGACCTCTGGGCCCCCCTCCCCCCAGGGCTGACATTTCACTTTATTCTGTAGTCACCTTGGCTCTTACAGGCTCACCTGGTCCAGTCTCAAGAGAAGAAAGCACTTTGCGATGTGGCTCTGAAAGACCCCTGCCCTGCATGTCTCTTCATCCTCTGTGGACCCAGCAGCCACTCCCTTTGTTCCTCCCAGAGGCGACTATGTGGCCACTAAGTAGGTCCTGGAAAGTCCTATTTCGGCTAATTTTAATGAGTGATATAATAATAAAATGTAGCAATAAACTGAGTTTTCACCAAAAAGACAAGACTCCCAGGTTTTTATATCAGGACATAGGGGCAACAGTGACAAGAAACAGATCAGTATACTTCCCACCCCTGCCACCCCATCTGTCCCTGACTTAGAAGGAGGAATAGAAAGAGGAAGTTCAAGAAAAGCATCCCTATTTTTCTGTAAGGGTGAGGTTGCTGGAGGAAGTCCAGCACAAGGACACTCCAGGCAGAACAGAGTTATTGGGAGGCCAGTCCTCGGCTGGGGGGGCTGTCTCTGTCCCGTAAGACATGCCTGCAGCCACATGCCCAGAACTTGGCCTTTCTTTATGCCCCAGACACAATGCTTATTTTCCCTGAATCCCTGAGAGTGACCTGGCTGGGTCTTTGTCCCTGGGGGAAATAGGGAAGCTGAACCCCCAAGTGGGGAGGAGGAATCCAAGGTAGCTGACCCCTGTGTGTTCCCACTGGATGCTTGGTCTGCACCAACGGCCCCCTCCTGGCCAAATTTCTCTTGCTGCATCAGATGAAGGAGAAAACCAGGTGGGTTCAGCTTCAAAAACCAGCCAAAGACCTAGGAGACAGAGGCATCACAGAAGTCAATCACCATTTTCTGCCTCCCCTGTTAGAGTTCCCTCAACTCAACTCCAGCCTGAATCATCGCCAACTTTTCCTAAGTTACTCTGGGACAGACACTATTCTGTGGGCTTTACATGAATTTAACCCTCACAGGAGGTCTATGAAGAGATGCTGTAATTATCCCCAATTCCAGATGAGAAAACTGAGGTCTAGAAAGTCAAGTTACTGGTCCAAGGTCACCCAGTTATTATAATTATGATTATGATTATTATCATTATTATTATTATTATTGAGATGGAGTCTCGCTCTGTCATGAGGCTGGAGTGCAGTGGCGCGATCTCAGCTCCCCGCAACCTCCGCCTCCCGGGTTCAAGCAATTCTCCTGCCTCAGCCTCCCGAGTAGCTAGGACTATAGGCACCTGCCATCACTGAGCCCAGCTAATTTTTTTTATTTTTAGTAGAGATGGGGTTTCATCATGTTGGCCAGGATGGTCTCAATCTCTTGACCTCGTGATCCTCCTGCCTCAGCCTTCCAAAGTGCTAGGATTACAGGTGTGAGCCATGGTCCCAGCCCAGTTTTTATTTTTTTATTTTTATTTTATTTTATTTTTTGAGACAGAGCCTCGCTCTGTCGCCCAGGCTGGAGTGCAGTGGCGCAATCTCGGCTCACTGCAACCTCTGCCTCCTGGGTTCAAGCAATTCTCCTGCCTTAGCCTCTGGAGTAGCTGGGATTACAGGCACACACCACCACACCTGGCTAATTATTGTGTTTTTAGTAGAGACTTGTTGGCCAGGCTGGTCTCAAACTCCTGACCTCAGGTGATCTGCCTGCTTCAGCCTCCCAAAGTTCTAGGATTACAGGCGTGAGCTACCGCTCCCGGCCTTGCCTGGTTTTTAAGTGGAGGATTGGAATTGGCACCCCAGCAATCTGGCTTCTAGGTGGCTGGCAGGTATCTGAGTCTGGTTTGGGGACAGGAAAGCACAGGCTCAGGATCAGATTGGAAGATGAGTGAGTATCCCCAGCTAGCTGCCCTGGAGCTCTGCTGCCAGGACCCCCATTGGACCCACAGCAGGTAGAGGCGCAGCCCTTTCACAAGCAGCACCAAGGTCTCCTCTGTGCTGACAGAAAGGTGCAAACACATCCCTCTCCCTTCCCCGTTTTACTGAACTCTTACCTTCTCAGCAACAAAAAACTTCATCAACATTAAACACCACCATGATGTATGTTTATATCACTCATAATGCTTCATCTCTTGATCTTATTAAGGTTAAAACCAGCGGTGGCTCACACCTGTAATCCCAGCACTTTGGGAGGCTGAGGCAGGAGGATTGCTTGAGCTCAGGAGTTCGAGATCAGCCTGTGCAACATGGTGAAACCCTGTCTCTACAAAAAATACAAAAATTAGCCAGGCATGGTGGTATGCATCTGTAGTCCCGGTTGCTCGAGAGGCTGAGGTGGGAGAATCGCCTGAGCCTGGAAGTTTGAGGCTGACGTGAGCTGCGATCACACTACTCCACTCCAGCCTGAGCAACAGAGTGAGACACACACACAAAAGCTAAAACCTGTGCTTTTTCTGAGTATAGCCCATAAAAATATATCATCTTCTTCAATTTTTTAAAAATTTAACTTTGCATTGTTTGTTGTTGTTTTGAGATAAGTTCTGGCTCTATCGCCCAGGCTGGAGGGCAGCGATGCCACCTCGGCTCATTGCAACCTCCACCTCCCAGGCTCAAGCCATCCTCCCACCTCGGCCTCCTGAGTAACTGAGACTACAGGCATGGCACCACCACACACAGCTAATTTTTGTATTTTTTGTAGAGACGGGGTTTCACCATGTTGCCCAGGCTGGTCTCAAACTCGTGAGCTCAAGCAATCTGCCCAGCTCAGCCTCCCAAAGTGCTGGGATTACAGGTGTGAGCCACTGCACCCAGCATGCATTGTTGGTTTTTAATTTTTTTTTTAAATTAAGACAGGGTCTCGTTCTGTCACCCAGGCTGGAGTGCAACGGCACAATCACAACTCCTGGGCTCAAGCAATCCTCCCACCTTAGCCTCCTGAGTAGCTGGGACTACAGGCATGCGACACCATGCCTGTTTGCCTATTGTTTTGTTTTTGTTTTTGTTTTTTGTTTTTTGTTTTTCTGTACAGAGACAGGGTTTCGCCATGTTGCCCAGGCTGGTCTTGAACTCCTGGGCTCAAGTGATCTGCCCACCTTGGCCTCTCAAAGTGCTGGGATTACAGGTGTGAGAATTCCCCAATTCCCTGCCTAGCCTATTTTTATTTTTATATGATATAAAATAACTTAAATTTATTTTTAAATGGTAAGGCTTTTCTCAACACAATTTATTGGTAATGTTCTTTTCCCCATTTTCTAACACCTATATTAAATTCTTAGGTGTGATTATGTTTATTTCTAGGCTCTATTCTGTCCCATTGATTTAAGTGCCAATTTTGATGCCTACGCTACATTGTTTCCATTTAATTATCCTATAACAAAATGTTTTAACATCTGGTCAAACTTGCTCTTCTTTAGAAAATTATTTGACAGGTTCACCTATTTACTCTTTCATGTGAAATGTAGAATCTTTTTATTTTTCTGAGTTTCAAGAAAATGAGTTTTTGTTTAGTAGGGCATCAAGTCTATGAATTGCCTTGGGGAATACTGATATTTTATAATGCATGGCGTCTTCACCTAGAATGTGGCACATCACACCATTTTCCTGTGTTGTGTTTAGCAGTTTGATGGGCTGTGTGCTATTCCTTTGTGCTGATGTCCCCTAGCTGACTTAACCACTTCCCCAGTGTTGGGTATTTGGATTGTTTCCAAGGTGGAACTATTATGAATAGCGCTGCTATAAACATCTTTGTACAAATTGCTTTTTCATTTCCTTGGGATATGGTCCCAAAAGAGGGATTAACTGATCAAAGAATATGAACAGTACTGTATTTTTTGTTACATAACCCAGGGAGGATGGAACCAATTAGCAGCAACATATGAAGAAATAGCTACTTTTCCCTTACAAACCCTCAAGCAGCATGAAGACTTAAAAGGGTAACTTGTTCCTAAGAGAAAAAAAACACAGCTACCTGAGGACAAAAGTGGGAGTTTGAGAGCACAGGGTTCTTTTTTTTTTTTTTTTTCCTGAGACAAGAGTCTCTCTGTTGCCCAGGCTAGAGTGCAGTGGCACGATCTCTGCTCACTGCAACCTCTGCCTCCCAGATTCAAGGGATTCTCGTGCCTCAGCCTCCCATGTAGCTGGGATTACAGGCATGTGCCACCACACCTGGCTAATTTTTGTATTTTTAGCAGAGATGGGATTCGCCTTGTTGGCCAGGCTGGTCTTGAACTCCTGGCCTCAAGTGATCCGCCCGCCTCAGCCTCCCAAAGTGCTGGGATTACAGGCATGAGCCACTGTGCCTGGCCTTCCTTTCTTTTTTCAAAGTCCACACCCCACTGGAGCCTGCCCACTAGGTTCCTACTTCCCATTTTAAGCTCTTCAGTTGGCTTACAGAGTGCAGATGATGGGCAGGTTCTGATTCCAATGAATAGGCCACGCCCCTCAGCACAGATTTTTGCTCTTCCTACTTCTCCAGGTCCTCTGGGATGACTCATAGCCCAGGTACCTTCTGGGGAGTGGTTTTTACCAATACTGTCGTACAATTGCACAAGGCCCAGATAGGTTGAACACATTATAATATGTACACAGAATTCCCATCAAGGATAAGAGAAGCCACGTTTCTCAACCCTGGCAAACTCCGGGATATTCCATGGCAGCATCACCTTTGGAAACAATGCTTGGCGTATGGGTTGGTTGTGTATTTATGTGTGCGTGTTCTTTTGTGTGGACATGCACACCTGTGTGGTTGTATGCATCTCTGAGTGCATGCTTTTCAGTGGGGGATAGTACAGATGCATGTCTGCATAGCTGGACCCATGACTTCAATGATGGTCAATGTGTTATGCTTACGAGTTTGCATACACATTTTTGAGAGTGAGGAGTCTGTATGTACCTCTGAGTGTGTGTGTGTGTGTGTGTGTTTGTCTATACATCATGTACAAGTCATGTGAAAGGCCTGGTTAGGAAGGTTTCCCATACCCAGAGCACTTAGAAAAGACTCGGGAGGGACACTGGCTAGGGGAGGTGGGGTAAAGAGAAGGTCTAATCCTTCATAAATAAGCAGAGGGATGTTGTGGTCAGTCAGAAATGTCTCCAGGCAGATTCAGGCAGGTTTTCAGTATTTAGCAAAGTCACTTGTAGCCCAGGGCAAGAATGGTGGGTGGGAGTTGGGGGTAAGTGTGTGCTGGCCAGATTAGGTCTAGCCCCAGTTTTAAGGGGCAAGGGATAGAAGAATATAGTAAAGCATTCGCTGTCCCCCCATCCAACAGGCTCTGGGCCCCATCCTGTCCCCTATGGCCTTCCAAAGGCCGGACAATTCTACCTTGATGGAGAGGTGGTGGCTGCTGGAAAGGGCCTCCAGGAGGCCTACAAAGAGGCCTTGCTCGTGCCCCTCACTCTTCTGCTTGCTCCAAAATCAGAGAGGCCTCCTTCTTCCAGAAGCTGCTTAAAGGTTTCGCTGACTTCAGAAGCAAGGAGGAGGAGGGAAGAAGCAGAGGAAGCCTCTGAGGTGGGGAAACTTTTGCTGAGATTGCAGGCTCCCCAGCCCCTCCCTGGTTCCTCATTACTGAGTCCTTGGGCATGAAATGTCTTTTTATTTGAAGGCCAAGAAGAACCAGGGGTTGTGTTAATGACCAGCAAGCAGCAGGGCAAGAAGTAGGCAGGGGGCTGGCTCTCTTGACCTTGAAATCCTGTCTGCACTTTTCTGCTGTGCAGATCCCCTATTTTCCCAGATCTCTGTCACCTTAGCCCCGCCCTCTTAATGGGACCCTAAAGAAGACTCAAGAAGAGGGGTTAGGGAGGCAAGAAAGGCACACAGTGTCTGAGGAACTCATCAACTGAGTCTGGAAAATTGAGCAGGGCTGAACCAGAAGGGATGATATACATCTTACATAAATTTCAGTGCAGTCACAAGAAAGAAAGAAAAACAGAGATAGCCCAATAAATTAGGAAACCTTTACACTGTTTCGGCTTGATGAATTAGAAGACAGAATCCACTATACCTCTCATAAGCAAGAAAAGCAAGAGTTAGAGCAGTTAATGGATCTGTTTACAAACATACTATAAAAGCAGTGTGACTACAACTCTGTGTCCTGTGACTAGACCCATGTCTCTGTGACTCTGAATCTACGATCCAAAAAAGGATTGTTTTGTTGTGTTGTGTTTTTTGAGACAGAGTCTCTATCTGTCACCCAGGTTGGAGTGCAGTGGCACAATCATGGCTCACTGCAGCTTAGAGCTCCTGGGCTCAAGGGTCCTCCCACCTCAGCCTCTGGAGTAGCTGGGACTATAGGGATGCGCCATCATGCCTAGCTACTTTTCTATTTTTATAAAGATGGGGTCTTGCTATGCTGCCCAGGCTACCCTTAAATTCCTAAGTTCAAGCGATCCTCCTATCTTGGCCTCCCAAAGTGCTGAGATTACAGATGTGTACCACTGTGCCTGGCCAAACACAGTAGTTTTTAAAAATTGTGTGCTCTTGGCCACTTGAGGAGGGACTCATGAACTGTGCTCTGAGAATGTGCAGGGAGGCGGAACTTTGATTTCGTTTTTGAAGTAGGAGTAGAAATTTTCTTTCCTTTTGGCGGGGCTGCGCATAGGGAAAGGGGTTGTCAGGGCTTTGCACCCAAGGGATGACTGGGGAAGGTGTGAGCGTTTCTATCAGTTGGTACAACAGGGCAAAGGGCAGCCAGCGACTGGGGCAAGGTACTACCGATGAAACGAAAGTAAGTGCAGCGCCTTGAATGGAGGGGGAAGGGATTTGGATCCCCACCGCCAAGGCAATGCGAAGCCTTGAGCAATTTCTGAGTGGGGGAAGAACACGGCCTGTACGCCCTTTAGGGGAGAAAACTTGGGCCCCTCCCAGCAGTGTGGATTCGGAAGAGAGGGGCTTAGCACCAGCTGGGACTAAACTGCTGCAGAAATAGACGATAAATGGAGGTAAGGGTGCCGATGAGGCTCCCGGCGTCGGTGAGGCTGCCTCCGGAGAAGGGGCGCAGGGGGAACTCCTGGCCAAGAGGCCTGGAAAGGCTGGGAACCCAGCACCCCTGAGAAAGGGCGCAGGCCGCGGCCCCCAGCGTGAGGCGGCCACGCTTCGCTTCGGCAGTTCTTACAGAGCGCGCGTCCCGGAAGCCGCGGGCTCTGCGTTCTGAGCCTCGCACCTCATTGAGAGGTTATTAATAGGGAGTTTGTCTGGTGTCAGAGCGCAGACATAAACTGCATTAGCATTACCCCATAATCTTATTTTGTAAACGCTCATGCCGTTCCGTCTCCTGTAATTGCATTGGGAAGATGCAATATTTATGAAAGGGGAGAGGGGAATGTCACTGTTCATCTCGGTGCTGCAGTAAAAGTCCCAGGAAAGACGGTGCTGGCCGCCCAGGCCTGGCGGTGGGCCTGCGAGAATACCCAGCGTTGGTGCCGCGCGCCCTCTGGGTGTCCCGCTGGCTGCCCCCAGCCCAGAGCTCCCTCCTCAACCTACCTCACTGAGCCTTGGGCAGCAGTGGAGGATGTGCCGGCAGGGGCAGCAACCATGTCTCCCCGTGGTGTTATCCCTCCCAGATGGTGGTCCCTGGCGAATGGGGCACAAAGATCTGAGATGCACTGAGTCTTTCTGGTGGGTGGGAGGCTCAGGCTTCGCCTAGCTCCCACCCTTAGTCGGGGTTTTCTTTTGCCAGGAGGCAAACCTACTCCAGAGCTGAGTGGGGTGGGGCTAAGGGTGGCAGTGGAGGTGAGAAAGTGGGTGATTTGGTCAAGTAGGGGCAGGGGGGCAGTAGAGGGCAGCAGCAGGTGGGAGGCACCCCACCAGGGGTCCTGGCTGGGGCTCTGTTGGCCACTGGGATTATCCTGAAAACCCAGTGCAGCCAGGGATTCCTAGGATGGTTTCCCTCTTCCACAGCCCTAAGAGCCCCGAACTGGATCCCTAGGGCACCTCATATGTACACTCAGTCCAGAACCAGGTCTCCGGCTTCACAGTGGAGAAGGCAAAGTTGCCCGTGGGACTCAGGGGCATGCCCCGTGCCCACCCCGCCTGAACATTCTGGTCTGCACCAATCTTGGGTGGAGCTCAACAGCCAGGGAAGTCTCACTGGTGTCCAGAACACCTCTGAGTGGGTATCTGCTGGTGACAAGCTGAGACTCTGGTCTGCCCCCAGGCACTTGCAGTTCAGGGACAGACACACAAAGTCTCTGCCCTAGGAGCTGCAGGCGACCTAAGTCAGAGGAGTTATTTCCCAGCCACATATCGGAGGCTTCCTGTGTGTTGTGGAGAGGGTGGGGGGATCTGTGAGCTTAACCTCAAAAGGGCTACAAGTATTGGAACAGTCCGGATATCAAGGATGTCAGGAGTGGAAGAGCTGAACAGACACTGCTGGTGCTTCATCCCAGGAAGGTGGAGCCCATGGCGGGTAGGGGAGAATGGGAAAAGTGAGGTGCCAGGAGCCCCACTGTAAATTGCCGGTGGTCGGGTCGAGGGGTGAGGTGGCTGCAGAAATCTGGGCCGACAGGAGGGCAGATAACAGGCAGCGACTTTATGTGGGCCCCAGGGCAGTGCCGGGACTCAGGCCCAGCTCCCTGGTTTTGGGGCTACTGTGGCCCCCAGGGATGGGAGCTTGGTCTCCTTACAAATCCCATCCATGCGTCACTACAAACAGCTCTAATAATTCCTGCCCTGCAGTACCTGTGCACTTTACCATATCCACACCCCCCAGCATCCCACCCCACTGGCAGGGGCTGACAGCTCTGGTGCTCTTGCACTCTTGGGCACATGGCCGCACACCCAGACCCACTCGCTCATCTCAGACTCATACCACACTCAGGAAGGCCCCTAACTGGTCTAATTCCCAGCAGTGGCCTTCCCCGCACCCGCCCCTCGCCCCTCCCCGCTCTAGCTTCCCGACTTTCGTGGGGAAGGGGCACCGGAACGCAGGGCAGCTGAGAAGGACCGGGCAGAGGAGAGCGACGGCCCCTCCCGGTGTCAGCTTCCTCGCCGCAGTCCCATTAATCACAGTGCCGCAGTCCAGTTGGGGATCCCGGGCGCCCAGGGCCGCCCGCAGCCCCAGGGACAATGGGATTATTTCCGGGGAGAGAGGCCGCCTCGGGCCGGGGCTCAGGCGGAGACGCCTCCTTCCCTCAATCCGTCCCTCGGCACCCAAGGAGCGCCTGCGGCGGCCGGAGACGAGTGGCAGAGCGGACGCGGGTGGCGCGCGGGTGGCAGGGCCTGGCCGACCTAATTCAATTAGCTGGGCCGCCGCCGCCTCCGTGCGACTCTGGGCCCGCCGGGACTCCAGCTCTGGGCAGCTGCTCTTTGTGCACGAAGACCATGCATATGGATGCGGTTCCTCCCCCTTCGGCGCTCACCCCACCCACACCCACTTCTGGCACCTGCGGCTTGCCCCGCCCTCCCACTCCTTCCCCGCGAGGGAAGGCGACCGTGGCCTCCCCAGGAAAGTTGGGAAACTGTGGTTGCTTTTGAGCTCCCTGTGGCCGTCTTCAGAGTATGTGTGAGAGGGGAGGGGGTGGTTTTGTTTTTTTGTTTTGTGTTATCTGAGCAGGAAGGTCTGTGTGGAAGTGAGCGTGCCTGTAAGTCTGTAGGAGTGTGGTTAGGTGTGTCTGTGTGTACCTGTGCACCAGCATCCATAGGGCTGTGTGCACGGAGGGAGAGGGTTTCGTTTGGTTCTGGATCTGTGCTGCAGAGACTGAGTGGGATGGATGTGTTTGTGGGCATCTGCACATGAGTGCATGAAGGAGGCTTTGTGAGCACGTGTGGGGACTGCACACCGAGGAGTGTCTGCGTGTTCCTGTGCAAGGTGAGTGGGCATCTGTGCATCTGCGTGTGAGAGTGTTGCCTCTGTGCCAAGCCTGTGTCTGGAAGTCTTCAGGAGTTGGGTATTTCTGTGTGTCACCATTGGTGTATATGCTGTGCTTCAGTGTGTAGTCAGGACACCATGGGGAACATGTTAACCTCCCCGCCCCAACTACCACCGGCCAGCAGATGGGTCTCCCCAGCTGAGGCCATTTTCTCCACCGCTCCCCACCCCGCCTTGCTTTTCTGGTGGAGGAGGAGCTTGGCAAGTTAGTATCAAACCTGAACTCCATCCACCAGGCTCGGGTGGAGGCAGAGTCCTAGGTAGCCAGGCTCTCTCATCTTGAGGAGGTGTCCCAGTCAGTTTTCCACTCCCAGCACAGTCCAGCCCTGGCTCAGCAGGAGCCTGCAGCTTCCAATGTGCAAACAGTCCTAAGCACCCCCTGAAATAACTAGACCTGCCTCTGTCAAGGTGACCCTAGCACGTAGGAGGGACTGCATGACCCCCACCTCCACCTCTTCAGCCACAGTTCAGGATTGGGTCCCCTGGGAGGCTGGGTTTCCTGTGCTTGGGCATCTCCACCCACCCTTACTCTGAGGCCAAATCTGCACGCCCAGCAGAGGCGAGGAATTGAGATGAGAAATCTGGGTAGAGCTGGCCACTGCAGGGCCGTCACCCACCCAGCTGGAAAGCTTGCCTCATTCCTCTGTTTTACTGTGCACAGGCAAAGTGAGGGATCTGCACACCTGTAGAGGTCCTTTCTGCAGACCGCAAAGGGAGCTGGCCAACCCCAGGAAGGAATAGGATGGTTCTTAGAAAGCAGCGGGGCCCTCAGAGGCCTGGTCCCACAGCAGGCTGGTGCTCTCTTGGCTTCTTCTCCGTCCCCTACACCTTAGTGCAGGGCTTGGCTTCTGGACCCAGCACAGACCCACCTGGCCAGCAGAGTGGAGCCAAGGGAGACACGAAGGATGAGAGAGGTTGGGGCTGGTCCACAGCCCTGGGTCCTAGGCTCAGCTGCCCTACTGATGGGACCCACTGATGGGACTCTGAACTCCGTGCCCAGGGAGCCCTTTGAGAGCTGTCTGGGGGAGCAGGGCCCTGGGGGTCTGTCCTTCCCTGAGCCTTCTCTTAGCCTACTCCCTACCTGCCCCTTTCCAGGTTTCTGGCATCCTTGGAGGTGACTCAGGATGGGAGATTCCCTAATCAAGGCCACCATGGTCAATACAGTGCTGGATGGATGGTGGAATCTGAGGATCTCTGGGCCTCTCTTGGGAGGGAATTAGTCAGAGAGAGGCCTGAAGCCTTAGCTCAATGCCCAGGGGTAATGAGGCCAACAGCTTCCTTTAGGGTCAGAAGCCGAGCAGGGAGGGGAGACAGTGAAGGGAAGGGATCCCTACAGAAGCACCCTATTTCTGAAGCATCCACCTGCTGGGCTCTGATTGAGAGGAATGGGCAGGGGAGGAGAAGAAAACTCCGTACCCCTACACAAGGTGACAGCTAAGTGTGGCCTACAGCAGGGACATGTCTGTCTCCTGTCTGTCTGTCCTTTATCCATTCAGGGTCTCTCCACTGATGGGAAAATGTGTGCCTGTCCATTGGTGTTGGAGAGGTCCTCCATATCTTATGTAAGAATTGGGTAGGGGGACAGGGGGCTGGCCTTGGAACAACCCCCCCAACCCCGAGGACTCATTGAGCTGAGTCACTTGGCCTACTCACTCCCCCCACCTCCTCAGTCTAGGCTCCTAGAGACCCTCCTCCCCAACCCAGGGCTCCTGGAGTTACAGTGCCCTTTACTGGGTCTCTAAGTCCCTAAGTCACCAGGTGATCCTGCCTCTCCCACAGCAGGGAAAGTTTTCTGCCCCTTTTCTGAGACAAATGGGAAGGTAGAGGGAACACTTTTGGTACTAGGAATGCAGACCCCATTGGCCCCGCCATGGATCGCATCATGTCACACATCCCCTTACATATTTCTCAGCCCCCTTTCCCTACTATATATCCATTGGGTATACCCTGTGTCCCCCTCCCCACGACCACAGGCCCATACACAGCCACTTCTCTGACAATTCCATCGGAATAAAAGACACTCCTCCCATGGTACACGCCATCTGCAGCACGCAGTCGTAGCAGAGGGATGCCCTCATCCCATCACAGGCACTCACTACAGAGGAACAGTTGTAAACACATACTCATCTTGTTGCAGAAAACACATTCACTTGCATTCTCACTGACACATACATCCTCACATGACAAAATCCAGTTGTATAAAATACCCAGACTCCCTTCTTTTCCTCCAACACTCTTCCCAACATGCATTTTGCTTGCAGTTGTATCCCAACAGCCTAACACAGTGCCTGATACATACTAGATGCTCTATAATTATTCATTGAATACATTGTTAAAATTATTTCTTAAAGACATGCCCAGGACATCTGCACAGCCCTCTCAATCCTGACTGTCACACAGGCTTTCCCATCCAGCTTTCCCCTCGTGGATGCACGGCCCCACAAACACAAAGTAATTAAGTTTCCACACATATCCGTAAGCTAAAGGACAACCCCTGGCCCGGGGGTCTCTTTCAGAGCGGGGAAGAGGAGGAGATTGTGTGGGATCCAAAGGGGCCTCCCCCTGGGCTGAGCCCGTCCTTTCCTCCTCCCCCAGCCCGGGCCCTGGCCCCAGCTGCTCTTCTTTTAATTGGAGGCACTTTTTTATTCTGCAGGCCAGGGGGAGCCGGTGCTTGGGGGGAGGGGTGTTACCAGGTGGCCTCAGAACCAGAGAGAAGGATCTGCAACTCACCTAGGTTCCTGCAAGATAGTCCTGTGAGGCAAGAGCCAAGTTTAGGCTTAAGGAAGCAGCTTGTAGTGAGTGGAGTCAAGAAAGCAGTGTTTGCGTCTGGTCTGCCCCTTTCCAGCTTTCAGTGCCTTGGTTTTCTCATCTGTAAAATGGGGATAACAAAAACCACATCACAGGATTAAAGATGAGTGGAGAGATCATTCTGGTGGCTCACACATGGCAGTTGCTCTGTGAGTCCTGCTTTCTTCCCCTCCCTCCTCGTTCCTATCAGGGCTGTTTTGCAAGGCATGCAAAAGCACGGTGGAAACACAGAAGCTGCAGCGAATATAAACTTGTGTGAGTCTCCTCTCCTGTTTCAGAAAACTTCCCAACCTTGCAACACCGTGCTCAGGTAACACTGCTCTCAGGAGAAGGGGTGGGCGCCAGAGCCCAGCAAATCCTGACCCTCCAGTCTCATCTTTCTAGGTAAGGAAGGGACAGAGAGGGTAGTCTTGGCCCTCAGTAAATACCCTATTGGAAGACAAAGGCTGGGATTAAGCTGACTCACAGAATCCCAGCACCTCATTGAGGGTAAAAGTTGGGAGTATCCCCAATTGGGATAAAAGTTGACTCTGATAAACAAAAAAGGTAGGAGGGGAAAAAGGAAGAAATCCGTCAAGGAAGCGGCTGTGATCGCAGGGGAAAGTCAGTATATCCCTGGGCTGCTGGATTTTAATGAGAAGAGCTTGACAGTCTTAGTGGGCCATGTACAAGGGAGTGGTGACTCTGCCAACCTTAAGCTGGGCCAGGAATGGTAAAGTCTCCTCCCAGGTACCCTGGACAACTGATACCAGATCTGAGGAGTTCAAGAGGTAGATCAGGCAAATGCCAAAAGGGTTGGAAGGCCATCTGAGCTGGAGATGTGCACCTGGAAAGATAGGTGGTTTATTTTATTTTATTTTATTTTATTTTATTTAGTTTTATAAATTTTACCTTCAACCAACCCACACCAAAAGATGGGGTTTTAACTGCAGCAGGTAAAACTGTGGTGAGACTAAAAGGAGTGAGGCCACTAGGACCCAGCCTCAAAAAAAGCTGCAGTACCCTTCCCCATAGTTTTCAGCCTCAAACAAGGAAAATAGCTCAGATTTTGAGATTCCAGATCAATCTTCTCTGTCTATGGAACTTGGAGCAAGTTTGTTCTCTTTACTGAGTCTCAGTTTTCATTTTCTTTTTAGAGATGGGGCATTGCTATGTTGCCCAGGCTAGAGGTGCAATTATAGCACATCTCAGGCTCAAATTCCTGGCCCCAAGTGATCCTCTAGCCTCACCCTGCAGAGCTGCTAGAACTACAGGCACGGGCCACTGCACCCAGCCATTTTTTTCTTTTTAAAAATGAGATATAATTCATGTGCTATAATATTCAGCCCCTTTAAAATGTATAATTCGGTGGGTTTTAATATTTTTAAAAGTTATGTAACCATCACCACTATCTCATTCCAGAATGTTTTCATCACTCCAAAAGGAATTCTGTATCCATTAGCAGTCAATTTCCATTCCCTGCTGCCCCCAGTTCCTGAAAACCACTAATCTATTCTCTGCCTCTGTGGATTTGCCTATTTTGGACATTTCATAAAAGTGGAATCATACAATATGTGGCCTTTGTGCTTGGCTTCTTTCACTTAGCAGAATAGTCTCCTAGGTTCATCCATGTTATAGCATGAACCAGCATTTCCCTTCTTTTCCTTTTTATGGCTAAATAATATTCCATGTGTGGATATAACAAATTTTGTTTATCTATTCATCAGTTGGTGGACATCTGAGTTGTTTCCCCTTTTGGGCTATCATGAATAATACTGCCATGAACATTCATTCAATTCTCTCAATTATAAAAAATTGGGACATTTCTATTAACTTGCCTGGGTTGTTATAAGTCTTAAATGAGATAAGCATGATGTGGTACCTGGCACAAAACTGTCTTTCAATAAATAATTTATTTCTGCTTTAGTTCCCTCAAGATAAGAGGCAGGAAGAGATTCATTCGGGTTCAGACAACTTCCAAAGTAAGTTATGGAACTCCTTGGGAAGGGGTAGAGTACCTGGATTGGGTAAGTGGGAAGAAGAGAACTGGCGAGGGAGCGGAGCCCTCTCATGTTTCTGCTTAGTGTTTTTTTTTGTTTGTTTGTTTTTTGAGATGGAGTCTTGCACTGTTGCCCAGGCTGGAGTGCAGTGGCGCGATCTCAGCTTACTGCAAGCTCTGCCTCCTGGGTTCACGCCATTCTCCTGCCTCAGCTTCCTGAGTAGCTGGGACTACAGGTGCCCACCACCACGCCTGGCTAATTTTTTGTACTTTTGGTAGAGACGGGGTTTCACCGTGTTAGCCAGGATGGTCTCAATCTCCTGACCTCGTGATCTGCCCGCCTTGGCCTCCCAAAGTGCTGGGATTACAGGTGTGAGCCACCATGCCCAGCCTTCTGCTTAGTGTTTACAAACAACTACCAATTTCACATTTGGCTTTGTCTTGAGTGGGCCTTTGTCCACCTGGCTAGAGCTCAGACAAGGTTTTCCCCACAGATACAAACTTCCAACCAGCACGTAGGTTTCCAGGCTAACCCACAAAAGCAAGTTGAGTCTAGCTCCTCCATATTGATCCACACCAATCATAGCTATTCTGAAATGTACTTTCCTCACATCTGTAAAATAGGGAGAATACTCATCTCGAAGGATTGGTGTAGAGTTTATATTGTTCTCCATAATACTAACATCTGTCTTGTTGTATTTGCTTCTTTGCTTATTGTCTGACCCCCTCTATAGAATGTAAGCTTCATGAGGTCAGGACCTTTGTTTTGTTCACTGCTATGTCCCCCATGCCTAGAACAGTGCCTGACACATAGTGAGTACAGTACTCAATAAATATTATTGAATAAAGAGATACATTCTTTGTTATTCACCCAAGATGACCATATTTTGTTGTTTGGGGCTGTATTCTTCAGGAGAGAACAGAAATGAATAAGCCACTCTCTGCCTCCAAGAAGATCTCTTCAAGTGGAGGTGACAGACATGCCCAAAGCAAATAGATTGCAATAAGACTTGATGGGAGAGAATGTGAGTCTTCACATCCTAGCATCTTTCCAGATAGAGACAGGGCCTACCCAAAAGTCTAATCTGAAACTGAACTGAAATAGAACAGAAATAGATCCCAAGTGATGGAACCTGTGCCTTTCCCAAAGCTTGGCTTCTAAAAGGTAGCAAACATTTTCTACTGGAGAGGGGAAAGACAGGAAGAAGAAAAAGGGAGTTTCCTCCTTTTCTCTTGGGCTCTCAGCCAGACAGCCACTGGCAAAACGTTGGAAAGGCCTAAATTTGTCCTGGATGCACTTCCCTGATCCTAGTCCCACCAATCCCAGCCCCCACGGCCTTAAGCCCCTATGGCTCCCTCCCAAGATTCCAAACGTAAGAAAAGAACACACACCACAGTCCAAAGGCTTCTTGTCTGGAATAGCCAACCCTGGGGTAATTGTTAGGTGGAATGCAATCTGGTTGAATTCATTCAAACACTGTAGGAATTGCCTCTTTCGAACCCTGTAGGATTTTACTTCTTGACGCATCTGTTTATTTAAAACCAAAGGGGTATGTTGAGGCATGGGCACCCTGGCAGCAGACCCCAAACCAACCCTCTTGACTTGTGCCTGCCTTTCAGGATATGTTCCCTTCCTGAATTTGTCTAAGAAGGCTGAGTTGGGGGGTGGTTGCTGATTTTTATAACATATAGCCAGTTGTTCATAGGCCTGTGTTTTAAAGAAGGGCAAGCCTGAACTCACCGTCCTGCCTCAGGGCCTGGGCTCCATACCTGGGGAGTAGACAGTCTTCTACTTTCTAAAAAGCTGGACTTGAAATTTGGAGTAAATCTCCTGGTTGAGTGACAGGTGTTTCGCAGCTGAGCCCTTGAGGAGATTCTCCAGTTGGGCAGAGACATCCCTTCCTCAGACGCCTTGTGGGCTGGACTCCTTTGGCCCAGTTCAAAGTGAGGGGAGGGCTCCCAACAGGCCGGGAAGACAGTTGACTTCACCCTCCTTGGGTTTGTCTGTCTGTCCGTCTCTGGGAATGGTCGCTTCCTGTTTTCCCTTTTCCTTTTAAGCCTCGCCTTGTTCCCCTCTTCTCTCTCTTCATGAACTACTCCGAGTCTTGGTCTCCGTCCCTCTATCTCTGGCTCCTGCATCTGTCTCGGCTTCTGGCCTTCCTCTCCCCCTCCCCTCCCCTCCCTCGCGCTGTCATTCACCCCGCTCCTCTCCGCGCACAGCCAATGGAGAGACCCAGTCGAAACCGCGAAGCTCTCTTGCACCGGGCTTTTTCGCCTGGTGATTGATGTCCCAGAGTCAACAGCGAGCGAGCAGCCGGAGCGGGGAAGCAGAAGCCAGAGAGGGGAAGAATACGGCGCCCCCTCTCTCCCTCCCCTCCCCCTTCTACTTTAGCCTTTCTGCGCACTTCGCTTCCAAGTCTCCGCGCAGCCAGGAGCCGCTGTTGCCTCCCAGCCCCTGCTAGCTGCCCCCCGAGCCGAGCGCAGCGAGCGCCGCCGCCCGGGCCCCCCGGTGGGGCCAGGGCCAGCATGGAGCACCTGGGTCCGCACCACCTCCACCCGGGTCACGCAGAGCCCATTAGCTTCGGCATCGACCAGATCCTCAACAGCCCGGACCAGGGTGGCTGCATGGGACCCGCCTCGCGCCTCCAGGACGGAGAATACGGCCTTGGCTGCTTGGTCGGAGGCGCCTACACTTACGGCGGCGGGGGCTCCGCGGCCGCGACGGGGGCTGGAGGAGCGGGGGCCTATGGTACTGGAGGTCCCGGCGGCCCCGGAGGCCCGGCAGGCGGCGGCGGCGCCTGCAGCATGGGTCCTCTGACCGGCTCCTACAACGTGAACATGGCCTTGGCAGGCGGCCCCGGTCCTGGCGGCGGCGGCGGCAGCAGCGGCGGTGCCGGGGCACTCAGCGCTGCGGGGGTAATCCGGGTGCCGGCACACAGGCCGCTCGCCGGAGCCGTGGCCCACCCCCAGCCCCTGGCCACCGGCTTGCCCACCGTGCCCTCTGTGCCTGCCATGCCGGGCGTCAACAACCTCACTGGCCTCACCTTCCCCTGGATGGAGAGTAACCGCAGATACACAAAGGACAGGTTCACAGGTGAGTCCGGCCCGCGCGCTCCCCGCCTGGCCGCGGCCCGGGCTCCGTGCTACCCCTGCCCCGCCGGGTGGCTCCCCAAAGCCGGTTCTGCGCTCCAGGTCGCCCAGCTCTTCTTGGTGCTTCCCCCAAGTTGAGCCGCCCGCCCGATTCTATAACGCAGACTCGCCATGCTTGAAGAGTTCTCTCAGCCTGGACCCCTCTCTGTCTCCCGAAGGACCCCTGCTCGGAGGAGCTCTCCCTGGTCCCCTCTCCGGATCCACTAGCCGGGTCAGGCAGAGAGAAGGAGGCCATAGATTCAGGACCACCTTCTGCAGCTACTCTTGGCCTGGGAATCTTAGAGAAAGGGGTGCAACGTGAACAGTTTCTTCCGTCCTGGCTGCTGTTCTAGGACCCAGGAAGCGAGCCCCAGGATCAGACACAAGAAAAGAACAGGTTCCCCCACCTCCAGTCCCCTACACACATGCACTTCGCGCCCCTAGCTCCGGTGCCCGTGGTGCTGCGGGGCCAGTGGGGGCTCTGAGCCCCGGTAAATCAGCAGAACCAGTGGCCTTTTTTTTTTTTTCCGGAGAGCAGGCTTCATCTGGGAGGATGGCAGCGGGGCTTAGCCGCCCAGGACAGCTAGCTTTTCATTTTCGTTCTCTCCCGGCTGGGTGTCCTACCCCGGGCCCAGCCCTGTTATCTTGGGCACGAACAATGCACCGGTAGGCTGGTGATCGGTGGCGGGAAGACTACTCCCGGGACATTGGGTACTAAGTGGTGGCCGCTGCCGCCTTCTCTGCTGCCCGCTCCCGCCTTCCTCTGCTGGCCCTGGCTCCCTCTGCTCCCGTTTCCACTCTGGGCACTCAACTCTCCCTCTGGCGTGGATCCCTTCCCCCGTTCTCACTTTCTGCTCCCCTTAGGGTTCCCTGGATCCTAGACCACGATCCTTCCGTCCGGGCTGGGAAGCAGCCACAAATTGAGCCCAGGTTAGCCAGCCGATCTTAGAGAGAGGAGGCAGGAGGCACTGGCTGCTGCTGGCAGAGATGGGGCCTCCTGGGGGTCCCCCGGTTCAAGGGCCCAACAGTGGAAGGGGGGTTTACATAACTACTTGGGAGAAGCTGCTGAGAGCTAGATACTGGGCCAGGAGATTCCAAAGCACCCCTGGCTTCCTGCTTCTGTTCCAGGCAGCAGCACAGCCAGGGAAACTGCTTCTGCAGCTTCTTACCAGACTCTGGGGCCACGGCAGAAGTGGTGTGGAGGCTGGTGTCCAGAGGAAGAACAGTTGCTTGGGTCTAGGCCTCAGGAAGGGCCCTCCCTAGAGGGGTCCCAGTGCCCCCAACCTAAGTTTTCTCTGGCCTGGGGCAGCAGGGCCTGGTGCCCATCCCATTCCCCACCCAGGCCAGGCCAGTCTTGAAGGGCCCTGCTGGAAACCCAGCCGGGAGTCCACTAATCCTGGGCCTCTGGTGAAAGGTACTCGGTTTAGGGCCTACCGCGGGGCCCTAATACTGTGTCAGGCATGAAGGCGGTTTCAGCGAGTGTATGGCTGTGGCCTTGTTTTGCTCTGTGTCCTGTGTGCTTGTCCCGTGCCTGTGCTTGTCTGGTCCTGTTTGGGTGTATAGATCTGTGAGTTTGCCCCCGTTGTACGTTGTGTTGGTGTGTGCTGCTGTGGATGGAGGCTCAGGTCGGGTTCCAGAGTCAGGCTCGGCCTCTTACTCTGAGCCTGAAGGCCTGGGGCTGACTGAGGGGAGGGGAGCGTGACCATTAGCTCGCCTTAGACTGCCCCTGGAGGAGAGGCGGCAGGGAGGTGGTTGGGCTCGCGGGAGCCCGGGGCCAGGGAGGCCTCCGTGGTAGCGGCGACGGCGGCGTCGGACTGGCGGGCAGGAGGAGGCCGTTTCCCGCCGTGGGCTTGTCGCTGAGGGCTAACGGGAGGATCTCGGCCCTGCTCGTGGGGGTTCAGCTGCTGCGCTCGCTGACTCGCGGGGTGTTGGGCCTGGGACGCTTCCTGACGCTCTGCTGCTTGCCTCTGCCGTCTGTCTGTCTCCCGCTCCAGTGGCCCTCTCACCCTTCACTGTAACACGCCGTATAGGTCACCCCTATCAGAACCGGACGCCCCCCAAGAAGAAGAAGCCGCGCACGTCCTTCACACGCCTGCAGATCTGCGAGCTGGAGAAGCGCTTCCACCGCCAGAAGTACCTGGCCTCGGCCGAGCGCGCCGCCCTGGCCAAGGCGCTCAAAATGACCGATGCGCAGGTCAAAACCTGGTTCCAGAACCGGCGGACAAAGTGGAGGTGAGCAAGCGGGGCGGGCCGGCCGCCCGCGAGCGGCGCGGTCTCAGGCAGCTCTCGGTTCATTGGCCTCTCGTGGGGCGCACATACTTTTTCCGCTCGCGGTTTCTGATCCTTTCGGAGGAGCGAGCTCCCGCTAGGCTTGCGGGGAGCTGGAAGCAACCGAGGCCGATAGCTGGGATGGGGCTGAAGAGCCCTGGCTCTGTTTTACCGGAGGCTTCAGGGCTTTCTGGTTGGCACACTCTCTGCCGGTGTAGACGCGGCAGGTCTATTCCGCCGCTTGGGCAAACAGGCGGGTTAGTGCACTCCACGCAGTCCAGGCTCCAGGGATCTGTGAGTCCTGGGGAGCTTTTTGTTTGCGCAAACTCTTGCTTATGGAATCCTGCTCTGTCCTGGAGACTGGATGCAGAACAGCCCGCACCTTGTTGCAGCGCTCCAGCCGGGCTCCCGGCAGAGGGTCTGTGGCCCCAGACCGCGGCCCTGCTGACGGTCTCCTCCCCCAGACACCCGGCCTTTGCGCAGCCGGTCCCTACCCTGGAAGGAGAAAATCAATCCGCGCCGGCTGCGGCGGGGTTTCGCGGGTCCCACTGGAAGGGGAATCAATTAGGAGCAGATGGGTGTGTGTGAGAAAGAGAATTTTCCTTCTCCCATAGCCACAACTCTAGTTACTACGCAATGGGCTTTTTGTTTTGTTTTGTTTTTTCACATTTACGCTCACGGACGTGAAGCGTCCCCAACACTCTCGAGCAGCCTCCCTCTCCGCGCGCACTGACGCTTTCTCCGGCTGCACCCTCTGGCACGCTGCACCCTCTGGCACGCTGCACCCTCCCGCACATCTGGCCCTTGCCCGCCGGAGTTTCTCCCCTAGCTCAGGCCCCATGGGGTAGCGCGGGAGAGTCTGGGCGAAGTCGGCGGCGCCGAGACGGGCGGGCCTTGGGGCAGGAGGAAGGAATTGGAGTTTCCTCTTTTTCTGAACGAAGGCGAGGAATCTGCCTGGGATTCCGCCTACGGGGCCACAAAGGAAGCCATGGCCCCACGATTCTACCACAACATTTCTGACGCTGGGAAAGGAGTGGGGGATGCGGCCTCAGACCTTGGAACGCTAAAGAGGGAGCCAGGGCTAGCTCGGGGGTTGGGGGGACTCCGGTTTCCAAGGCCTACTGAGGGCTGCTGGCCTAGGGGAGGAGAGGCAGCCTGGCAGGCCTCCCAGAGAGAGGGGCACAGAGAAAGAAAGAGGCAGGCAAAGAGAGAAACTGAAACACAACCAGTTTCAGAGGTGGAGAGGGATAGGGACCCCGCTCAAGGAAAAAAAAGGAGAAAAACAGGCAGCCTGCAGAAGTCTTATTTATGTATAATAAAGAAAAAGCAATGGATGACTGAAACCACCATTTTCTTTTCAAACAAATTCCTTTAATTCAGAGAGAACCAAGTGGGTGGGGAGGAGAGAAAACGAGAGATAAGACACAAAGCCTAAAAGAGAAATATTCAGGCCGTTTGAAATGCAGGGGATAAGGGAAAGACGAAAGACGGAAAGATACACAGAGTCAAGAAAAGGCGGCCCAGAGCAGGTCAGCAGCCGCTGCTGGAAGAGGCCCTTGCAGGCTTCGCATGGCTTCATCGATCGCCTACAAATTGCTTCTGAAGGCCCCAGGGACTCCCATTAGGTCTGTCCACCTTAGAGACAGACGTTTGATCTCAGTTGACAGGGTGGAGGGGCGGCAGTAAATGGAATAAGTGAGTCATCGCCTCCCTGAACTGCCTCAGAGGAAGCCAGTGGGTCCAGCAGGAGCCCCGGTAGGGCACAGGGCTCCACACAGAAGGCCCAAGTCCTAGAAGACATTCGCAGAGAGAGGGAGGAAAGAGACGTCCCGCAGAGCAGATCGTACCCGCTGGTCCTTGCCTCTCTGCCCTGGACTTGTGGGTAGGGTGAGGGCCCTCTGGCTTGGAATGGCACCTGGTCTCCCTCAGGGCCGGGGAGGGGGAGGCGAGATGCCATCCTACCCCGGCTGCCCCTTGTGAGGCCTCCGGGGTGTGGGCGCTGCGCGTGGATGCGAGTCCCAGCTGTTTGGGCCTCGCAGACTTTCCCATCGCTCCTCCTCTGGGATACCTTGGCTCCATCCGCTTTGGGGTTTCCAGTCTTTGTTGGAGTCAGGACTCTCAAAAGAAGGGAACGCGTTATAGGGGCCCAAACTGGATTTGGGGACTGCAAAGGCGAGCAGCGCTCGTTCAGTTTATCTCCTGGGAACGCACCAGGAGTTGGGCACACGCGGGAGCTGGGTCGGTGCTCCTGGCAGGTAACGGCTTGTTCCCGGTGCAGACGGCAGACTGCGGAGGAACGGGAGGCCGAGAGGCAGCAAGCGAACCGCATCCTCCTGCAGTTGCAGCAGGAGGCCTTCCAGAAGAGCCTGGCACAGCCGCTGCCCGCTGACCCTCTGTGCGTGCACAACTCGTCGCTCTTCGCCCTGCAGAATCTGCAGCCGTGGTCTGACGACTCGACCAAAATCACTAGCGTCACGTCGGTGGCGTCGGCCTGCGAGTGAGCCTGCCCATTCTGCCCTGTGGGACCCCAGGCCCACTCAGGGGTCACTGAGGCCTGAGACCCAGGACTCCTCCCCACCCTCCTGGCCTCAGACTGCACCCAGGAGGGGAACACTGCCCTCGCACGGCCCCGAAGGGCCCCCACATTTGTGCCGACACTGTTCTCCCTTCGGTGGAAGAGCTCAAGGGACAAGGACACGCGCCCCCCTCCCAGAGGCGTCCCGCACCTGTCTGAACTGTTAAGAAATCTGTTTTTGTTTATTTCATTTTATTTTAATTTTTAACGTGGGATTCAGAGAAAGGCAAGGGAGGTAAGGGAGGAGGAGCTTCTGGGGTCCCCAGGGCTGTCATCTGAATTTGCCCTGGGAAACCCCTTCTCTGTGACCCACTTCTCATCACACACATGGAAACCCATAGGCCCACACACAGGTGGTGTCACTGTCCCTCCTGGTGTCACCCCAGAGCCACACATGGGCATCTATGGGAGAGTGTCAACCAGACAGAGGGTCACAGTGTTTACACTTTGGACCTTACGATCAGGCACAGGTCAGGGGTGACACAGACTCATCCTGAACAGCATGGCACTCCCTCCAGCACAAACACAAGGTCATGGCCACACTGTGACACACTACACCACACACAACAGCCAACAGCTACAACAGCCTCACTTGGTCTGCCAGGCCCCCACCACACATCCCAGCCCAATCCAGGTACGCACAGACAGGTTTTCACATAAATGCAGCCCATTTCTCCAGAACCCATTTGAGGGGTGGGGGGGTGTTAATTTATGCACTTATAAGGTGTTTTCTGTGTAACCATTTTATAAAGTGCTTGTGTAATTTATGTGAAAAAAATAAATAAAAGCCTCCGGATCCGGAGTCAGGGCTGCCTGCTCCTTGCGGACCCTAGCGTCCTTCAGCTACTTGGGTTTGGTGTGTGAGCTGATGCTTCAGGGGCAGCCCTTGGTACCTGAACTTGAGAGACATGTTGCGGGGCAGGACCCTAAGGCTCTGGAGAGAGGAAAGGAAGAGGACAGATGGAGAGAAGGCAGAGTTGAGGAGAGCAGGGAGAGCCAGGCTCTCCTGGGATTACCAGTGCCTGAGAGGATGTGGATTTCTTTGGATGTGAGAGTCGTGTGTGTGTGTGTGTGTGTGTGTGTGTGTGTGGTGTGTTTGTGATAATGTGAGCAATCAGCAATGCGAGCAAATAGTGAATATTTATAATGGTATTTAAGTGTATAATTGTGTTTGCAATTCTTGCGTGTAAATGCTTGTTTCTGCTTAAGTTGCAAATCGAAACTATCATTGTATGCACGGGCTTGTAGTGGTGTGTGTGTAACCGTATGTGAATGTGACTGTTTCTTTTTGGGTAATTGTGTAATCAACCATTGTTTGTGATTATGTATGAATCGTGTTGATGTTTGGGAGAATATGTATTAGTTTCTCTTTGTAAATCTATTTTTCTGTGAAATGTGTGACTGCTTCTGAAGTGGATCATCTTGAATTTTATGGGTGTAATTGTGTGTGAGATGTAATTATGTGTGAGCTGTGCATTTTCCCTGTATTTACTTGTGTGTGACAGAATGTAATTGGGGGAGTAAAGGTAGTGGGGAGTGTGGATCACTGTGGGAGACCATCACTGCAAGTGGGTGGGTATGGTTCTGTATGAGTGTGTGTAATTGTGTGCTGATGGTGTATGTGTTGGTGGGAGTCTGTTGTGCGATACGCAGATACATTGTGGCGGGACCAACATCTGCTGAAGTTCTGGGGCTCTAGACGCTTACCCAGCAAGCTGCAGAGACTGGGGCACATTGAATCAGAAATTAAGGCCAGAATCCTCTCTGGTGCTGTAAGTGGGACCTACCAGTTCCCAGCACTAGCCTGGCCTAGGAGAGATCTAAAGAATTGACTTTCTGGGAACCTCCAGGAGCCCTCCAGACCACCCTTGCCAGACCTGCAGCCACAGTACACATGCACACAGGCATAACAGCCAGTCCCCAGCCTATTCGAATTATCCTAGACAAGACTGACTTGGGTCTGCTTTTCTGGAAGAAGCTGTGTGGTGGAGGGTCTACAGAACTCATCACCCTAGGGGTGAGTTGAAATGGAGGGGTAAGAGGCTTTTTCTCTGGGATGGGAGAGTGAGAGAACTTTTCAGCTGAAAGTGGAAGTTCGTGGTGTGGGGGTCACTGGAAGCTCTGCAGAAGTGTTTGCGGGATACTGAGGGTGGGGAGCCACCCTAACTGTCAGAACCACTGTCCCCCAACCCTGCCCCTGCCCGGCAGCCATGAGGGCTGTGACACAGGTCGTGAGCACAGCAACTTCCCACCCCAGCAAGCCCATGGGGAAGTTCGGCTGAGTGGAGGGTGGGCTTGGTCATCCACCCCCTCATCTGGGGTCCCCTGGGATATCCGCATAAGAGGGGGCTTCTGTCACTCACTTTGTGTAGACATGAAGAAAAGAGAAAAAGAGGGGAGGGTTCAGGGTCCGAAGACAGCAGCCAGCCTTTCCGCCCCATCCCCGCAGGCCCGCGGAGTGCTCAGGTTGGGCCCTGACGAGCTGTGTGGAGCGTAGTGAGCAGGTTCTGGCGGCAGCGCCGGGTCTGCTGCAGGTCTCCCGCATTCACCGGCTGTGGCACCCAGCGCCAGGCCGCGCAAAATCCAGAAATAGCCTCCAGCACCTCAGAAGTCGTCTCCCTCTACCTGGGCAGGTCTGCTGTCCCCTCTGCTCCCGCAGGACTGGAGCCACCGAGCTCGCGCCTTCTTCTCGGGGTGCGATTTCTCTCCTCTTTTGGACTCAAGATCAATGCTTCCCGGCCGGCGCAGATCACACAGCAGGACCCCAGGGGAGACTGTGGCCTTCTTCCCGCCTCCCAATTCCCCAAGACCGCCTCTAGAGGCTGCTGTGTCCGGAGAACTCCGAGCATTTTCTGGACACAGATTGCCTAACAGAGGAACAGGGGTTAGGTGGGGAGCGGCTGGCCGGCCCAAACACAGCAGCCCCAAGCTGGCTCCCAAGCCTGGGCTCTCCACCCCCGCTCCCATCCTCTCTTGAGCACAGTTAGGCCCAACACCCCTGTCCCCCAAAACACCTCCTACCCTCCCTCCCCCCCAGCCCCCATCTTCAGGAACATCACAGGGCTCACACTCACTAACCGCGGAGAGCACATGCAGGCCGGAGCCCTCAGCCCGGCAGCTCTCGGACCCTGCCCAGCTCGACGCGGACTCATGCAGAAGAGGACATTCCGCAGGTAGGTACAATCCCAGCGCTGGGGCCTGGGGCGTCCGGGGGGCGGCCTTTGAGCTTCCCGGATACCGCTCGCCTGCTCCCGGAGCTGTTCGGCCGCCGGCTGCCCGGGTCGTGCACTTTCAGTAGGGCCCCGCTGACTCTCCTGCCCTTGGGCTAGGCCTCCCGGGGATGCCAGACTCCTGGGGACGCTGGGACCCGCGGCGCGGCGGGACACGCAGGACTCCCGCCTCTCCGCCCGGAATTCGTTGAGACGGAATCTCAGCGGATCCCGCGTCCGCCGAGCGCCGCGGCCAGGGAGAAAGGCCGGTGTGGCGGCTGGACCCGCAAACTCCGTCCCAAGTGGGGCGGAGGCTGGAGGGGAGGGGGGCTGCGAGGGTCACAGTCAAGGCCAACTACTCACAACAGAAAGCTCGAAACTCTCCCTCTACCTCCCCTGCCGGAAATGACCCGTCTCTGTTCAAAAATAGAAAAAGAACGATCGGAATAATTGTTCGCAGAGGTGCCGGGAGAGAAGGGGAATTAACAAACCTGCCTGCGCGGAGAGGTCTGCTTCCTTCTTTGGCTTCAGAACCGACGGCAATCACCAAATTCCTGCGGCCAGCGAGCCCTGCCCCTCAGATCTGGCCCTCTGGTTGAGTGGGTGGCGGCCTGAGGGGCCCCAGGAACCCAGGCAGGGATGGGGTCCTAGAGGCCCTGTGCAGTGCGGTGGGTGGCACACAGAGAATCTGGCTCAACCTGTTAACTATAATAGCGGCTTTGTGTGGCCGCATCTGTGCTTGGGGGCTGTGTGGCACCTCCTGAGCACTGACTGCCCTGTCGTGGCTCCACTACCAGGCAGTTGTGGGGTTTGCCCTGGGCACAGGACTCAGATGGGTGCCCTGCTTGTGGGGCGAGTGACTCGCAGGTGGGCAAGGTAGGCTTCAGGTGCTTGAGACAACTAAGTAAGGACCTCTAGCCAGCTGAAGCAGCTGGGACTCAGCAGCCAGGCTGCAGGGCAACCGGGAGGCTGCGGCCTTGGGGCTGCCCTGAGGGCCCTTCAGCTCAGGTGCCAGAGGAGACCTCCTCCCTCATGCTTTACTCCTTCTGCTGCCCTCATGCCCACTTTCACACTTATGTGTCACTCCCACACAGCCCCCCAGTCCTGCTCCCTACCAGGGCCCCCAGACCCTCCAGATCAGCTCAGAGTTTGAAGTTCCACAGCCAGGCTGTTGCCAAGCAACTGGCAGGAGCTGCCACCACGTTCCCTGCGTGGCTCAAAAGGGCCCATCCAATGCCTTCTGCCCCCATTCAGCTCTGGCCTGGTTGGCCCAGGGAGGCCCCTCCCACCCCGGAACCCTCACCTGGATGTCTTATCCTGGAGAATCTGATAGGAACAGGCTGAGCAGAGGCTGGAGTCAGGTCAGGTTTTCCAAGGAGCTCAGAGCAGACTCCAAAGACTGTGCATGATAGGGGTGAGGGGTGGCAGGTTGGGGTGTGAGGAAGGGCTGGGTGAGTTCCAGGGAGTGATGGGGTACCTACATTTTGTTGAGGGGTGGGTACAATTCACATGCCCCCACTCACAGCCTGCATTGCTGGGTACAACCTCACATACCTCCTTCAACTATGCAACAATCAGGGTGTGCAGTGTTACACGAGGGGAGCTACAGGTGTGCTGTGCCAGGCACACACAGAGCCTGCACTGCTGGTGCAAGCTCACACCTGACCAGGCCACCTCCTGTAAGTGGTTACCCCTGGACACCCCTCCTCTCCTTCCCTCCTCCCCCAGCCCCTACAGAGGAGGATCTAACTCCATTCCCAGCTGGCCTGGGGGTGGGGGTTGTCTTAGGAGCTGGCTTCAGGTTCCAGCCCTGCAGCTCGGGTGGTAAGGGAACCCCATGTGCCTAAGGCTGAGCTTGGGGATAGCAGCGGCCACCTTAGATACTGGCTGAGGACCCTAGCAAGGCCCAGAAGGTCCAGCGGCCGCCACTGCCTGCCCAAAGCCTGGGGAAATCTGGCCTCCTTGTGTGCGAGAAGATTGTGAGGGGTGCGGGGGGCCCCCTGCCACTGTGTGCCTCCTTGGGGAAAGGCTTTGGTGGGAGCTGCTCCTGCCCCTCCTGTTTTATGCCCTACGGACCCAGAACCCACATTTCTTTGGTTGCTGCGAGAAGAGCCAAAAGACCCAAAAGCTGGAGGCCGCGGCCGTGATTCAGCAGCCACCCAGAAGTGGGAGCTGGACCTGGGACTTGGTCACAGAAACCCAGAACGAGTGAGTTCTGGGCGCCCTCTAGGGGCCGCGCGTAGCAAGGCACTTCGAGCCGAGGCTCTGGGAGCTTGTATTCTCCGTGGCACCCTCGGAAATGCAGGGGTGGCTGTTACTGACTAGGTTGGAAAATACGAATGATAATCACACTAGCGAGCAATGTTATGGAGCATATGCTGGTGCCAGGCACTGCACTATGCTTTAAGAGTACTAATTCATGCCTAGCAACTACCTTATGAGGTAGTGGTATTTTTATCCCTGCTTTATACATAACGAAAATTGAAGTTTAAAGAGACTAAGCAGGGGCCAGGCGCGGTGGCTCACGCCTGTAATCTCAGCAGTTTGGGAGGCAGAGGCGGGCGGATCACTTGAGGTCAGGAGTTCGTGATCAGCCTGGCCAACATGGTGAAACCCCGTTTCTACTAAAAATACAAAAATTAGCCGGAAGTGGCGGCGGGCGCCTGTAATCCCAGGTACTCCAGAGGCTGAGGCAGGAGAATCGCCTGAACCAGGGAGGCGGAGGTTGAGCAGCTTGCCTGAGAGCCCGCGGCTGGTAAACAGTGAGGCCAGCATTCCAACCATGAGGTCTAACTCTAGAGCCACGGTCTTTGAGAGGGATGGCCGAGTCCTGGAGTATCATGGAATTAGTGAGAATTGGAGATGAGACCCTACCAGACTCCTGTCAGATTTGGCTTTATGGAGGGAGCTCTTAGTCTAGAGGGGGGCTGGGTGTTTGTCCTCTAGAGCTCTGGGAAAATCGCCTTCAGTCCCATCCAGTCTACTGGAACCTTCCTCCCCGTGAGGCGCCTGGCTTCCAGGCCCCACTCTGCCAGGCCTCTGTGGCCGCCCCCTCTTCCCCCGCACTGACTGCAAGCGCACACTCTACGTCTTCCCAGCAGGGCTTGAAGCCTTGTGGGATTGGAAGGGGGTTCCGTGCACTTTCACCTCTTCCCCTCCCTTCTCTGGGTCAAGAAAATGGAAGGACTCAAACTGACAGAAAGTTAAAAATAGAAGCCAATGAATCACACTTTATTAGTCAAAGGAACAGAGAACCAGAAAGGAAAATCCTTCCTCTCCTTGTCCATCTGCTCTGTGGATTGGAGGATCGGGGAGTGAGCTGAGGTGGGTAGGAGGGTGAGACTTGAAGGTCAGGGAGTTACCAGAGGTTTTCTTGGTGACCTCTTAGTAAGATTCAATCAAACTATAAAAAGAAAGAGTATGGCAGGCCAGGCGTGGTGGCTCACACTTAGAGTCCCAGCACTTTGGGAGGCCAAGGTGGGAGGATCGCTTGAGCCCAGGAGTTCGAGAACAGCCTGGGCAACATGATGAGACCCCCCCAGCTATATATTTAGGCCGGGCATGGTGGCACACGGCTGTAGTCCTAGCTACTCCGAAGGCTGAGGTGGGAGGATTGCCTGAGCCTGGGAGGTCAAGGCTGCAATGAACTGTGATAATGACAGTACACTCCAGCCTGGGTGACAGAGTGAGACCTTGTCAGAAAGAAAGAAGAACGAAAGAAAAGAAAGAAAGAAGAAAGAAAGAAAGAAAGAAAGAAAGAAAGAAAGAAAGAAAGAAAGAAAAAAGAAAGAAAGAAAGAACCGAGCGGGTGAGCTTGGCCTTGCCTCCTTCCCTCACCTTCTACACGATACGGGAGGTGGGGGTAGGGGAACATCCCTGGAAGGCTCTTTTGTATACTATATAAGGTGTATTCATTTATATACAAATAGCCCCTGCCAGTGTCTTAAACTTTTGTGTGTGCAAAAATCATCCAAGGATCTTGTTAAAATGTGGATTCTCATTCATTAGATCTTGATGGGGCCTGATGAGATGAATCTTGATGAGATTGCACATTTAGAATAATCTTTTGGTAATGTTGACACTGCTTCAGGCATCAAGGTCTTAAACTACTTCCCCACATCTAAGATCTAATCCTAGGGTTTTAAAGTTGCCTGCCAAACATGACTTGTAATCTTGTTTTATTTGCTTAAGAGCATTTTTCCATTTTATTTAAAGAAATGAAAAATAGGGACACAAATAATATCCCCTTCTGATAGGCTGTTTTGGCTTTTCTTTTTCCCAGAGCATTGATAAGACATTTTAGAATGCACTGTCCACATGCCACAGGCCTCACCAATCCCAGTGTTTTATGTCCTGCTATTTTCCGTGTTCCTGGCACTGCTCCTCTGATGCCAGATCCCCTCTCCTTCTGCACCTGCCCTCTTCCAAAAACCCTCTTTCAGCCCCAAGCAGCTGTTGAAGTGTCTTTGAAGATCAGCCTAAATGTTAAGCCTGGCTTCTCTGCTGTCCAGCCTTGAGTAAGTTCATTAAGTTTTAGGATCTTGCAATTTCCTTGCCCATATTACAGGACCAACCTGTAATTAACCTGGATTAAGGGGATTAAGGAGATAACTCAGGTAAAAGCACTTGGCTCTTCACAGATGCTCCAGGAATGGCATAGAGCAGCCCAAGGTGTTGTGGCCTGGGTTTTCCACACTCAGGACTTCCTGGGGCCCTCAGGGTGAGTCCTACAAATCTCAGGGGCTCTACCCTCCACACCTCATTCCCAGACCCTCAATTTCTGGAGGGAAGTTGAGGGGCAGCTTTCCCTTACCTTTGGCCTAGGGAATCTCAGGATCACATGCAATCACCTTGTTCCCAGGTGGCCACACCTGATTGCACAGACTGGGGAGGCCTGTCCAACAGGTTCATAGGAAAATGCATAGGGGTTTCATGGTCCCTCACCATTCACTTGCTGTCAGAGAAAATCGGCCCCCGCACATTGGCACACCTGTTCGCAAGCCCAGCCATGAAAGCTCACAGACACACAGTTGTATTCTTGTACCCATTTTGGGAATCAGAGGCTTCACATCTGCAGGCTTTGACTTCTCTCCCTTTCCCATCTCAGGCCAGAAATTGGGTGCAGCGCAGCGGTGGTATGGTTATTGTGATTATTGCCCTGGGGCGAATTCTGCAGAGGAGTGGGCAAAAGAATATGGAGGAACCAATTTATTAACCCCATAGAAGCCCCAAGGTTTCCAGTGCCTGTGGGACTCCATTCAGCCTGGACTCTGCAAGACTGGCTTCTCTCCCTCCATGTAAAGTCGAGCAGGGGGATGGGATTGTCTGGGTGGGAGATGGGCTGAAGAAACAGATCTTTGGAAGGCCTGGAGTCTTTGCTTGCACTAAATGAGCAGAACCTTCAGTTCCAGGGAGGTGCCCCTAGCCATCCCTGAGCCTTCCGCCCTGGGGTGGGTTGTACTGTCCCCTCCACACAGCAGCCTGATGTCCTGGCTTGTCTTGGGGTGTCACCTCCAGAAGAAGCCAAGCACAAACGTTCACAGAGATCCACTGAGCTCCTGAGCTGCCAAGGGACACCTGCATGGAGGTGCCAGGCCATGCGCTGGAGACAGCCCGTAAGTGAGAAAAACTCGCTTCCCTCCAGCCTCACTGTGCCCAGGCCGCTCTGTGCCCTGCGGCAAGCTGGTGGGGGGCGGGGGGAGGGCTTGTTAGTAAATGACCCAGAAGCGCCCCACCCCACACCCCACCACAAGGACTTGTCCGGGCCGGGCCGGGCTAGATGCCGAGATGTAATTCACCAGATTTGTGAAAAGACGAGAAATCTGCTCTCATTTTGAAGCGCAGCCCCGCCGGCATCCAGGAGGCCGAATATAAACCTCTTCCGGAGGGCAGGGACATCTTGCACCGTCGCCCTCCAAATCTGGCCCTCTAGGGTGTGGAAGGGCGCGGCAGGGGTGCAGGGAAAAACACACAGCCCGTAGCCATCTGTTTGGCTCTGACGAGTCCCCAGACTCGAGCCTCCAGTCAGCTCGGACTCCAGACCAGGGCTCCGCGAGGGGTGGTGCGACTCTAACCCCACGGTCGCCACAGCAGCTGGAGAATTCGGCCAAACCTGACTCTTTCTCCAGGGGCGAGGGCTCCGCCAGACCGCGTGGACAAGGAACCGGCCCCGCCGCGCTTTCCTGGACTGCGGAGGCGGCCTGAGTGGTGGTGTCCCCGTCCCTGGCAGAGAGGGGCTGTCTCTTGATTCCTGAGCTTCAGGGCCACATGTCTCAGGCGGGTTGAGCCTCGATGATGTCTGCCGTGGGGTTCGCTTGTGGACGATCCCTTCCTGGGACCCCAGACCCGGGCCACGGCCTCCAGGACGCCTGGGTCTTGCACCCCTTGCTTTTCCCGACGGGCTCCCGGAGTCTCATTTCTAGAATGAGGTGGGAGACCTCGTGACTACGCGGAGGCCGCCCCAGGGCTCCGAGGGCACCGCACAGGGCACCAGGCCCTTCCCAGCTCAACCCGGGCCCGTCGCGGTAGTGAATTGGCGCCTGACGATTGCGCGGCAGAGGCTGGCGAGCAGCGCTGGGCTGAAGCCGACCCGGCACCGCGCGGCGCCCGGATCCGGAGCTGCCAGCAGCAGAAGGGCAGGCGCTAGGAAAAGCGTGAAAAGGGCTGGGTCCTTTGGGTCAGGATTTGCCCTGCGACCGGAGGATGGGGCGCACGATTCCAAGGCGCGGACTTCGAAGGCGAGAACCTGGAAGGGGAAACACACACTCCCCCTGCCATCCCCCTGGAGTTCTCTTGCCCAGCTCGCAGCCTCCCTGAAGGATCGGGGCAAGGGCAAGGCCACGAGAGCTCAGGTGCTGTTAATTTCCGTTGAGGAGAAGCACCCTGGGGTCCCTGTCACTTGGAAATTCCCTGTGGCAGTGCTGTAAGCTTCATCACAGTCGGCCCTGCAACTCCCTCTGCACATCTTTGGAATCTCCAGGAGTTATGGGGCGGGGCGAGGAGCTAACCCAGCCCTGGCTCCTCCTCCCCAGGGAGCCGAAACTTCTATACTTCTCTGACTTTATGGTCCTTGGAGGCAGGGTAGGGGTTCAGGGGACTGATTCCTTTGGATTTCTGGGCGACTGGTCTGGCAAGTCAATAACCACCCCAGTTGTCCTGACAAACGGGTCTGCTTTGTGATCAGAGTCCATAAAATGGGCCTGTAGGAAACAGTGTCCCCTCCAACCAATACGGAGCCAGAAGCCCTCTCCTCTGTATAAGGTTTAGAGAGTGCTTCTCCACCCTGGACTGCAGGGAATACTCTCCTCCCTTGAGTCTTTGATTTTCTGCAGTCCCTCAGTGTGTGGAGTCTGAGTCCAGCTAACCCGAGAAGAAAAATGCACTGATTCCAGGGATATTCGGTAGTTTACAGGATCAATAGGAAGGCTGAGGAATTAAGGAACATCAGTTTCAGGAAACACAGGAATGCTTCGTTAAGGCACTGCTGCTAGCACCACATGCTGCTAGACTCCGGCATGAACATCACTGAGAGTAATTTCCCAACTTTTCCTCCATCTTCACTTCACTCCCTCAAGATTCAAAACTCATGGAGTATCATTTAACGACACTAAGAGTAGGACATGTGTCCAGGCACTAGTTGTCAGAGATGGGAGGGAAGAGCATAGTCCCTTAGACTTCCATATTAAAAGCTAAAACTGTTCCACCAATATTTACCCTGTTTGAGGACAGTCTCCCTATCAGGAAGTGTTCAGATGCTAGGTTAAAAAAGGGTGGGGGGACCCACTCGAGGGGACCCACCCCTTTGGCTGCCCAATATTCACATATGCCTTTCTTCCTAAATTTACAGGCTTTTCCTCCACAAAATGCTCCCACCTAACATGTTACTGTCACTCATGACAGAAAATATATTCAACTTTCCTGACAATCCAAAGCCTCATAGCTCTAAGTTCAATACCTTTGTTCTCTTCCTTCTCTAGTTCTGTTGGAATCTGGTCTCAATATTGTGCAACTTGTGGATTAGACTAAATTGTAAAGCTAATAATCATCACACATAATAATATAGTAGTGGCCAGGCATGGTGGCTCATGCTTGTAATCCCAGCACTTTGGGAGGCTGAGGCAGGCGGATCATTTGAGGACAGGAGTTCGAGACCAGCCTGGTGAACATGGTGAAATCCTGTCTCTACTTAAAATAAAAAAAAAAAATTAACCGAATGTGGTGGCAGTTGCCTGTAATCCCAGCTACTCGGGAGGCTGAGGCAGGAGAATTGCTTGAACCCAGGAGGCGGAGGTTGCAGTGAGCTGAGATCATGCCATTGCAATCCAGCCTGGGCAACAAGAGTGAAACTCCATCTCAAAAAAAAAATAGTAATAATAATAATAATAATAATACAATTACAAGGGAATAAGAATGGAAGAAAATGCATGAAGTTAAAATATAGACTGTCTAATATGACAACAGGTCAGGACGTAAAAACCATTGTCTTTTTTTTTGCATATTTCGTATTCATGACATTCCTCCTCCCTTTTCCATTCTGTTTCTTTTGCCTTCAGGCAGCACCTGGGCTGGTTTGGGTTCTTTATCCTGGAGAGAGCCAAGCCTTTGTTCCTGAGGGATCTGAGCCCTTGATGGTCCTGCCTAGAAAGGGCTGTCGTGGTCTTCCATTAACTTTTACCCCTGGACATAACAGCACTACAAGGGACCCCAAGGGAGCCCTGTGATTCCATGAATACTCCTTTTTGCCCCATTGTATAGGAAAACATTCTACTTGAACTTGCTACCGCTCTAGCCAATTCCATAGTCTCCTTTAACCTTGCTCATCCATTGACAGGAGCAACCAGAAGTGACCAGGTAAGAATTTATGCTCCCATTTCAGTGAAAACATTGTTTCTCTTGGTGGGAACTTTCTTCTCTTGGGGACTCTAACTCTAATATAGTAGAAACAAGAGTCACAGAAAGTGAGGGTGTCACTGGGGACTTGTAGAAGGTATTGCCCTCTCTTTTTGGGGTCATACAATCAGGCTATGGGGGAAATAGCAGCAAATATTAAGTACCAGCTCATAGCATATGTTTCATCCTGAAGTACTGCACCACACTACCGTAAAGGACAAACCAGGCTGTTCTAATAACACAGAATACAGTGGCTCAAACAAGATATAAATTATTTTTTCTCTTGCATCTAGGAAAGACAGATAGCTCTGCTCTGTGAAGGCATCGGGAGGCCCAGGCTAGTGAGGAAGCTTTGCCATTCTCCGCAGCCACCTTCCAAACTTGTGTCAATCCTTGACAGAGGAAGGAAAGGGGGCAGCAACTCCAAGGCAAGCTCTTTAAGAAGATGACTGCAAAGTTGTGCATATTTCACTTACATTCCTTTGAGAAGAGCTAGCTGCAAGGGAGGCTGGGAAATGTAGGCTCTAGGTGAATCTAGTGGATATTAGCCCATTGTTAAAACTGCAAAATGTATTCTTGTCAACAGCAATGTTGTGTGGAAAACTAGACAATTATAAGGCCTTGAATGAATGTATTAGCTGAAGCTTGACGCTCAGAAAAGGCATATACAAGCCTACCACCAGATACCTCATTGGTGCCGCTGGCGTTATGGTATAGAGGCACCAGTGAGGTATCTTGTGGTAAGTTTCTACACAGTAGGGGCCTTGAAGCTGATCCCAGTTGCTGGCAAATTGGTTAATTTTGCAGTAAGCTTAGACTTGGGAGATGTTGAGTTTATGCACAGCTTTCTTTCTTCTTGATCTTGGGCCCATTTATTTAAGAGCACATTGAGCAGGACTTGCAGTGCCCGGGAAGGAGACTGACTGAGATCCAGAGTAGGTTATCTTGTCCACTTGATTTTGAAAAACCATTTATTTATTTATTTTTTGAGATGAGGTCTCACTCTTCACCTAGGCTGGAGTGCAGTGGCAGGATCATGGCTCACTGCAGCCTCAACCTCCTGGGCTTAAGCAATCCTCCCACCTCAGCCTCCCAAGTAGCTGGGACTACAGTTGCACACCACCACACCCGCCTTTTTTTTCTGGTAGAGATAAAGTTTGCCATGTTGCCCCAACTCCTGGGCTCAAGTGATCTGCCCACCTTGGCCTCCCAAAGTGCTAGGATTACAAGCCTGAGCCACTGTGCCTGGCTGAAAAACCTTTTAAATCAGGTATTTTTGGTGATCATTTTCATAAAACACAAATATTTTTACAATCTATGTCCATCCCAAAAGATTATTCTTTATACTTTTTCCCACCATGTCCTTTACCCAGACCTGTGGCCTGCAGTGAACAGTCTACTAAAGCACTTTTTAGGGGTTCTGTTATTGCCTTGACCAAAGTATTTTTCAAGTTTTTTGAGAAGGAGACATCTTCTGGGATCCTTTCCAGAGACATTGTGGCTGGGTGAAGTGGCCCATGATAAATCCTCTCCAGTGTTCCTGTCTTCAGAAATTTTCAGCCAGGCATGGTGGCTCATGCCTGTAATCCCAGCACTTTGGGAAGTCGAGGTAGGTGGATCACAAGGTCAGGAGTTCAAGACCAGCCTGGCCAACATGGTGAAACCCCATCTCTACTAAAAATACAAAAATCTGCCTGGCATGGTGGTGCATATCTCTAATCCAATCTACTCGGGAGGCTGAGGCAGGAGAATTGCTTGAACCCAGGAGGCGGAGGTTGCAGTGAGCTGAGATCGCGCCACTGCACTCCAGCCTGGGGGACAAGACTCCGTTTCTGAAAAAAATAAAAAACAAAAAACAAACAAACAAACAAAAACTTTTCAGGTTCCTTTCAGGGTATACTGTTTCTGACATTGTAACTTTAGATCAGGCTGATTTTAATGATGTAAGGGCACTTATCAAAGACTCTGAAGTTGGTGTTTTAGTTTGAGCACATGGGAGTCCAGGTTTCTTTCATTTATCTGCTCCTTCAAACAGAACCACCTCCAGATGCTAGAACCAATCTTAGACTCTTTGGCAGGTGCTCCTACATATGAAATTCAGTGAAAATTAAACTTTGTCGCCTTCCCCGTTCCTGTTTTAAAGACCTGAATTGTTTTGATATGGGGGACTTTTCTTCTCAGGCTTGCTTTTCCAGTTGGCACGCTGGGATTTGGTAAGTCTGAAGAACATGTTGGGTTGGAGGGTGGGGCATGAGGATAAATGATGTCCCCTTGCAAGGGCACTCCAGAAAAAGTCACAGCCTTATCAGACAAGCGAAGAGCATTGTCCGACATGGGGAGAAGTTGCATAAGCTTGTAAGGGAAGCTCAGTGACAGGGGGGCCTGAGTTAGTCTGAATCTTCTGGACATCCCTTATATATCCCCAGCCCAACTCTCGAGGTCCTGCTTTTTTCTAATCCATGTTCTAATTTGATAGGACTGTGATTTGTCTAACATTAAGAGCCATTAGGGTCAGATTTCAAGATTGGTTTTCATTTACGTCAGCCCTGATGCTACAAGAGATAAGGTCTAGTTTCAGCCATGATTGAAAGTCCATGGGTTTAATTCATTACTTTGAGCTAATGTAGAGTTTGAGCTTGTTATCCAATTTCTATAAGCTGTCCTATAGCATTAGAAGCAGCACTCTAATCCAAGATGGTCTCCCAAAGCGTGGTCCTCAGTGGACATGTCGTTTTATTTTACCTATTTATTTATTTAGAGACAAAGTCTAGCTCTCTCAACCAGGCTGGGGTGCAGTGGAGTGCAGTAGCGTGATTACAGCTCAGTAAATCCTTGAACTCCTGGGCTCAAGGGATCCTCCTGCCTCAGCCTTGTGTCTGTAGCCTGGGACTACAGGCATGCGCCACTACACCCAGCTAATTTTTTAGAAAATTTTATTTGTAGAAACAGAGTCTCACCATCTTGCCCAGGCTGGTCTCAGACTCCTGGGCTCAGACTCCTGCCTCAGCCTCCCGGGATGCTGGGATTAAAGGCACCCAGCCAGGTTTTCATCCTATGGAATAAGCTACCAAATTCCCATTCTTGAATCCCAGTAGACCTACAGCCCTAACTAAGCCAAATAACCAATTCCAATTTCCCCCATTTCTCTGATAATCTTTCACCTGGTATCGTTTTTCTGGTATAATTTTTATGCTAGTTAGAATTCTTGGCAGTAAGCACAAAAAGTATTAATCTTGGCTTACCTAAAGATAAAAGAGAAAGGGAGTTTTGGGGAAAGATTTTAAGTAGCTCATAGAATCTAAATGCCAAAGAATCGCTGTGCAGAACTGGGAAGGCAGCAAATACAGCCAAGGTCAAATCACAAGACCATCCTGGCTAGGAGTCTCCACTGGTGTCTCTGCCACTGAGCACTCAGTGTTGCTGGCACTGTGATCCCAACCCCATTGCCCCCATGTTGAATAATATTTTTGGCTGTCCCTGTGTTTTTGAGTCATCCTGGGCAGGATCACGCATTGGCTCAACTTGGGTCATGTGTCCATAAGCTGCTGCTGATGGGGTGGAGAGAGGAAACCCTGGGCCTTTTCCTTCTGTGGTGGCCGATGAGATTCTCCCTCCCTCCAAGACACACAACGCGGGAGATTCTTCCTGGATGGTAAGGGTGTTTAGATGTGGAGCGGCCACACACACACACACACACACACACACACACACACACACACACACAGCTGTTCACTACAGTTGGGGACTTCCTGGCTTTCCTTTCTTTCTCCATACAGCCTAGAACCCCTCACCTGTCCTTTCATCCACCTCATGCCCCAATAGACCCCGGTGGAGCCACATCACCACCTCACGTTTTCTCTTGGTCAAGTCACAGAGCACTGCTGGAGAAATTCACACAGGGGCAGGACAGGTAAACCCATGGGGTCCAGCTTTTGTTGAACCTCACCAGGGCTTAGAAACCCTTTTAAGTCAAATATCATAATATTAACTCTAAAAACCAAGAACCTTTTTGTACATGGCTAAAATTCAGAATAGTAACTTAATAGCATCTAGTATCCAGCCCACATTCAAACCTGTTCCCCAAATCTTGTGAAAGAGATCTTTCTGTAAGGCAAATATAATTATATCACTTCATTCATTAAAGTATTATATAAATATTGCCGGACTCAGTGGCTCACACCTATAATCCCATCTCTTTGGGAGGCCAAGGCAGGCGGATCACTTGAGGTCAAGGGTTCAAGATCAGCCTGGCCAACATGGTGAAACCCTGTATCTACTAAAAAAAAAAAAAAAAAAAAAAGAAAAACACAAAAATATAGCTGGGCCTGGTGGTGGGTGCCTGTAATTCCAGCTACTTGGGAGGCTGAGGCAGGAGAATCACTTGGGAGGCTGAGGCAGGAGAATCGCTTCACCAGGAGATGAAGTTTGCAGTGAACGGAGATTGTGCCACTGCACTCCAGCATGGGTAACAGAGCAAGACTCCATCTCAAAAAAATTATTATAATATATAAATACTGTAAAATATGCAAATGCAAACAGTACAAAGTGGTTTGGAGTCAAAACAGGGATCACCCTTTTTCCGCTCTCCCTTTTATTCTCCCCTCTTCTTTCTGGTTCAGGCTGCCTCCCAAGAAGTGCCAATTGTTTTTTTGTTTGTTTGTTTGTGGTTTTTTTGACATGGAGTCTGGCTCTGTCGCCCAGGCTGGAGTGCAGTGGCGCGATCTTGGCTCACTGCCGCCTCTGCCTCCTGGATTCTAAGCGATTCTCCTGCCTTAGCCTCCTGCACAGCTGGGGTTACAGATGCCCACTACCATGCCCAGCTAATTTTGTATTTTTAGTAGAGACGGGGTTTCATCATGTTGACCAGGCTGGTCTCAAACTCCTGACCTCAAGGTGAGCTACCCTCCTCAGCCTCCCAAATTGTTGGGATTACAGGTGTGAGCCACCGTACCCGGCCCCAGTTGTTAATTTCATGCATTTTTCTCCCAGTCATCTCCCAGACATTCACATGCATGTACATATGCAGGTATAACCTTAACACAGAGTACAAAGGGATCACCCTATACACAGTCTCATGTGACTTGTGCCTTTCATTTGATGACCTATCTTTCATGTCTTTCCATGTGAGTAAAGATAAAAATCCTTTGGTGGCCCCTGTCTTCCTCTCTCACCTCGAGTTCTGTGTCTACCCAAGTGCACTGTACCCTCTCATAACTCCTTGGCCATGTACATGTCATTTCCTCTGTCTGGAATAGCTTCTCTTTTATGGGACCCATGAATTCTTACTCATCTGCTGTAAAAGCTTTCCTGTGCTTGGGGCCAAATTAGGCTTTCTTCCCAGCTCCCAAAATGCCCATTCCTCTCATCATACTTATCATGGAGTTGTTAGTTAGTTTCAAGAGACAGGGTCTCATTTTATTGCCCAGGCTGAAGTGCAGTGATGGGATCATAGCTCACTGTAGCCTTGAACTCCTGGGCTCAAGCGATCCTCCCGCCTCAGCCTCCTGAGTAGCTGGGTCTACAGGCACACACCACCACACCCAGCTAATTAAAAAAATTTTTTTTGTAGAGACAGGATCTTGCAATGTTGCCCAGGCTGGTTTTGAATTCCTGGCCTCAAGTGATCCTTCTGCCTCAGCCTCTCAAAGTGGGAAGGATTACAGGTGTGAGCCACCACACCTGGCCTCTTCATGGAGGTTTTTTTGTTTTGTTTTTTTTTGTGTTTTTTTGTTGAGGTGGAGTCTCACTCTGTCCCCCAGGCTGGAGTGTAGTGGTGCGATCATGGCTCACTGCAAGTTCCACCTCCCGAGTTCACGCCATTCTCCTGCCTCAGCCTCCCGAGTAGCTAGGGCTACAGGCGCCCGCCACCACGCCCGGCTAATTCATCATGGAGTTTTATGAGTGCTCTTTTTTTTTTCCTGTTTGCCATTGAAATATGAATGCTTATTTACTTGTCTTCTTCTCCCACTAAACTTCAAGCTTCTGGAGGCCACCCGCCGAGTTATAACCAGCTTTGTCCCAGCGTCTACCTCAGGGCAAAGTCAGAGTGGTTCTTAATCAAGGATTTTTGTGGTGGCTCACGCCTGTAATCTCATCACTTCAGGAGGCTGAGGTGGGAGGATCACTTGAGCTCAGGAGTTCGAGACCAGCCTGGGCCATGTAGCGAGATCCCATCTCTACAAAAAAAATTTTTTTAAATAGCCAAGCATGGTGGCACATGCCTGTAGTCCCAACTACTTGGGAGGCTGAGGTGGGAGGATCACTTGAGCTCAGGAGGTCAAGGCTGCAATGAGCTGTGACTACACCACTGCACTCCAGCCTGGGTGACAGAGTAAGATCCTGTCTCTCAAATAATAATAAATAAATAAATAGTTGTTACTGGGCTCCTTCTATCATCCACAGAGATCAAGGTCATCTTGGGGGGTTAGAAATGTAGGGACATAGCCCTCCTCACATTATTTGGTCATCAGGACACCAGGAGACAAGACTTGGAAAAAACCTGAAGTCTGAGATTCTCCAAAGCTGACTGACATTAAGGGAGATCCTCTGAGCTAAAATGAGCCAAGACTCTCTCCACTGGGACCTGTTGGATGAGGAAAGGAATGTTGACAAGTAAAGTGAGGGACAAGGATAATAATGACCCCAAGCCCACCAGCCTGGCCTTGGCATTTCAGGGGCAGGCAGTGAGAATTACTGAACACTAGTTTTACCTGGAAAACAAGGTCACATTAAAAAAATTATATAGAGAGAAATTTTTTGTTTTCCAACTGCTCCCTGCAGAGCAAGGCTACCCTATAGGCAGTGTGCCCAGAGTTGCCACACGGTCATATTTGGGCCAAAACAGGTAAGACACCTCTACGGTAGATGGGGTAGGGAAGCTCCTTCCTCTTGAGACAGTCAGGCTGGGGCTGGGGAAGATGGGGGTGGTGGTGGGTGTGGCTAGCTGGGCTGAGTTGATGGAATTCTGGAAAGGAGGATAGATAGAACCTCCACTATTGCTTGGAATGTGCAGGAAATACCGTGAATTGGTCCACTCAGCATTCATCCAACCTTCTTCTGGTATGCATTCCTGTACTGCAGGGGCTAGAAAGCTAAAAATTACATTCCCCAGACTTCCTTGCAGCTAGAGTGCCAGATGTGACTTTTAGGTTGCACTCATAAGACATATTTATGCAAGGCTTAGATTCAGGGCTCAGTTAACTGGAGAGAGGAGTACAGCACGAAGCATCATTTAATACATGGTAACATACCCCTTCCTGTCTAGCTACATGGTCTCTGCTGCCTTCACTGAAACCCTCACTGATACATGGGGTAGCTCCTTAGCCACCTCCTCCTCCTTTCATGGGGTATTTTCCAGGTTTGTCTGCAGTGGCTTCTTTTTGCTGCTCTTGAGTGTGGAAGTTCCCTCCTCTATGGGGAGAGCTCTGGGAAGCCTCAATTTGGTTTTTGTCTGGCTCAGCCACCCTCACGACTCCCACATCTGTGTTCACCTTCATTCCTGCCATGTTCCATCCAAGCTGTGGACATCTGGTCACAGAGACTTCCTTGACTGAGGGATGCCCTGTCCTTGCAAGTCTGGGTCCACGTGGGGAGTTGTGACGGAAGTACTGTATTTTTGCTAAGTTCTTTTTTTTGGTACAGATGGGGTCTTGCTACATTGCCCAGGCTGCTCTTCAACACCTGGCCTCAAGGGATCCTCTTACCTTGGCCTCCCAAAGTGATGGGATTACAGGCATGAGCCACCACACTCAGTCCTATTTTTGCTAAGTTCTGAGAGTCAGTATGGTGGGTGGAAGTCAGGCCGACTTCACTCAGCTGGCCTGGGTCCACTCCTAACTCTTCTGCCTAGTGACTGTCTGGCCTTGGACAAGTGACTTGCCTTTCTGTGCCTCAGTTTCCTCATCAGTAAAATAGTGACCGTAAATAATAATAACATAATGATAGAATTATATAAATATGTAATAATAATAATAAAACGGTGCAGATTGTTGTAAAAGTTGGTATTGCATGTAGGTTCTTGCTATCAGGGTAGCCACAGACTTCGATGGGTCTGGTGAGGGAATGTCTCAGGATTTTCCCCCGTTTCTGTTCCTGGGGTCTGACCGGAGGATCCCCAGGCCTCCCAAGTAGTGAATTATCCTCCTTACCCCCTCATTTCTACACTCTCAGATTTTCCTTGTCTGGAACATTTTAAGCAAACTGATGCTTTGACAAATACTTCCTGAATGCCTACTACGTGCCAGGCATTGTACTGAGTACCAAGGATGCAATTCAAATTAATAAAATCAAGCTTTTGTCCACCTGCCAGCCACCATATTACACGAAGATGCTGGAAGGGTTTCATGGATTTGGACGGTATGATGGTGTAACCGAAAACAGTTATATGACATGAATAAAACTCATTTTGGGGGATCCCTGGGGAGATACCTTAAAGAGATGGGAAGTCATCCTCCAGAGTGACCCAAACTGACATACGACAGGTCTGTATGTCCACCCATGGGGCATGTTATGTCTCACCTACAGAGGGGCAGTAGATAGAGAAAGCAACAGTGGCTTAAAATGCAAACCCCAAACCAAAAGTTGTAAGGGAAGCTGCGCTGCTTTGCAGGTGCTGATTTGCTATCTAGCAGCTTTTCAAGGGAACTTCTATGTGTGGAGCTCCAGGGTGATTGACACCAGGATTAGGGTTCTGGTGAAGGCCACTAGTGATGAATAAGATTTGGTCTTCCAAGAATTCGGGAAAGGAACACCCTTCCATTATCTCCTGCTGCATAGCAAATCACTCTAAAAGTTAGCAGCTTAAAACAACAAACATTTATTTTCTCACAGTGTCTGTGAGTCAGGAATCTTGGGGCCGCCTAGCTGGGTGTCTCTGCCTCCAGATCTCTCAAGGATATGATCAAGGTTTCAACTGGGACTGCAGTTTCATCTAAGGCTTGACTAAGGAAGCATCTACTTCCAAGTTCATTTACATGGTTGCTAGCAGGATTCAGTTTCTCAGTTTCTCACTGGCCGTGAGCTGGTGGCCTCACCCAGTTCCTTGCCATGTGAATCTCCCAATAGGGCAGCTCACAACATGGCAAATGCTTCAGAGCATGTACTCAAGAGAGGCTGAGAAAACAAGCAAGATAGAAGTCCTGTCTTTAAGTCACCTAATCTCCAAAGTCACATCTTATCACTTCTGCCATTCATTCTCAGCAAGTCTCTGGGTACAGCCCACGCTCGAGTGGAGGAGATTTCACAAGGGCTTGGGAATTCCACAGCAACCAGGGGTCACGGGGGGTCATCTCAGAGACTGCCTACCACACCCCTCACCTATGGGAGCCCCAGCAGCAGGGGCAACTCCTTCCTTTCCCCATCTCCACCCCCACTTTCTCCCCTAGGACTCTGCCCAGGCAAGCCACAGCCTGGCTGCCTTTCCCGAGTGAGGATCCAGGACAGCCTCAGAAGCACATTAGTCTCAGAAGACAGAGACCCAGAACTCAGAAGCCCCGCCTCATGGAATGCATAGATGTACTGGGTCTGGCCATTGTCCTTAGCTAACAGACATGCTAGGTATGGAGGAGAACCTGGGGCCAGACTAGAGCCTGGGGACATTGTCTGTCTTAGTGAGGAAGGAGACAGGACTCAACTCTGGAGGCAGGGCTTGGACACTGGACCAAATTGAGGACTAGCTAAAACAGGGTCAGGGCAGAAGCACCTTTCCATAAGACACACCCACCAGTGTTGCCATGGCAACACCCAGAAGTTACCACCTCTTTCTGTAGCAACCACCCAGTGACCCAGAAGTTAACATTCTTTTTCTAGAAATTTCTGCAGAACTCACCACTTAATTTGCATATAGTTAAAAGCGGGGACAAATATGACTGCAGAGCTGCCTCTGAGCTGCCACTCTGGGCACACTGCCTATGGGGTAGCCATGGTCTGCAAGGGGCAGTACCTCTCCTGCTGCTGTACGTTGCCATCTCAATAACAGTTGCTGTCTAATGCTATCTAACACTACTGGCTCACCCTTGAATTCTTTGCTCTGCAAAGCCAAGAACCCTCCTAGGCTAAGCCCCAAGTTTGGGGTTCACATGCCTTGCATCACTAGGGCTGGTCAGTGGGACAAGGCCACACCAGACCATAAATCCAACTCACGGTCTTTCCCAAATGGGCAGAGGCTGCAGGGTTGGCCCTCCTGAAGGGCTGGCCCTGCCCCACTTGGCTGAGTTTAAGACCCCCTTGCCTTGGTGCTGGTAAGAGCATCACTGTCTTACTTGCAAAGAGGAGGGTGTCTGGGAACTTCCAGAGGCCTGTGGAGCTGGAAAATACTAACAGAATGGTCTTGGTAATTTTCTCTGGAGGTAGCCTCATCACATTTTGGTGGACCCATTTCTCCATCTGTATTCCTCCCTTCATTTTTGTTTTTGTTTTTCAGATTCTCATTTCTCTGACTCCTCTTGATTTTACACTCTAAAGCTGAGGGCACAGGGTACCCCCCAAATTGGGCCTCCACTCTCTAGTCAGGGATGGTGGGATTTGGGTGGACTTTTCACCTCTGCTTTCAAGATCTTAGGTAAAGGGGGGGTCTTGAGGCCAGCAGAGGCAGGCAACCTGGGCCTTCCCACACTGCACCCACAGAGATCCACAGAATGCACCCCCCCATGCTGCACCTGTTGCTAGCATCTCTGAACGGGCCTTCCAGAAGCTACCCAAGAGGACGCTGACAGGACAGAAGATGGCTGCACAGAGCAAGAGACGGGGAGGGCACAGGGCAGTATGAAGAACAGCGTGGTCTATGTGAGTCCCAGCACCCAAGGTCAGAGCCCTTCCCTGGGCCCACTCTCCATCTCTGCCAAGTGCACACTCCTGCAGGGAGGGGCTGTGCTATTCATCTCTGTGTCCTCAGAGCCTGCATCTACGAATGGGCAAAAAAATGAGCAAACCAACAAGGTTTAGCACATACGAGGCTTTGGTCCAGATATACATGCATGTGTGTCAAAGGACCTGTGTAAAAACATATTCATTTGGAGCATTCGTTGTAAAGATTAGAAACAACTTAATATTTATAAAGATATTTGCCAAGATTGGAAACAATTTAAATGTCTATGAGTAGAGGACTGGGAAAATTCATGAAGATAAATCCATCAGTGTGATCGTGTGCAGCCATGAAAAGGATGAGTCCACACTGATGTGAACAAACTCTGAGATACTGTTGATGTGCTGGCAATGTGGCTCATGCCTGTGTTGATGCTTCCAACACTTTGGGAGGCTGAGGCAGGAGGATAGCTTGAGCCCAGGAGTTCAAGACCAGCCTGGGCAACTTGGTAAACCACTGTCTCTACAAAAAATACAAAAACTAAATGGGCATGGTGGTGCACACCTGTAATCCCAGCTACTCAGGAGGTTGAGGTGGGAGGATCACCTGAGCCCGGGAGTTGTCGAGGCTGAAGTGAGCTGTGATTGTGCCTCTGCACTCCTGCCTGGGCAACAGAGTGAGGCTCTGTCTCGAAAAAAAAAAAAAAAAAAAAAAAAGAATGAGATGCAGAACAGGGTGTGTTGGTATGTTGGTGGGGGGAGAATATGTATGTCTGTTTGTATAGAATATCTCTGCAGGGACACCCAAGAAAATGACGGCATTTTCTGGGAGGAAAATAGGGTGCCTAAGAGAGGGGGTGGAAGGAAGGCTTACTCATTACTGTTTTGAATGGCTTGAATTTTGAATTGCATGAATATATTATTTATTCAAAAAAGCTTAAGAGCACACATTTGGAACTGCAGACTTGGACTGCCATCCCAGCCCTGCCACATCCATCTTCCTCTGTAACGATGACTGCTGGACGTCTTCCCAGCGCCCTGAGAGGATGCAGAAGTTGCTTCTGTAGCACTTGGGGAGCTGGAGTTTTGTTGGTACTGCTGCCATCTCCACCAGATGATGAATGGGGAGAAACCTCTGGCTGGGAGAGGCCAAGGTCACTCATTAAAACCTCACAGAAGGTAACACACTGAGAGACAGACAGTGTGACCCCTGACCCCACTGACGTTGGCCCCAAGTCAGCCAGCAGGTTCACACACCCTCTCAGGGTTCACTTGCTGGGTGATGTTATCCAATGGACCCTCTTTCCTGACTTCAGTGACCACACCCAAGACCTGCAGGGACTCCAGACAGTTATGTCATAAAATTCACCACACAGGGCACAGAATTCCCCCATGTTTCCACTCTCTCTATATCTTACCAGTAAGGGAAGGGCAGAAATATGAAGGAATATAACCTGTAGTCATTTGGTATTTTCCAAGGGAAACTGCTTGTGATTGTGAGGTTAGTGATCTTTGCAGACATTCTCTCTAAAGTGAGTGTAGCCTTGGGCAATGCATGCTCTGGGCTATTCATTTAGGTGCCCCTGTAACCAAGCTCTGCATGCAGGAATGCTCTCTCATTCATCATTTATTCATTTGACAAACATTCATTCAGCCCCTTCTCTCTGCTAGGTATGTAAAGGAGAGCCAAGCTGCCTGAAGAAACGAGGGTCCATAGGTGAAGACAATTAAATAAACTCATCAGACTAAAGTGCAACACGTGCTGGAGAGACAGCCAACCTTTGTAGAAGTGCAAAGCACTTGACCCAGGGGCTGGGGTCAGCGGGACGTCTGGGAGGAAGTAAGCTAGCTTCAGCTAGCACCTGACAGTGGAGAGTGGAAGGCAAGCGCCGGTGAAAAGGAGCTGTTGTGAAGGTGGGATGTAAATGGCTTAGCCAGGGCCCAACACATTGTGTGTGCTCCATCGGTTCCCAGTGTTCAGAGGAAGGAATTCCCCCAGATGCCTGAGTTCAGGGCTGCTATCACCCTGAATGGCCACAAGGGGGAGCTCGTGCCCTGTAATTGTGTGTTTCAGCGCCTGTGCCGTGTGCCGCAAGGTACCAGTTGTTTCCACTAAAGATCGGTTACTTGCATCTTACAAAGTTGTTAGGAAGCGTCTCCCGGACATTTGCAGCCCCTGCTAAGCGTAGTGTGTTCCAGAGCCTAAGTGGCTCTGATAGCCTTGTCCTAGTGTTTTCTCGTAAAGCCGAGGATTCTTTCCTCTAAATTCTCGGGAATAGAGCCAATTACCCAAGTAGCCACCGATCATGTCCTTTTAATCCTTCCTGGTTCTTCCCATTCCTTCTGGGCATCCACAGGGCCCATCCCCTAGAGCAGCACCAATGGGGTTGGAGCACTGGCTACTGACACGTCTGGACCCTCCAGGCCAGAAAGGCTTCATTTCTCTGCACTTGCTAACCCCCAGCCAAGCCCCTAGTCCTTTCCAAGATGGGATAAAGGGGCATTCTCCCTCAAATGTCTTTCCTGAGTTAGGAATGTGCTCTTGTCATTTTGAACCCCATGATCTCTGCCCCAGTGGCTTCCAGAAAGGATCTGATGGCCACGTGCTTTGGAGTGAGACAGACCTTTTGTCCCGTCCTCACTCTGTTGTTGACCTTGTGTAAGCCACATAACCTCCATGGCTGTCATCCATGAAATATAAAGATTAAAAGATCTACCATCTTACTTGATGGGATGGTTGAAAGGACCAGTGTCCCAGGAAAAAAAAAAATACTCACAAACGACCTTATTCCTTTCCTCCCCTCACCCATGGAAGATCTTTAAGTGCATACTGAGGCTGACATACAGGTAACTCCGAAAAGGAGAGGGATCTGTTTCCTGACAGATGGCTTCAAGCCAAAGAGATAAACCTGGGTTCAGGCAGGGCTGGCAGGAAGTCAGGCACTCCCTTTCTAACTCTCTCCCTAGAGGAGTCTGGCTGAGGTTGAGAACTGACAAGGTCAGAAAAGGGACAGGGGAGGGATTTCCAGTGGGGAAGCACAGACATTGGAGGGCTTCTCCAGTCATTTACTGGGTCACCATCTGCCCCCTCAAGGAAGCAGGATCAAGACCTCCCGTGTGCCCAGCTCCGTACATGGCAGATAGAGGGCAGCCTCCTGGGCCAAGAGTGACCAGGGCCTTCATCTTCTTGGCATGGGTTCCATCAGGAACACGTTACAACCAACTGATGATTTATCCACCTTTAGAAGGGGACTGAGGCCATCCCAAAGGTGCCCTATATGAACTGCAGTTTGCCCCTCAGTAAAAATTACTTCACTGAGTTGCAAGCAGTGCATGGTGGCACACACCTGTAGTCTCGGCTACTAGGGAGGCTGAGGCGGGACGGTCACTTGAGCCCAGAAGATCAAGTCCAGCATGGGCAACATGGTAAGATCCCTTCTCAAAAATAAAAAATAAATTAAAATTTTTAAAAAATGAATATTTTCATTATCAGACAGATCAAGAAACAGAACATCAAAGTTGTAGTGAGCTATGATAATGCTACTGCACTGCAGCCTGGGTGACAGAGTGAGACCCTGTTTAGAAAGAGAGCGAGAGGAAGGAAGGAAGGGAGGGAGGAAGGGAGGGAGGAAGGAAGGGAGGGAGGGAGAGAGGAAGGAAGGAAGGGAGGGAGGAAGGAAGGGAGGGAGGGAGGAAGGAAGGAAGGGAGGGAGGGAGGGAGGGAGGGAAGGAAAACATTATCTGCACCCCAGGATCTCTCTGTATATCCCTTCCCCATCAGCCCCTCCTTTCTCCCTACATACAATTATGATCTTCACTTATGGTGAAGTTTTCCTTGTTTTTCTTTATAGTTTTACTCTTTGCGGAAGCATTCTTTTTGAATATAGTGTGTTTGTATGTTTTCAAAATTCCTACAAGAGGAATTATACTACATATATTCTTTTATGACTTCCTCCTTTCCTTTGACATTGTGGGATGATTTTATTTTTTTTATTGTGGAAAATTAGACACCACATAAGCTTACCATGTGAACCTTTTTTCTCCCAGCTTTACTGAGGAATAATTGACAAATAAAAATTGTATATGTTTAAGGTGTACAACTTGAAGTTTTGATATATGTATATGTCAACTGAAGAATGAAGAGGTTCAGACATTTGGAAAGGAGTGCTTTATTTCTCATAGAGCATTGCAGCCTGCCAGCCGTTCTGACAGGCTGGGAAGTGTAGCCTCTGGCCAGAAGCCAGAAACAGGCACTTCAAGGGTCAAGGATGGGAAGAATAAGACAAGAATTTATGCTGAGTAGGGTGGCCAAATATACATATTCAATAAGCTCTGGGAGGAGTCATGAATATTTACGAAAAGAGAAACATGTGCATGTGCAATTGAGCTTCATGGATCCCATGTTCAAAAAAACCGGCATGATCCCAGGGTGGAGTTTCAGCTCTCTGATGTCAAAAGATGAAGCAGAGGACATGAAAACCCTCACTGTTTCCTCCGCAGACTGGCCAGAACCACTCTGTGGTCAGTGGTCTCTGATCAGGAAGGGATATTGGTTGGTTATTGTGTCAGACCACAGAAAGTGAGGGGCAGCGTCAGGCAGTTAGTTGATATCAGCTGGCGGAGTCTTCCAAACAGGCTGGTTTCTGTTTAACCCTTAAGGAAGAAAACCTAATGCTGATTAGTGAGGGAAGGGGTGTAACAAAGTGTATCTGACCTCCCCGCCTCTCATGAAAAGGAACTCAGTTTTTAAGCTTTCTCTGGGGTCCCCTTGGCCAACAGGGGGTTGGCCAAGAGGAGGTCTGCAGGATTTCATTTCTATTTCTCATATACATTGTAAAATAATCACCACAATCAAGTTTATTAACATATCTATCACCTGGCATAGTTACCATGTGTGAGTGATGAGGATACTTAAGATCTAGCCCCTTAGCACATTTCAAGTATACAATACAGTATTGTTAAGAATAGTCACGTTGCTGTCATTAGATCTCCAGAACTTATTCATCTTGCAAAACTCAAACTTTGTATCCCTTGACCAACATTTTCCCATTTCCCCCACCCCCAGCCCCTTGTAACCACCCTTCTACTCTACTGCCATGAATTTGACTATTTTAAATTCCACATGTAGGTGAGATCATAGCATATTTTTATTTCTGTGCTTGAATTATTTCATTAGTATAATGTCCCCCAGGTTCATCCATGTTGTCACAAATGATAGGCTCTCCTTCTGGTTTAAAGTTAAATAACATTCATATATATATGTATATTATATTATATATATGTATATATAACATTTTTTAAAATCCCATTTGAACCATTTTTAGTTGTACAATTTGGTAGCATTAAGTATATTCACAATGTTGTACAATTTAGTGGCATTAAGTATATTCACAATGTTGTACAATCATCACTATCCATTTCCAGAACTTTTCCATTATCCCAAACAGATACTCTGTACCCATTAAACAATAATTCCCCATTCTCCCCTCCCCCACCTCCTAGTAAGTTCCATTCTACTTTCTGTCATTATGAATTTGCCTATTCTAGGTACCTCATAAAAGTGGAACCATGCAATGTTTGTCTTTTTGTGTCTTTGGGAAGTGTTTATTTCACTTAATACAATGTTGTCAAGGTTCATCCATGGTGTAGCATGTGTCAGAATTTCCTTCCTTTTTTGGGGGTGGGACGGAGTCTCACTTTGTCACCAAGGTTGGAGTGCAGTGGTACTATCTTGGCTCACTGCAACCTCCACCTCCAGAGTTCAAGCTATTCTCCTGCCTCAGCCTCCTGAGTAGCTGGAATTACAGGTGCCCATCACCATGCTCGGCTAATTTTTGTATTTTTAGTAGGGATGGGGTTTCATCATGTTAGCCAGGCTGGTCTTGAACTCCTGACCCCAAGCGATCTGCCTGCCTTGGCATCCCAAAGTGCTGGGATTACAGGCATGAGCCGCCATGCCCAGTCATAATTTCCTTCCTTTTTCAGGCTGAATATATTCCATTGTATGTGTATAACATTTTGTTTGTCCATTCATCTGTTGATGGACATTTGAGCTGTTTCCACCCTTCGGCTATTGTGAATAATGCTGCTATGAACATTGGAGTACACACATCTATTTGAGTCACTGCTTTCAATTCTTTTGGATATTTATCTAGAAGTGAAATTGCTGGATCTAATGGTAATTCTATGTTTAACTTTTTGAGGAACTGCCTAACTTTTCAAAGTAGCTGCACCATTTTACATTCCCACCAGCAATGCTTTCTCTACATCCTTGCCAATACTTATTTTCTGTTTTGTTTTGTTTTAAATATAGTAGCCATCTTAGTTGGTCCAAGGGTTATGGGTTATTATTAAGCTGATTAACATTGTTTCCCCCAATAACCAAGCTTGTCTAGCTTAAAAAAAAAAGTAAATATAGTAGTCATCCTAATAGGTGTAAAGTTGTCAACATTGTGTTTTAATATTCTCCTATGTTGTGTGTAGTTGCCATTCATTTCTTTTCATTAATTGTATAATATTCCATTGAATATACTATGTTTATTCATTTTATTATTGATAAACATTTCCAGTTTGGGGTTCAGAGTCCTAATACACACAAGCACATGCTTCTCTAGGATATGTAATGAGGGGAAGAATCGCAGGTCATGGAGTGAATATCTTCAGATCCTTTAGCTGATGCCAAATTATTTTCCTAAGCAATAAATGAGAGTTCCCATTGCTTCATATCCTTGCCAACACTTGATGTTGTCATACTTTTTATTGCATGAGTATAATATTAATCATGTTGGGTTTTTTTAGTACTAGCCTAATTGGTGGGTGTGTCATGACATCTCATTATAGCTTTATTTTGCACTTTCCAGGTTATTTTTTGAGATCGAGTAGCTTTTCATTGCTTAATTGGACCTGGAATTCCTGAGGCTAGCTCTATGTCTGGCCTTTGAAATCACATGAGCCAATCAGTTCTCACTTTCATTTAAGCCAGTTTGAGTTGGATTTCTGTCTCTTGCTACAGAAAGAATTCTGAATATACAAAGATTCTGGATTGGGTGCACCGGAAGATGAAGCCAGAAGTTGTTTCAGCCTTGAAGCTGGTAATCCTCTCTGGGAAGAACGGGGATGTTTTCAATGGACTGGAAGGTTGAGTGCTGCTAGGTCAGGCTCAGGCTCTAAGAGTGGCCTCTACCCAAGAACGTGCTGCTGTTGGGGATGCTGCCCTCACACTGCAGAAGGTGACACCCAGATACCCCCTTGCCAGGATCCCTGCAGCCAGATCCTTCTCCTGATGCCACCAGGACTGGATGGGTCCTCAGTCCTGAACTGAACTGTGGGTGAGTGGGTAGAGATGGGGAAGATGTGAGACACCTCGTCTTCCTCTTGCTACACACATCTTATTGGCTGCAAGTGTGAAATGGCTTTTGATACATTTATTTGTTCGTTTGTTTGCTTTTTGGAGACAGGGTCTTTCAGTGTTGTCCAGGCTTGGAGTGCATTGGCAATTATAGCTCATTGCAACCTTGAACTCCTGGGCTCAAATGATCCTCCAGCCTCAGTCTCCCAAGTAGCGGGAACTAAATGTGCATGCCAGCGCACTGGGCTAATTGTTTTATTTTTTTGTAGAGATGGGGTCTTGCTTTGTTGACCAGGCTGGTCTCGAACTCCTGAGCTCAAATGATCCTCCTGCCTCAGCCTCCCAAGGCGAGATTACAGACATGAGCCACCACACCCAGCCAGGTGTGAGTCTTTTCCTGCTAGCTGCCTTGGAACCCAATAGGTCTGGTAGAAGATGCAGCTTTTGTGTGTGGTGTCTGTTTTGGCTGGGCTCATATAAAACCTTCCTTACTATGTGACCCAGCAATCCCATTACTGGGTATATAACCAAAGGAATATAAATCATTCTATTATAAAGATACATGCACACGTATGCTTATTGCAGCACTATTCACAATAGCAAAGACATGGAATCAACCCAAATAGCCACCAATGATAGACTGGATAAAGAAAATGTGGTACATATACACCATGGAATACTATGCAGCCATAAAGAGGAATGAGATCATGTCTCTTCGAGGGTCATGGATGAAGCTGGAAGCCATCATCCTCAGCAAGCTAACACAGGATCAGAAAACCAAATGCTGCATGTTCTCACTCATAAGTGGGAGCTGAACAATGAAAACACATGGACGGGGGAGAGGAACAACACATACTGGGGCTTGTTGGGGGTGGGAGGAGGGAGAGCATAAGGATAAATAGCTAATGCATGCAGGGCTTAATACCTAGGTGATGGGTTGACAGGTGCAGCAAACCACCATGGAACACGTTTACCTATGTAACAAACCTGCACATTCTGCACATGTATCCCAGTACTTAAAATAAAATAAAACTTAAAAAAACCCTTCCCTTGCTTTCTGGCATGTGTATTATCCTTCCCTGTACCTCCATCATCGCTCATATTCCCCCTTTCCTCCATAGACACCTACTATCTTGTATTTGGCATATGTCCTTGGGTGTGCAGTTGTGTTCCACATCATGATGGTTCAGTCAACAACAGATCACATATACAGTGGAAGTCTCATAAGATTATTATGTTTAGACATAATTAGATACACAAATAGTAACCACTGTGTTACCATTGCCTACAGTATTTGGCACAGTCACACACGGTACATGTTCGTAGCCTAGTTGCCATAGGATATACCATATAGTCTAGGTGTGTAGGAGGCTATGCCCTCTGGGTTTCTGTGGGTATACTCTATGATGCTTGCACAATGACAAAATCACCTAATGATGCATTTCTCAAAATGTATCCCTGTCACTAAGTGATGCAGGATTGTATATGAATCTTTGAAAAATATAATGTGTATTGTATATGGAGGCATTTTAGATCTCTTTCTATTCCTTACTTTTTCAATACTTTTTAAGATTTACCCATATTAATATGGATACCTCAAATCCATTGTTTCTAAACTGCTGCCTATTTACTCCGCAGAATAAATCTATCAAGTTTTGCTTACCCATTCTGATGATGAATACTTATGATGCCTCTAATTCTCTGCTGTGGCTAACAGCACTGCAGTGAAGGAACATCATACATGTCCCCTCATGGACCTCAGTTTGTGTTGCTCTGAGCTTTATAACTAGGAGGAGCCATGGGTATCCACGTATTTAATGTCACACTTGGGATACTCCGCAATCTACACTCCTACCAGCATGTATGAGGTCTCCCATTTCCCACACCCTTGCCAACACTTATTATTACCCAACCTTAGAACCTGTGCCAATCTTATGAATTCAGAATGCTATTGTACAGCTTAAATTTGACATTTTTTCTTTCTTTACTTTTCTTTTTTTTTTTGAGATGGAGCTTCACTCTCGTTGCCCAGGCTGGAGTGCAGTGGCACAATCTCGGCTCATTGCAACCTCCGCCTCCCGGCTCCAAGCGATTCTCCTGCCTCAGCCTCCTGAATAGCTGGGATTATAGGCACCTGCCACCACACCCAGTCAAATTCAACACTTTCTGATTATAAGTGAGCTTGAGCATCACTTCATGTGTTAGTCTTTTGTTCTCTTCAGTAAATTGTTGGTTCATTTCCTTTCCACATTTTTCTCTTAAGTTCTCTGTCTTTTTGTTGTTGATTTGCAGGAGTGTCCTGTATATTCTAGCTATCAGTCCCTTGTCAGTTTTGGACACTGCAAAAATCTTCTCCCTGTCTGTATCTATTATCTGTTAAATATATATAGTATAAGAGAGGAACAAAATCCTGAAATTTGATGCAGTCAAATCCATCAATTTTTAAAAATCTTATATTTGTATTTTTTTTTTTTTTTTTTTTGAGACAGAGTCGTGCTCTGCCACCCAGGCTGGAGTGTAGTGGCAAGATCATAGCTCACTGCAACCTCCACCTCCTGGGTTCAAGTGATTCTCGTGCCTCAGCCTCCAGAATAGCTGGGATTACAGGTATGCGTCACCACGCCCAGCTGAGTTTTTTTGTTTTTTTTTTTTCTGTATTTTTTGTAGAGACGGGACCTCGCTATATTGCCCAGGTTGATCTTGAATTCCTGGGCTCAAGCAATCCTCCTGCCTCAGCCTCCCGAGTCACTGGGAGTACAGACGTGAGTCACTGCACCAGGTCCTATCACTATGGTAACTTTACATTTATCTGGATTCCTTTTTTTTTTTTTTTTTAGACGGAGTCTCGCTCTGTCATCCAGCCTGGAGTGCAGTGGCAAGATCGTGGCTCGCTGCAACCTCCACCTCCTGGGTTCAAATGATTCTCCTGCCTCAGCCTCCCAAGTAGCTGGGATTACAGGCATGCACCACCACTCCCAGCTAATTTTTTTGTATCTTTAGTAGAGACAGGGTTTCACCATGTTGACCAGGCTGGTCTCAAACTCCTGACCTCAGGTGATCCACCCGCCTTGGCCTCCCAAAGTGCTGGGATTACAGGCGTGAGCCACCGAGCCTGGACTATATTATTTTTTATTACTTTTTTTAGTATATCCTTATCTCTGGAAGGGTATGTCCTCTCTCTTATACTTCCTTATCTTTTTAAAACTTATTTATTTATGAACACTTATTCTTCAATTTACATTTTAGAATAAGTTTGCTGAATTCCTAAAAAAAATCTTCTGCAATTTGGTTGAAATTGAATCAAATTTACTTATTTAGGAAGAACTGTTAACTTTACAATGTTAAGTTATCCCATCCGTGTCTGTTTGTTGAAGTCTTCCTTGAAGTCATTAAGAGATTACAATTTTTTTCTGCATAAAGGATCTATGCATTCTTTTCTAAATCAGCCCCTACATACTTTACATTTTCTGTTGTTTTCATGGAAGTATACTTTTTAAAAAATTAATTTATTATTATTATTATTATTATTACTTTTTTTTTTTTTTGAGGCAGGGTCCAGACTGGAGTGCAGTGGCGGGATCACGGCTCACCACAACCTCCTCCTCCCAGCGCAGGCTCAAGTGATCCTCCCGCCTCAACCTCCTGAGTAGCTAGGACTACAGGCATGCACCACCACGCAGGCTAATTTTTTGTATTTTTGGTAGAGGTCGGGTTTTGCCATGTTGGTCAGGCTGGTCTCGAACTCCTGAGCTCAAGTGACCCTCCTTCCTTGGCCTCCCAAAGTGCTGAGATTACATGTGTGAGCCCCCAGGCCCGCCTCATGGAGGTATATTATTTATAGCTGATGAACACTGTGGTAAGAACTGTCAAATTTGTAAGTTGACAACCTCGCTGAATTTGCTTCTTAGTTTTAATTTTCCCCCAGATATTTATTTTGAAAACCTTCAGAAAAATTGAAAGAATAATACAATAAACACCTGTTTCGCTTCCACCTATATTCAACACTTTAACATTTTGCCACATTCTCCCTCCTGCCTATATACCCACATTCATATATAAAGTAAGTTTAAGCCGTGCACAGTGGCTCATGCCTGTAATCCCAGCACTTTGGGAGGCAGAGGCGGATGGATCACTTCAGCTCAGGAGTTCAAGACCAGCTTTGGCAATACAGCAAAACCCCATCTGTACTGAAAAACAAAACAAAACAAACAAACAAAAAAAAACAAAAATTAGCCGGGCGTGGGGGCACGCGCCTGTAGTCCCAGCTACTTGGAGGGCTGAGGCAGGAGGATTGCTCGAACCTGGGAGGTCGAGGCTGCAGTGAGTCAAGATGGAGCCACTACTCTCCAGCCTGGGCAACAGAGCAAGACCCTGTCTCAAAAATAAATAGTTTATACTCATGACACTTTACCCCTAAATATGTCACTATGCACCTCTTAGAAATAAGGAACTTATACATAGCCACAATGCCATTATTACTTCTAAGAAAATTCACCATAATTCCATAATATTATCTAGTCTGTTTTCTGTTTTCTCTGGTTCTACCAAAAATTCTTTTACAGCTTTTTTTTTTTGAGACAGAGTCTCTGTCTCTAGGCTGGAGTGCAGTGGCTCAATCTCAGCTCACTGCAATCTCTGCCTCCCCGGTTCAAGCAATTCTCCTGCCTCAGCCTCCCAAGTAGCTGAGACTACAGGCTCATACCACCACGCCCAGCTATTTTTTGTATTTTTAGTAGAGATGGGCTTTCACCATATTGGCCAGGATGGTCTCAATCTCTTGACCTCGTGATCCACCCTCCTCGGCCCCCCAAAGTGCTGGGATTACAGGCATGAACCACTATGCCCGGCTCCCCTTTATTTTTTTAAGAGACTCAGTGTCACTCTGTCACCCAGGCTGGAATGCAGAGGTGTAACCATAGCTCACTGCAGCCTTAAACCTCAAACTCCCATCCTCCGGCCCATCTTGATCAAAAAAAAAAAAAAAAAATTCTGAGGCTGGGTGTGGTGGCTCATGCCTATAATCCCAGCATTTTGGGAGGCCAAGGCAGGTGGATCACCTTTTTGAGTCCCCAGTGTCTATTGTTCCATCTTTTTGTCCATATGTATCCAGGGTTTAGCTCCCACTTATAAGTGAGAACATGCAGTATTTGGTTTTCTGTGTCTGCATTAATTCACTTAGGATAATGGCCTCTAGCTGCATCCATCTTGCTGCAAAGAACATCATTTGATTCTTTTATATGATCATGATATATTTTTAAATGCGATATTGGATTTGGTTTGCACTTACATATAGTTTTTGTATCTGTGTTTATAAGTAAAATGAGTCTGTCTTTTCTTTATCTTATACTACCCTTATCAGTTTTAGAATCAAGGTTATACTCGTGTTGTAAAATTAGTTGAGTAATGTTTTTCCTTTTTTGTTGTTGCTGTCACCTCTGTTATTTAGTGTGTATCCACTTACACATGGGTCTTTTTCCAGGCTCTTTATTCTGTCCCACTAGATTATTTACATCTCTAATCTATACCACAGTGTATTAACTGGTTTTACTATTTTTGTAATCTTTACTGTGATTGTACTTGTTTCCCCTACTTTGTTTTTTATTTAGTTTACTTGCTTTTTTCTTAGTTTATTGGCATGTTCTTTTTTCTTGTTCAGTCTTTCAGACATTCCATATCTTGTCAATCTATTCAAAGAAGCAGGTATTAGTTTTATTAACCTTTTACATTTTTTGTTGTAATTTTCAATTTGATTGATTTTCTCTTATCTTTATTATTTTCTTCATTTGTGTATGTTTCTGCTACTTTTTTGGCTTCTTGCATTAAATACTCAGCTCGTTTGTTACTATTCTTTATATTTTCTGATAAATATACTTGAAGCCGAAATTTTCCTCTAAGTCCTGTTTGATTTTGTTTGTTTGTTTTTTGAGACAGCATCTCGCTGTGTCACACAAGCTGGAGTGCAGTGGCGCCATCTCAGTTCACTGAAACCTCTGCCTCCCAGGTTCAAGCGATTCTCCTGCCTCAGCCTCCCAAGGGGCTGGAATTACAGGTGCCCACCACCACATCCAGCTAATTTTTAGTAAAGACAGGGTTTCACCGTATTGGCCAGGCTGGTCTTGAACTCCTGGCCTCAAGTGATCCACCCACCTTGGCCTCGCAAAGTGTTGGGAATACAGGCATGAGCCACCGTGCCCAACCCTTAAAATCTTTTTGATCTGACATGAAAGCTGCAACAATGGCTTTTTTTGGTTAATATTTTGGTTTATCTTTTTTTTTTTTTGTCTATTTGCAACCTTTCTGTATCCCCTTTTAAAATAATACTATATTTTAATTCAATACATTTTTTAATGTAAGAGATTATTTTTTCTTTTTATTTATAAATTTAACCCATTTACACTTATTTCATTTGCTGTTATAGTCAGTCTCCTATCAACCATCTTATTTCCTATTTTCAATATCTAATTTTTCCCTTTATTCTTCTTTCATACTTTTATTGCATAAATAGAATTTTCTTTTGTTGGTTTGAAAATTATACATTTTATTTTTATTCTTCTGGGTGTCACTCCTAGCTTATTATAACCATGTTTATGTATATTTATCCTCATCAATTTTGAGCTTATTTATAGCTATATCTTTCTAACCAAAAAAGCAAGTGCTCACCTCCCACTGGACTTCAGTCCACTCACTTCCACACACACAGTTCTATCATGTTGTTTCATCTAGAATTTCAATGCTAATGATGAATACAGGGTTTTTTTAGACTTACTTATACTACCATATATGTTTCTAAGTACTTTAGTCACCCTTCATTCCCATATCTTGTAGTGTCGTCTGAGATTTAATTCTCTTCTTGCTAATGAACTTCCTCCAAAAGTGTTTTCCTTTCTTATTAGTTTCTCTTTCTTTCTTTTTTTTTTTTTGAGATGGAGTCTCGCTCTGTTACCCAGGCTGGAGTGCATTGGCTTACTGCAGACTCCGCCTCCCAGGTTCAAGTGATTCTTGTGCTTCAGCCTCCTGAGTAGCTGGGATTACAGGTGCACACCACCACACCCGTATTTTTAGTAGAGACAGGGTTTCACTATGTTGGCCAGGCTGCTCTTGAACTCCTGGCCTCAAGAGATCCACCCACTTCAGCCTCCCAAGGTGCTGGGATTATAGGCGTGAGCCACCATGCCCAGCCCGAAAGTGTTTTTCAAAGAGGGTCTTTAGGTAGTAAATCTTCTGAGAACTTGAAAGCTTGAGAACATCTTTCTTTCTAGTTTTGTACCAGAATTATAGTTTAGCTGGATATAAAAATTCTAGTTCTAAAGTTCTTTTTCTTGTATCAGGCATTGCTATTGAAAAAACTAATATCAGTATGATACTTGTTCCTAATGAATGGCATATGGGGATTTCTTTTTATGTTTGTTTTCTTGCTTGTATGTCTTAATTCTTGAGAAGCTTTTGGAATTTTTGTCTCTCTTAAATTTTTCTTTAATGTGTTAAGTATTTTTCCAAATCTATCTTGTTGATATTCTGTCTGAAATCTTACACTTTTCTCTAATTCTGGGAAATTTTAGGATTCTTCGGAATTCTTTTTTTCATTATTTTTTAAAGCATTTCCTTCCAGGTTTCTCATCCCTCTTCTCTTCTGGAACTCCCATTTTAACTATATATCTTCCATATTTAATAACTTTAGCCTTATATCTTTCATCTTCTTATCTCTTCCTGATAATTTCTGGGAGAGTTCGCCATCCTTATCTTCTAGTTTATGAATTCATTCTTAGTCTGAATCTATTTCACTATTCAACTTGTATATTGCCTTCCTTCTTTCAGCTATTATATTTTTTACACTTGTTAACTTTTTTATACAGTCTCATCCTATTTCAAATTTACAATATACTTTAGCCAGGCATGGTGGCACCTGCCTGTAGTCCCAGGTACTTGAGGCTGATGCAAGAGGATCCTTTAAGCCCAGGAGTTTGAGGCTTCAGTGAGCTATGACTGTGCCACTGCATTCCTGCCTGTATGACAGAGAGAAACCCTTTCTGTATAAAAAAAATTAGATAATAATTTTTTTAAAATGTGTAACATTCTCCATTATTTCCTAGAAGAATTTTATTTTGATTATTTTATTTTATTTACTTATTTATTTTTCAGAGATGGGGGCTTGGTCTGTCACTCAGGCTGGATTGCAGTGGTGCAATCTCAGCTTACTGCAGCCTCAACTTCCCAGGCTCAAGTGATCCTCCCACCTCAGCCCCAGGTGGCTAGGACTACAGGGGTGTGCCACCACACCCGGCTAATTTTTTTAAAATTTTTTTGTAGTGACAGGTTTTCACCATGTTGCCCAGGCAGGTCTCAAACTCCTTAGCTCAGGCAATCTGCCCGCCTTGGTAGCCCAAAGTGCTGGGATTACAGGCGTGAGCCACCGTGCTCAGCCTATAAGGATTATTTTAAATTCTTGTTCTCACTGGTCCATTAATTCCGCTTCCTCTCATATAGGTTCTTCATTTTCGGGGTCCTCTTTTAAAAGGATTACATTATTTGGATGTATTATTTTTCTTTCTGAGCTCATATTACTCTGGATGTGTCATTCTCTTGGCTGGTGATAGGTATCTGGGGAGAGAGTTACTATCTGGGTCTAATTCTGCCACACCCTCAACCTCCTCTCCTATCCCTTCCCTCCCAGTTTACTTAAGCAGAAGAGGATGTGCCTTTGGATGAACCTGTTGGGTCTCCAGGTTCTGCTGCTCCTGAAATACCACTTCCCAAGGCTGACTCCTCCCTTATGTAGGCACAAAGTGGAGGAATTAGCAGGAGGAGGGGATGTCAAGTGGTGAACTACAGGGTCTGGGTCCTCGTGGTGGTTTTGTATTGTGTCGCCTTGGTTAAGTTGAGACTACTTTTCCCAGAATACCCTTCCCTGCATGGTTCTGGGTTGGAGTTGGCCTAAGGAAATTTGCTCAAGATTTGGAAGTTAGAAGTAAAGCAAGTCTGAAGGTTTTATGCTTCTGAAGGTTGTCATGGCTACAGGCAGTGAGAGAGCAATGCAAAGGTTCCAGAGTTCCAACTGTTTTGGTTTGTTTGTTTGTTTGTTTTGAGACAGGGTTTTACTCTGTTGCCCAGGCTGGGGTGCAGGGGCATGAACATGGCTCACTGCACCCTTGACCTTCTGGGCTCAAGCGATCCTCTTGCCTCAGGCTTCTGTTTAGCTGGGGCCACAGGCGGGCACCAAAATGCCTGGCTAATTTTTTTGTTTTTATTTTGGTAGAGACGAGGTCTCACTTTGTTGCCCATGCTGTTCTCAAACTTCTCGGCTCAAGTGATCCTCCCACCTCGGCCTCCCAAAGTGCTGTGTTACAGGCATAAGCCACTGCACCTGGTCTCTACTTCGTTCTTACTCTTCTTCCCGACTCTGTGATCAGCTCTTTTTCCTCACTGACATCTCTTATCACCAGCAGAGGCCTACCACTAGACACCAGGTGAGAACTCACAGAAGTAGAATCTATGAAGAAGCAACAATCTTCTGTTGACTTTTTACAGTGGCTCCCTTTCTCTCTTCCACTGCAGGAAGCAAGATAAACTTATCTTCCTCATTTTCCAGCAAGCTCCAGCTTGTCTCCCCTCCACCCCCAACCAGTGCTTTCCAAGGGCCGATAAGTGATTTTCCCACCATCCTACAACTCCCTTTGTGACCTCTACTTCTCCGTCTCCTCCAACAATTGTGTAAAATCTCATTCCTATAATAATCATTCATTCCATGATATTTGCAGTGGTTCTACTTCCCTGGTTGAGCCCTGGTAGATACGGTTCCTGAGAACTTCATGGAGCAGTTTCTGCACCAAACCTGCCCTCTCTACCTCTGGACCTCTACGTGGAAAAGAGAAGTACATCTCTGTCTTGGGTCATCCACTGTTATTTTGGTCTGCCTTCCTGGAGCCAGGCCGCCACTGGTCTTGAACCCCTATCCTCCTCTAGACCATTATGGGAGACAGAAAGAACTTCTACCTTATCTGACACATTGCATTTTTTAGTTTCTAACAGGAACTTGCCTTATAGCTTAAGTAAATCCCACTTCCTCTACCTCACTTTTTACTTGGCTGTATTTTACTCACTCTTCGGTTTTTCCTGACGTCTAGATAAGTCTGATCCTTTTATTGTGCCAGCAGTCTCCCAATACCCTGGGCAGAACACCCATCACTTAGGAAATATTTGCTCCATGACTGTCTCCCCTACTAGACTAGACCCTGACTCTTTTTTCCTTGTTTTTGTTTTTGTTTTTTTGAGATATAGTTTCACTCTGTCACCCAAGCTGGAGTGCAGTGGCACAATCTTGGCTCACTGCAACCTCCACCTCTCAGGTTCAAGCAATTCTTGTGCCTCAGCCTCCTGAGTAGCTGGGATTACAGGCAAGTGCCACCACACCCAGCTATTTTTTGTATTTTTAGTACAGATGGGGTTTTGCTATGTGGGCCAGGCTGGTCTTGAACTCCTGACCTCAGGTGATCCTCCTGCCTCAGCTCCCAAAGTGCTGGGATTACAGGTGTGAACCACTGCGCCCAGCAACCCTGACTCGTTTGTTGTTGTTGTGTTTTGTTTTGTTTTGTTTTGTTTTTGAGACGGAATCTCACTCTTTCTCCCAGGCTTGTGTGCAGTGGCACAATCTTGGCTCACTGCAACCTCTGCCTCCCGGGTTCAAGCGATTCTCCTGCCTCGGCCTCCCGAGTAGCTGGGATTGCAGGTATGTGCTACCACACCCGGCTAATTTTTGTATTTTTAGTAGAGACGGCATTTTACCATGTTGACCAGGCTGGTCTTGAACACCTGACCTCAGTGGATCTGCCCACCTTGGCCTCCCAAAGTGCTGGGATTACAGGCATAAGCCACCGCACCTGGCCCCAACCCTGACTCTTATTCCTGTTCTCCTCCCAGCCCATAACACAGAACTGACACACAGCAATTCATTGAATGAATGAACCTTTTTTAAGGTAGCTACAGAGAAGATAAACCTTTTGGTGGGTTTGGCTGAGATTGGTCTGTACAGCAGCTCTAAATTCCTTGAGCAGGGCCTGGCTTGTCCATGTCTTATGCTCTTTCATTTTAAAGCCTTGAGCTACTTTCTAAACATTGGGTGCCTCATAGCCAGTTACTGCACATTAAGAGGATATGGTATGTGTGCTCCAGACATCAAGGCCACCAGACCCACCCCGCTATGTGTGACATGTGGAACACAGCATTGGGACATACCCAACCTTTGCTATCTTCTCTAAGAACTGCCTACCAAACACCTTTCCTGCCCAGGCTGGAGTGCAGTGGCATGATCTCGGCTCACTGCAACCTCCGCCTTCCGGTTTCAAGTGATTCTCCTGCCTCAGCCTCCTGAGGAGTGGGCCCAGCCTGGGGTCACCGCTATCCTGTGGAATACTTATATGAGTGTTAGGAAAAAGTGTACTTTCTCAGCATACTTTATTGCCATCTGCTAAAGTGGTTTCATTATGAATACAGGTATTTACAGTGTCTCTCATGTGAATGGGACCCTTGGAGTTATCCACTGCACAGCCTGCATAACCAAATGTGGATACTGCCCTGCCAGCCTCCCATTAGCCTTATTAGCGTCATGTGACCTTGCCTTCCTTGGAAGCCAGGCTGATTGGACCAGCAGTGGAGATCCCACTCAAGCTGGCCAATCAGATTGGTTCTCCCAGGAATTTGAAGTTGGGATAAGCAACTCCAGCTTGTCATCATTGCACTGGAAGAAAATGTTGAATAGTGGCTGACATGTTTCAGTTAGGTTTCCTGATTGCAAGCAACAGAAACCAATATTAATGTAAATGGATAACTTAAGCAAAATGGAATGTATTGGAAGTAGTCTCTGAAAGCCAGAGAACCAGGGGGCCAGAAAGGAGGAGGAGCAATGGAACAGACTCACACCAGAATAGTCAGAATAGTCTGGTCAGGCCCCCACTGCTGGGTGAATGACCTCCATCCATTTCTCCCTCTTCTGTGTCTTTCCTGTGGGACTCATAGTCTTGGGCAAGAGCATCTGACCAGTCAAACTTCACTCAGGTGCCCAAACCTGGATATATGGCGATGGTGAGAGGAGTCTGCCTGTATTTTTCTCCCTTCACTCAAAAAACTTTTTTTCCATTTATAAACATATTTAGAACACATAAAACTAGACAACTTTAGCTAGGCATGGTGGCTCATGCCTGTAATCCCAGCACTTTGGGAGGCCAAGGCTGGTGATCACCTGAGGTCAGGAGTTCAAGACCAGCCTGGCCAAAATGGTGAAACCCCGTCTCTACTAAAAATACAAAAATTAGCCAGGCATGGTGGCGCGTGCCTGTAATCCCAGCTACTCAGGATGCTGAGGCAGGAGAATCACTTGAACCTGGGAGGCGGAGGTTGCAGCGAGCCAATGTCATGCTCCCCATGCTGAGATCATGCCACTGCACCCCAGCCTGGGCATTAGAGCAAGATCTTGTCTCTCTTTTTTTTTTTTAGACGGAGTTTCGCTCTTTTGCCCAGGCTGGAGAGCAGTGGCATGATCTTGGCTCACTGCAATCTCCGCCTTCCGGTTTCAAGTGATTCTCCTGCCTCAGCCTCCTGAGGAGGCTGCAAGGCAGTTTGAAAGTTTCTTGCAAAATTAGATGTACTCTTACCACATAATTCAGCAATTGTACTCCTTGGGTTTTTGTTTTGTTTTGTTTTGTTTTGTTTGTAGAGCTCTCAGCCTGCTGAAGATCTAGATGTTTATGATGATGGCTTATTTATTTATTTAACAGGTTTTTTTTTTTTTTTTGAGACGGAGTCTCACTCTGTCACCCGTGCTGGAGTACAGTGGCACAATCTCGGCTCACTGCAACCTCTGCCTCCTGGGTTCAAGCAATTCTCCTGCCTCAGCCTCCCAAGTAGCTGGGATTACAGGCACATGCCATCATATCTGGCTAATTTTTGTCTTTTTAGTAGAGACGGGGTTTTGCCATGTTGGCCAGGCTGGTCTTGAACTCCTGACCTCAGGTGATCCACCCGCCTTGGCCTTCCAAAGTGCTGGGATTACAGGCATGAGCCGCCACACCCGGCCTGTTTAACAGACTTTTAAAGAGTAATTTTAGGTTCTCAGCAAAACTGAGCAGAAAGTACAGAGTTCCCTCACATTCCTGTCCCCTCCAGCATTCCCACTATCAACATTCAGTACCATGGTGGTACATTTGTTACAGTGAATGAATCTACATTAGCACACCATTATCACTGAAAGTCAAGAATTTTCATCAAGGTCACTCTTGGCATTGCACATTCTATGGATTTGGACAAATGTGTAATGAAAGGTATACATCATTATAGTATCATGCGGAGTATTTTCACTGCCTTAAACATCCTCTGTGCTCTATTCATCCCTTCAACCCTCCTAATCCCTGGTGATCCCAGGTGACCACTGATCTTCTTACTGTCTTCGTGGTCTTGCCTTTTCTAAAATGTCATATGGTTGGAATCATATAGGATGCAGTCCTTTTCAGATCACCTTCTCTCATTTAGTGATATGAATATGTTTCCTTCATGTCTTTTCATGTCTTGATAGTGTGTTTCTTTTTACTGCCAAGTAGTAGTCCATTGTCTGGAGGTTTATTTATCTATTCACCTACTGAAAAACATCTTCATTACTTCTAAGTTTTGGCAATTATGAATAAAGCTGTTATAAACATCCATGTGTAGATTTTTTGTATGGACATAAATTTTCAACTCATTCGGGTAAATACCAAGGAGTACAACTGCTGCATTGAATGGTAAGAGTATGTTTAGTTTTGCAAGAAACTGCCAAACTGTCTTTCAAAGTAGCCAAACCATTTTGCATTCCCACTAGCAATGAATGAGAGTTCCTGTTGCTCCGTATCCTCGCCAGCATTTGGTATTATCAAAAGGAGAAGCTTTCTCCTTTCTCCATGTGAGACGGCCTCTGTCAAATTCTTTCCTCTAAAGCAGCTTCTACGGCTAGATGTGGTGGCTCATATCTGTTATCCCAGCGCTTTGGGAGGCCGAGGCGGGTGGATCACTTGAGGCCAGGAGTTCAAGACCAGCCTGGCCAACATGGCAAAACCCCATCTCTACTAAAAATACAAAAGATTAGCTGGGCATGCAGGTGCATGCCTGTAATCCCAGCTACTCAGGAGGCTGAGGCAGGAGAATAGCTTGAAGCCAGGAGGTGGAGGTTGCAGTGAGCCCTAACCCTGCCACTGCACTCCAGCCTGAATGACAGAGTGAGACTGTCTCAAAAAATAAAATAAAATAAAATATCTTCTGCATAAATTTTTTGCATTTATGTAAGCAAAATGTGTGGGGGAATTATGATAGACCTTCATAGAGTCATTGTACTCTATCTTTGTTACCTCATATTCATTTAAATATTCTTGTTTTTCTTCATCAGTGACAACTCCCCACATTCCACCAATAATCTTGCCAATTTCCATCAATTTCAGGTCCGTATTGGAAGCCTTGACTCTGGCCCAGACATTTCTGCTGTACCTCATGTAGGGTAAGAGTGGCTTATCTTTGAGGGTTTTGGAATAGTAATACTAGAGGATGCCATGACCCGGGCTGTTGGTGCAGGGGTTCCCTCCCAGCCTGTAGCTGTAGGTGAGATGCCTGTGTGGAGTGCATCCCACAAACAGTGGTGTGCTGGGCACTTGTGCTGCAGGAGCTGAGGGGGTGGGGGGTAGGGCACAAGATGGTCTTTTTCACATTTTGAAAAATTAAGTTTTCATTTCCTTAAGAACAAATCTGATTAGGGAGGTTGGTGGATCACTTGAGCCCAGGAGTTTGAGACGAGCTTGAGCAACATGGTGAAACTCCATCTCTACAAAAAATACAAAAATTAGCTAAGCATGGTAGTGAGACAGGATTCTTTCCCTTGACCTTGACCCCCTTCATGGGCAGGAACTGGAGTGGCTCCTTTCACTTAGCCTGCAGTCCATGGATGGCTAAGTGTTAACAGCTCAGTGAAGGGTCAGGGTGACAGCCTCCTGCACCTGCCCTTTTTGACAGCCAAGTTCTGGCTCGGTGTCCGGGAAGAATCAGGTCACACGAATTGTTTGAAAGATGATGAATGCAGAAAGCTTTATTGAGCAGTGGAAGTGGCTCCTGATGGAAGGGGAGCTGGAAAAGAAGAAGGTGATCTTTCCCTGAAGCCACACTGTCTGAAGTTAGCTGTGTCTATCTGTAGTCTCCGATGCTCAGTTGCTTGCTCCTCTGCTTGCCACTCAGCCACTTACATCCCCAAGGCTCAGCAGCTTGCATCCCCAACAATATGCATCAGCCACTTGTGTTGCTCTTTTCTTCTGCCAGCTGGTCTGGTTTTTATGGGCACAGGATAGGGGCATGGCAGGCCAAAAAGGCAATCATTTGGATGGAAAAGCGGGGTCAGCTGTTTTCACTTAGGGCCGAGGTTTGAGGCTTGAGGGTGCAGTTTAGGTGGGAGCCCAGCTGTTCTGTATCAGTAGCACACTTGTAGTCCCAGTTATTCAGGAGGCTAAGGTGGGAGGATCACCTGAGCCCAGGAGGTCAAGGCTACAGTGAGCCATGATCACACCTCTGCACTCCAGCCTGGGTGACAGAGCAAGACTCTGTCAAAAAAAGCAAAAAAAGATAAAATCTTAAACACCATGGAAAGGAAGAGCATTCACAGCTCCAGCTTTGTTCCCATCCCTCTGGTTCTGTGGAGGCAGGAAAATGCCTGGATTTACCATCCCACACAGGTCACATCCAGTGTGAGAGGGTCAGGTCTCCCCGCATTAATATATTGTCTTATTTTCTGTGTTCTTGATACTCTGGCATCTGAGGCCTAGCTGAATGGAGATGGAGTGCCCCTACTCAGCCTAGCTGATTCTTAGAGAGAGCCAGGGACTCACCTAGCTGGGGAGTATGCCTTTCATATGCAAATGAACCAATCCAGAGCCCATACTGTTCACCACCTCTTCTGTCTGACTCTTACAATCTATCGGGCAATAATCCTCTCCCTTAGTCATTCCAGGGCCAGGTAGCAGGCAACTGTCAGAGGCATTTGAACCAGAGAAACTCCATCTTGAATGGGGGCTGAGTAAAATAAGGCTGAGGCCTCCTGGACTACATTCTCAGTAGGATTCTTAGTCACAGGATGAGAGAGGAGGTTGGCACAAGACACAGGTCACAAAGACCTTGCTGATAAAACAGCATGTGGTAAAGAAGCCAGCCACATCCCACCAAAACCAAGATGGCCATGAAAGTGACCTCTGGACATCCTCACTGCCCATTATATGCTAATTATAATGCATTAGCTTGCTAAAAGACACTCCCACCAGCACCATGACAATTTACAAATGCCATAGCAACGTCAGGAAGTTCCCCTATATGGTCTAAAAAGGAGAAGAAACCTCAGTTCTGGGAGTTGTCCACCCCTTTCCTGGAAAATTCATGAATAATCCACCCCTTGTTTAGCGTATAATGAAGAAATAACCATAAAAATAGCCAGTGAGCAGCCCATGCTGGTGTTCTGCCTATGCACTGGCTTTCATGCACGTCCGTGTAAAGAGACCACCAAGAGGCTCTGTGTGAGCAACAAGACGGTTTATTTCACTTGGGTGCAAGTGGGCTGAGTCCAAAAAGAGACTCAGCAAAGGGTGGTGGGATTATCATTAGTTCTTATAGGTTTGGGATAGGCAGTGAAGTTAGGAGCAATTTTTTGCAGGCAGGGGTTGGATCTTACAAAGTACATTCTCAAGGGCGGGGAGAATATTACAAAGTACCTTCTTAAGGGTGGGGAGGGTGTATCCTACAAAGTACCTTCACAAGGGCAGGGGAATATCACAAAGTACATTATTGCAAGGGTGGGGAAGGTGTATTGTCACAAAGTTAATTGATCAGTTAGGGTGGGGCAGGAACAAATCACAATGGTGGAATGTCACCAGTTAAGGCAGGAACTGGCTATTTTCACTTATTTTGTGGATCTTCAGTTGCTTCAGGCCATCTGGATGTATATGTGCAGGTCACAGGGGATATGATGGCTTAGCTTGGGCTCAGAGGCCTGACACTCCTATCTTCTTATATTAATATGAAAAACAAAACAAAATAGTGGTGAAGTGTTAGGGCAGCAAAAATTTTGGGGGTGGTATGGAGAGATAATGGGCGATGTTTCTCAGGGCTGCTTTGAGGGGATTAGGGGCAGCGTGGCAACCTACAGTGGGAGAGATTAAACTGAAGAAAGATTTTGGGGATAAGGGGTGATATTGTGTGGTTGTCAGGAGCATTTGTTGTATAGAATGATTGGTGATGGCCTGGGTGCAGTTTTGTATGAATTGAGAAACTAAACAGAAAACACAAGGTCTGAATAAAAGAAGGAGAAAAGTAGGTATTAAAGGTCTAAGAATTGGGAGTACCCAGGACATCCAATTAGAGAGTGTCCAAGAGAGTTTAGCATAATTATTTGCTTGGTTGCTGAGTTTTTGGGCTCTGTCCTTGAGTTTTTTTATGTTGTCATATACCAGGCCAGATTTAGGTAAAAACAACACTCTTCATTTAAAAACATAGAGTCCTCCTTTTTTTTTTTTTTTTTTTTTAGCAGTGAGTAAGTCGAGGCCTTGGTGGTTTTGGAGGAAAGAGAAATGCAAAGCCAGCAACTGTTTGTTAAAGAAGGATTAGAAACGGCTTGCAGAGAGTGAGTGAGGCTGATAGTGTTGTGGAGATAGCTGGGGAGAGGTAGAGAGTGGCATAAGAACAGGAAAGAGAATAAGAGTGAGTATAAAAGTAAAGAATAGTACTTCATCAGGGTGAAAGTATTGGAGGGTGCCCTGCCAGCAAAGATCATCTACCCACTCCAAGAGGGAGTTAAAGTGGCAGTTTGGGGATAGTACCAGAAGATGTCCATTATGATGGTTTGGAGGAAAAATGTAAACCGGCAGTGTAAACAGGGGCAAGGCATTTATGAGTAGTTGAGAATGGTGAATAAGAGTATGACTAGACAGAAGACAGTAGGGATGACAAGTTTTTGGGGCACAGTCCAAGTATTGGGGGTGACTGTGTAAAGCCCTGTTGCAAAAAGTAGGGTAAGGACGAATAGACCTAATAGAATGAAGGGATGTATTAGGCTCGTAAGGGTTATTACTGTTCTTCAGAAATGCGAGTGAGCTTAAGGGAAGTAGGGGAGAGAACTTGTGACTTCCAGGAGGAAGAGGAGAGATCAGGCTGTCTGTCTGATGGACACAGCTTTATTCTGGATCAGTGAACCTAATGGGGAGGGTCCTGCAGGCAGACGGCAGTTGGGGTACTATAGATGACTAAGTAGGGTCCAGTCCATCAAGCTTGTAGAGTTTAAGGGGTCAGATTCTTAACAAGAACTGATCGTCCAGCTAGGGTGTCTTTATATGGCTGGGAATCCGGAGTAGGCAAGAGAAGATTAGCAGCCTGGTGAATTTCCTGTCTAGCCTGCTGAAGGACAGGAAAATAGTCGCCTAGAGGGCTGGTGTCTGGGATGAGGCTGGGGCCGAGCAAGAAGGTGCATCCATATAAAAGTTCAAATGGACTGTACCCTGTAGCATCTGGAGGACAGGCTCTAATTCTGAGAAGGGCAAGAGGTAAAAGTACTGTCCAGTCCTTTTTAAGTTGGAGGCTGAGCTTGGTGAGGTGTGTCTTTAAAAGACCATTAGTCCATTCTACCTTTCCTGAAGATTGAGGATGGTAAAGGGTATTAAGGTTCCACTGAATACCAAGAGCCTGAGAAACTGCTTGGGTGATTTGACTATAAAGGCTGGTCTGTTATCAGACTGTACAGAGGTGGGAAGGCCAAACCAAGGAATTATGTCTGACAGAAGGGAAGAAATGTCGGAGGTGGCCTTCTCAGACCCTGTGAAGTGAAAGTGTCTATCCATCCAATGAAAGCGTCTACTCAGACCAAGAGGTATTTTAGTTTCCTGACTCGAAGCAGGTGAGTAAAGTCAATTTGCCAGTCCTGGGCGGGGGCAAATCCCCGAGCTTGATGTGGAGGGAAGGGAGGGGGCCTGAACAATCCCTGAGGAGTAGTAGAATAGCAGATGGAACACTGAGAAGTGATTTCCTTGAGGATAGATTTCCACGATGGAAAGAAAATGAGAGGTTCTAAGAGATAGGCTAGCGGTTTGTAACCTACATGGAAGAGGCTATGAAATGACGACAGAATAGAATGGGCCTGTGAGGCTGGAAGGAGATATTTTCCTTGGTCCAAGAACCATTTGCCTTGTGTGGGAAGATATTGATAGGTGGAAGTTTCAGTGGGAGAGTAGGTGGGAGTGACCAATGAGAAGGAGAAAAACTGGCCATGAGGGACAGAAGTTGGAACGCCAGCAGCTTCTTTAGCTACCTTGTCAGCATAAGCATTGCCCTGAGAGATGGGATCTGACGCCTTTTGATGACCCTTGGAGTGAATGACTCCAGCTTCCTTTGGAAGTAAAGCGGCCTAGAGAAGAGTTTTTATTAAAGAGGCATTAATGATGGAGAACCCTTGCATAGTGAGGAAACCTCTTTCAACACATATGACAGCATGGTGGTGCAAGATATGGGAGGCATATTTAGAGTCAATATAAATATTGATGCATAGTCCTTTTGCAAGAGTGAAGGCCCAAGTTAAGGAAATGAGTTCAGCTTGCTGAGAGGTAGTGGAGGTGGGCAGAGAAGTAGCCTCAATGAGATATGGAATATACTATAGCATAGCCTGCCTTTGCTGGTGAGTGGCAATCAGGCCTGGTGGAACTGCCATCAATAAACCAAATGTGATTAGGGTGAGGAACAGGAAAGAATGAAATATGCAGAAATGGAGTGAATGTCAGGGGGATCAGAGAGATACAGTCATGGGGGTAAGGTGTGGTATCTGGAATAATGTGGGGGCCAGCCTAAAACAGTAAGGTCAAATTGTTTGGACAGAAAGGCTACAGGGTGTGGTCCTGGCTCTTGTGTAAGAATTCCAACTGCACAGCCCTGCACTTCAGCTGTGTGTAATGAAAAAGGGTTGGGATGAGTTAGGGAGAGCTAGTATGGGAGCAGCTGCTAGGGCTGTTTTTAAGGAATGTAAAGAGGAGTGGGGAAAGAATTTAGGATCTATGGGGTCAACTAGGTTTCCTTTTGTGAGTTTATATAATGGTTTAATCAGATGGCAAAACAAGGTATCCAAAGGCGAAAGTATCCGACCACGACCAGGAAGGAAAGGAGTTGTTGTTTTGTAGAAGGGGTTGGGGTTTGAGAGACCAGCCAGACATGATTGGCAGGGAGAGCATGCGTGTTTTCATGAAGAATTATGCTGAGGTAGGTAATGGATGGGGAAGAAATTTGAGCTTTGGAGGGGGATAACTGATGTCCTTTGGAGAATAAATGTTGAAGGAGCAGGAGGGTATCTTGTTGAGAAGACTCAAAGGAGGGACTACAGAGTAGAAAGTCATCAATGTATTGAATAAGGTGGGAAGCAGAGAGGTGGAAAGAAAGTAAATCATGAGAAAGGGCTTGGCTGAAGTAATGAGGGCTGTCCCAGAAGCCTTGTGGCAGTAAAGCCCAGGTAAGTTGCTGGGACTGATGGGTTTCAGGGTCAGTCCAGGTAAAAGCAAAGAGGGGCTGGGACAAGGGGTGCACGGGAATCATGAAAAAAGTGTCTTTAAGATCAAGAATGGAATAGTGAGTTGTGGAGGGAGGTATTGAGGACAAAAGAGTGTACAGGTTGGGCACCACAGGGTGGATAGGCAAAACAATTTGGTTAATAAGGCACAGATCCTGAACCAACCTGTAAGACTTGTCCGGTTTTTGGACAGGTAAGATGGGGGAATTGTAAGGAGAGTTTGTAGGCTTTAGTAGCCCATGCTGTAGCAGGCGAGTGATAACAGGCTTCAATCCCCTTAAAGCCTGTTGTGGGATGGGATACTGGTGTTGAGCAGGGTAAGGGTGATTAGGTTTTAATGGGATAGTAATGGGCATGTGATCAGTTGCCAGGACGGGAGTAGAGGTGTCCCCATACCTGTGGGTTAAGGTGGCAGGATACAAGAGAAAGACATGAAGGAGGCTTTGGGTTGTGAAGAAGGGCAGCAATGAAATGTGGCTGTAGTCCAGGAATAGTCAGGGAAGCAGATAATTTGGTTAAGATGTCTCGGCCTAATAAGGGAACTGGGCAGGTGGGGATAACTAAAAAGGAGTGTTTAAAAGAATGTTGTCTGGCCGGCTGCTGTGGCTCACGCCTGTAATCCCAACACTTTGGGAGGCCGAGGCAGTTGGATCACGAGGTCAGGAGATGGAGACCATCCTGGCTAACACGGTGAAACCCCGTCTCTACTAAAAATACAAAAAAAAAAAAAAAAATAGGCATGGTGGTGGGCGCCTGTAGTCCCAGCTACTCGGGAGGCTGAGGCAGGAGAATGGCATGAGCCTAGGAGGCGGAGCTTGCAGTGAGCCAAGACCCCGCCACTGCACTCCAACCTGGGCAACAGAGCGAGACTCCGTCTCAAAAAAAAAAAAAAAAAAGAATGTTGTCCAAGTTGGCACTAGAGTTGGAGAGTTTTAAGAGGTTTAGCAGCCTGGCCGTCAATACCCACAGCAGTTATGGAGGCAAGGAAATAGGCCCTTGAAAAGAAGGTAATGTGGAGTGGGTAGCCTCCATATTGATTAAGAAGGGGATGGACTTACCTTCCACTGTAAGAGTTATCCAAAGCGTCTGTGATGGTCCAGGAGGCTCCTGGCCTCATGATCTGCCCACCCCGGCCTCCCAAAGTGCTGGGATTACAGGCATGAGTCACTGTGCCCCGCACAAATTATCTTTTCAACAGCAATCATCTCCTGATCTGTTAGCCTCACTATACCTGAATAAAAACAGAATCCCAGGTACAGTTAACAATAGTCTTCCATCGGAAATTGGGTGCTGTTAGGAAGGGGTATAGATGCTGAGTCACTTCAAAATGACAACTATCTACTGCACAATGCAGACAGAGGCAAATGAAGCCAGTCAGGAGTATGGGGGTAGGGTAGACAGGAGAATGGCAGGCAACTGGGAAAGCTTGAAAGAGAGTTGAGGAGAGCAACTCCAGTTTATCACTGTCAAGCTCCTAGATCTAGGCCCTTAGAAGGTCCACTTCTAACTCTGCAACTTCGAGACTGTGACAAGACCCTGTTTCCTTCCAGGAAGCACCCCGCTTTTTGTTAAGCAAGTCTAAGTTTTTGCTCCTTGCAGCCCATGATTCCTCCTTATAACAGGGAATTTTGCAACCCACATAGATGCACCTCAGACTATACAAACGCCTTTATCCAGCCTATGGCCCAATGGTTATCTGTCCAGGCACCTCCTGCCTTTCCCCTTCCCTCTCCTTCCCCAGCCTGACCGCCTCTGGGCTTAGGATCCCAGGCCAGTGCCTTCCTAGCCCGGATGCTCCCTTCTTTTCTGGTCCAGCTACCTCCCACCTCGCCTTCCTTGACCTCAGGTGGGGTTTCCCTTCTGCAGAGCAGGGATGGAGGCCGGGGTCCTCCCAGCAGAGAAGCCCTGTGTTCCTCCTCTCTTGCCTGAGCAGCCCCACCCCCAAGGCTGGCAGAGGCTGGCCCTGAAGCTCCTGATCGTCTCCCTCCGGTCTGACTGCCTTACCTTTTTAGCCTAAATCCCAGCCCCTCCTTTTAGGAACTGTCATCATGTTTAATCCTGCCTGGGGGAGACCCCCTCCACCTTCCTAAATGGAAGGTATTCCATTACATGCTAAAGTGCAGTTTAAGTAGCTGTAAGGAAGTGTGACAGAAAGTCTGTCAGAGTGGGGCTGGACTTGCCAAAACTTGGTGTGATGTGGGGACTCTGTCAACGTGCTCCTAGGGAAACCTGAGCTGAGCTGAGGCTGGGGCTGGCAGGATGTTCAAGGTAAGAGGCAGGAAGTGGTGTGGGGGAGGGGCAGCCAAAGCGCTGGACCCCCAGGTGGCCTGAGAAGGACTCCCAGTGGGTGGGGGCCGGGGACTTCTTCCTCGTCATTGTGCTGCCAGACAAAGGCAGATGGGTCACCAGGACACCCAGACTGCATTAGGGTGGCCAGGTTGGGCCCAACTCTTGTTGGAACAGGAGTGGGGGTAGAAGGTGGGTAGGGAGGAGGAGGTTGGACAGGATTTCCTCCAAGTGTTTCAGCCTGAGGCCAGAGGCATCCGGACCTGGAGAGGAAAGGCTCTCCCTCCAGAGGAGAGAAGTTGGTGGTTCCTGGAGGAGAAAACTGGCGCCTTGGCAGCTGGAGGGCCCAGGCCTGGACACCAACAATATTGAACAGCATGAACTGTGCCCGAAGACGGCCAATGGAGCAAATACTGGCAATGGCCCAGCCAGAGTCCATAGACCTTTCCTGGCCACTTCTTGGTGCCCCTCTCTCCCACATGCCCTGGTTTAATCTACACATGCCCAATCTTTATTCTTTTTCTTTCTTTTTTTTTTTTTTTTTGAGACGGCGTCTTGCCTTGTCGCCAAGGTTGGAGTGCAGTGGCATGATCTCGGCTCACTGCAACCTCCGCCTCCAGGATTCAAGTGATTCTCTTGCCTCAGCCTCCCGAGTAGCTGGGATTACAGGCATCCGCCACCACACCCAGCTAATTTTTGTATTTTTAATAGAGATTGGGTTTCACCAGGTTGGCCACGCTGGTCTCGAATTCCTGACCTCAGGTGATCCACCCGCCTCGGCCTCCCAAAGTGCTGGGATTACAGGCGTGAGCCACCGCACCCGGTGATGCCCAATCTTTAGATGAAACCTCCTCTCTGTCTGGCCCAGGGCTGGGTGGTCACAGAGTCAAGGCTCAGTCTGCATTATTTCCTTGGCCTCTCCCCCGGCATCTTCTGCACCTCACTCTGCACTCCCCGATCCCTCCAGGTGAGCCCAGGACCTGCCACACTGTGCCAGCCTCGCCCAAGCCACCCCCCAGCCAGGACGCGGTCTTTCCTGACTCAGCAGGCTGAGGCACCTGAGGCTTTCATTTTAATTATGAACCACTTCAAAGCCTTTCTGGAAGCAGGTGAGAGACAAAAGTGTAAACAAGTGAATGAGTGAGTCATCCGGCCCTCCCTGCCTGGATATTCCTGTCATCCATCCTGCCTCTCTCTCACCCACAGTCTCTGCAATAACCAACCTGGGTTCTCTCCTAATGTGGGGATTGTCCTGGAGCCCAGGCCTTCCAAGGCTCCTCCGCCCGCCAACATCACCTACCTCATCTTCCTCTTCAGCACATCCCCAACATTGTCTAAGCGGTAACTCACCTGAGCAAAGCACTTGACACGGATTCATTCATTTACTCCTCACAACAACCTGATGAGGTAGGTACTATTATGTCCATTTTACAGGTGGCAAAAACAAGGCCTAGAGAGGTGAAGTAACTTATCTGTCTAAGGTTACACAGGTTGGTAGTGGGCCCAAGGTTCAAATTCCAGCAGTCAGGCTGGGCGCGGTGGCTCATCCCTGTAATCCTAGCACTTTGGGAAGCTGGGGCGGGTGGATTGCCTGAGGCCAGGATTTCAAGACCAGCCTGACCAATATGGCAAAACCCCATCTCTACTAAAAATGCAAAAATTAGTCAGGCGCGGTGGCAGGTGCTGTGGTCCCAGCTACTTGGGAGGCTGAGACAGAAGAACTGCTTGAACCCAGGAGGCAGAGGTTGCAGTGAGCTGAGATTGTGCCACTGCACTCTACCCTGGACGACAGAGCAAGACTCCATCTCAAAAAAAAAAAAAAATTCCAGCAGTCTGTTTCCAGAATCACTCCCCCGCCCCCACTTCCCCTCCCCTCCCCTTCTCTTCCCATTTCTTTTCTTTTCTTGAGACAGGGTCTTGCTCTGTTGCCCAGGCTGGAGTACAGTGGCCCAATCACAGCTCACTGCAGCCTTGACCTCTTGGGCTCAAGCAAGCCTCCCACCTCAGCCTCCCACCCCAAGTAGCTAGAACAAAAAGCATGCACCACCATGCCCAGCTGATTTTTTAATTTTTTTTTTTTTTGTAGAATGAGGTCTCACCATGTTGCCCAGGCTGGTCCAAACTCCTGGGCTTAAGCAATCCTCCCACCTTGGCTTCCCAAAGTGGTGGGATTACAAGGCAGGAGCCACTGCTTCCAGCCTGGGTCAGTAGTTTTAAAAACATTTGTATTTATTTCTATCATTACAGAGATGGGGTCTCACTATGTTACCCAGGCAGGTCTTAAGCTCCTCGGCTCAAGTGATCCACCTGCTTTGACCTCCCAAAGTACTGGGATTACAGGTGTGAGCCACCACGCCTGGCTGAGAGTCCGTACTTTTTTGTGTGTGTGTGTGACAGAGTCTCACTCTGTCACCCAGGCTGGAGTACAGTGGCGCGATCTTGGCTGACTGAAACCTCCGCCACCCGGGTTCAAGTGATTCTCCTGCCTCAGCCTTCCGAGTAGCTGGGAGTACAGGCGTGTGCAACAATGCCCAACTAATTTTTGTATTTTCAGTAGAGATGGGGTTTCACCATGTTGGCCAGGCTGATCTCAAACTCCTGACCTCAGGTGATCCGCCCGCCTCGGCCTCCCAAAGTGCTGGGATTACAGGCATGAGCCACCATGCCCGGCCTCAATTCCACCTTTCTAACTGGCTCCCAGGTGCTGTTGATACTGCCGGTCCCAGCAAAAGTCCATACTTTCAAGCACTACCTATCACCCTCCCTCTCTCCTCTTTTTCCCTTACAGAATTCTCAACTACACGTACACATACACTCACACACCTGTGCAAACTGCATTCTCAGGATCTCTTCCAAGTGCAGTTGCCCTGTAGCTCTGAGTTCTGGCTCCGCTCCAATTATGCACACTTACTTGCTTGACAAAGCTCAACCCATAACAAGCACATACTCTCCCTATACTCCCTCTTCTCCAAGGTCAGGAGAAGAGAGAGCCTCTCAGCTCTGGGTGTGGGTGTGTGTGTGTGTGTGTGTGTGTGTGTGTGTGTGTGTGTGTGTGTGTGTGTTGGGGGAGAGGGCAGGATAATCGAGGTGACTTCTTGGTGAGACCTCTGCTCTGGATATCAGTTTTTGGAAGATTCATGGCGGGGACTAGAGGGAAGGCTGGAGGATGGGGAGTTGCAAAGCTGACCCTGCAGCCCATTTCTCTCCATCCAACTGTGACCAGAGCCTCAGCCTCACATTTAGGGAGGGGAGCAAGGGGTGGAGTGTGCAGTGGGGGAGATGTTGGTGGGTGAACATCTCATCACATCCCAGGTCCCATAGCTGGAGAGTCATCGCTGCAGCAAGCTCTTGAGTCAGACAAGCCTGAGTCTGAATCTCACTGCTTTGTGGTCTTGGGCTAGTTCTTGACCTTTCTGAGCCTTAATTACTTAAAGTGGAAAGTGAGATAATGGCAGCTAATTCTAGATGTTGAGTCAACTCCATTTTGCAACCACTACAGTAGTGATTGATTCTGAAAAGAATCATCAATGGATGCTAAAACTATTGGGCAAAAATTTGCTGGGGAATGGACAGTCTCAAAGTATTTTTCCACAGAGCACTGATTAACTTCAAAGGGGAAAAACAATAACCTTTACAATGGATAGATCTGGCAGGAACCATGTTAACCAAGTGATCAAAGGTAGCATCACCAATAATGGGGCAAACCGACATCCTGTGCTTCCCCATTGATGCGCCGAGAAGGACACAGCATTGCTCATGCAGCATCCTTGTCAAAAATGCGTAAACGGAATCTAATCATGAGAAAACTGCCAGACAGCCAAACTCTTCAGAAATGTCAATATAATGAAAGGCAACAAAGATTGAGAATAACTTTACCAGGTTAAAGAAAACTAAAAAGATATGACAACTGACTGCAACGCAGAATCCTGGACCAGACCCTGGATCTGGTCAAAAGAAAAATGCTTTAAACGACAGTATTGGGACAAAGGGTAAAATTTGAATGTGGATCATGTAATAGATGAATAATATATTGTATCAATGATATGTCCGTGACTTGGTAATTGTTCTGAGGAAATGTAAGAGAATATATTTATTATTTATTATTTTTTTTTTTGAGACCAAGTCTTGCTCTATCACCCAGGCTGGAATGCAATGGCGCAATCTCAGCTCACTGCAACCTCCACCTCCCAGGTTCAAGCGATTCTCTTGCCTCAGCCTCCTGAGTAGCTGGGATTACAGGCGCTCACCATCACATGCCCAGCTAATTTTTGTATTTTTAGTAGAGATGGGGTTTTACCATGTTGGCCAGGCTGGTCTTGAACTCCTGACCTTAGGTGATCCACTCACCTTGGCCTCCCAAAGTGTTGGGATTACAGGCTTGAGCCACCAAGCCCGGCCTGAGAATGTATTTATTCTTAAGAGATATGGGCCGGCCAGGTGTGGTGGCTTATGCCTTGAAATCCCAACACTTAGGGAGGTTGAGGCGGGAGGAGGTTGAGCCCAGGAAGTCAAGAATCAGGAGTTGGAGACCAGCCTGGACAACAAAGTAAGACCTCGTATCCACAAAATAAAAAATTAAAAAATTAGCTGGGTGTGATAGCATGTGCCTGTGGTCTCAGCTACACAGCAGGCTAAGGCAGGAGGATCGCTTGAGCCCAGCAAGTCAAGGCTGCAGTGAGCCGTGATTGCACCACTGCACTCCAGCCTGGATGACAGAGCAAGACCCTCAAAAACAAACAAACAAACAAACAAAACTTAAATATATGGTAAAAAGTATTCACAGATAAAGGGTTATGATGTCTGAAACTTAAACTTATATTCAAATGATGGCTCATACACAAAAACTAAAATGATTACATCTATGCATGAAATGCATGTGTTTTTATAAAGAAGAGAGAATAAAATGTAGTAAAATATTCATTATCAGTGAAAAGGTATTTGAGAGTTTATTATACTATTCTTTTAGCTTTTCAGTGCGTTAAAATTTTTTCAAAATAAGAAGGTTGTTAAAAGGGAGTTCCTGAATTCACACAAGTGGTACGTCCATCCTGGCACTTACTAGACCTTAACTGAGGCCAGTTCCCACCTCTGCAGGACTGTAGGTCCCGGGAGCAGTACACCCCAGGCTGCCCAGTGAGACAGGGGTCAAGTTCCTTCCCCATCCTAGGCCTCTATTGAAATCTCCAAGCTTCAGCCTCCTTTGTAGCCACTCTCGGGATCTCCCGGCCAGAGCTGAGAGGTGGGGAATAGGAAGGGATGGTGGGGGAAAGGAAAACAGTCCTTCCTCTTTCCTCACTCCCAAGAATGGGATCTTTGAAGAGTCCAGACAGATTTGTCCAATGTATCAGGTGATTTGTGCTGAGGGATTCTGTGGACAGAAGAGGTACTGATTGAGAAGCAGGAATGCCCCGCTTTACTCTCCTGCCTCTTGGCAATGGCTGCGCCTCCGAGCCCAGGAGGGTGTTCTACCCAGAGCCACGGAGGCATCACTCAGCCCTGGGAAAGCAAGCCTGAGTGTCAACATTCTGGCAGAGAGAAGTGCTAGATGCTTATTTGAAGATGTCTGAACAGACTTGTTTGAGAGACAGCTGGAGTTGTGAAGTAATCCTGGCGTCTCCCCATGTCTCGGTTTTGAAGGCAGGCTTTGCCTGCAGGCCTCTGACCTCTAACGTCCTTCTATTCTTGTTAGCAATTGACAAAACTTTGCTTAAGACAGAAGTCAACACAGAGAGGGGCTCATCATTGCTACTAGAAGGGCTAGTAAGACCCTCCCTCCATGGGGCAGAAGCCAGCTCAGTTTGGGATCCTCCAGGCCAAATGCCTGGGCTGGTAATGTCGTAGCGGGTGCACACCATTTCAACTCCATACAGTGACCTCTTCTGGCTCCAGTGGCCCCTGGGAGCCAAGGCCTCCAGCCCCAATGGGCAGTGCCAACCCATGACGGGGGAGTGGCAGGCTCTGGCTCAGAGTCCTGCTTTGGGAATCCTCCCCCAGAGTGGAGCAGGCTCCGGAGCCCATCGGCTGAGGCCAGGCAGAATGAGTCCTAGCAGGACACTAAAGTTCCAGGGAGAACAAGAACATAAAGGAGGCCAAAGGGCTGTCAGCAGAATAATTCAGGTCTGCAAAGCCAGGCCTGGGAGTAAGAGCTGATCAGGACCACAGAAGAGGAGCCTCCAGAGCCATTAACTGCCACCTTCCTCACCTGGCTTCCCTGCTAGTTTCTCTGCCACAGCCCCAGCCCCTGACAGGGGTGTCACACTACAGACCAAGCACAGCGGCCAGGACCCTCCCGACCAGCTCCGTTCTTTGAGAAAGTCCCCCCACCACAACGTGGGCACGGAGGGGCTGCTGATCACCGTATTCTTGCACCCCTGGCTCAGGGAAGATCAGCCCAGGGAGGGGTCCCTGACTCAGACCGGCTGATCAGCTCCTTAACGGGGATTTTACATACAGGCCATAGGAGGCGGAGGGTCTTTCTTGACCCTAAAGTCACTAGTTGAGGTGACAGAATCCTCGAGTTGTCAGTCTTCCCATGTCCCACACGAAGGTCCAACATGAGGAAATGAGGCCGGCACAGCGAAAGGAGCCGAGCCCCAGTGACATGGTTGGTGTTCTGGACCCAGTTGTTCCAGAAGCCCTCCCTGCTCTGTTCGTATCACTTATGGGAGCTAAGCCATTTCTGCCTTTCCCCTTGGGCTACTTTGAGTTAAACTTCTGTCTCTTCTTTAAAGGCCGGGGAGAGGGCACTGATTAATGTGCTGTGTGAGCCTCCTTCTCCTCCAGTCACGGTCGGTGTGAGCAGGAGTGGATACTTGACCCAAAGGGGAACCAAGACATAGGGCAGAATCAACCTCTCTCTCTCGCCCTCTTCCCCTCTTTATTATTATTATTATTATTATTTAGATGGATTCTTGCTCTGTCACTCAGGCTGGAGTGCAGTGGCATGATCTCAGCTCACTGCAACCTCCACCTCCTGGGTTCAAGCGATTTTCTTCCCTCAGCCTCCCGAGTAGCTGGGATTACAGGTGCCTGCCACCACGCCTGGCTAGTTTTTGTATTTTTAGTAGAGATGGGGTTTCACCGTGTTGGACAGGCTGGTCTCGAACTCCTGACCTCAGGTGATCTGCCCATCTCGGCCTCCCAAAGTGCTAGGATTACAGGCATGAGCCACCACGCCCGGCCTCTCCCTCATATTTCAACTGAGAGGGAGGGATTACAGTCTGATGGCTGGAACTGAAGGTTGTATAGATTCAGGACTAGGACAACAATTTGGTTGGGGACTCACTAGTGGAAAAAAAGAAGAAAGCTAGCCTGCTGAGATAGATAGGAGAGACGAGAACCATATGAGCAAATTGAGAGAGAGAGAGAGACAGAATTTTCCTAATTCCTGAGCCCCAGTGTGCTTCCTGCCCTTCTTTCTGTGACATTCTCTGAACCCGTATAATATACCCTGTCTTAGGCTTTTCTGGAGGTATAACTGATAGAAACCCACCCAGGCTAACTTACGCAAAAAGGGTAGTCTATTTTTTTTTTTTGAGATTGAGTTTAGCTCTTGTCACCCAGAGTGGGGTGCAGTGGCACAATCTCAGCTCACTGCAACCTCCGCTTCCCAGGTTCAAGAGATTCTCCTGCCTCAGCCTCCCGAGTAGCTGGGATTACAGGCACCTGCTGCCACATCTGGCTAATTTTTATATTTTTAGTAGAGACGGGGTTTCACCATGTTGTCCAGGCTGGTCTTGAACTCCTGACCTTAGGTGATCCACCCGCCTCAGCCTCTCAAAGTGCTGGGATTACAGGCATGAGCCACCACACCCGGCTTTAAAAGGGTAGTCCTTATAAGGATGGCAGGTGTCTCCTGGAACCCTGGGACAGGTGGCACACCTGGGTCTCAGGATGACCTGAAAGCCAGGCAGACCTTCTCTAAATGGGCCTATGGTCTCAAGTATCTTATTTGAGACCAATTTCCTTCAATTCTCCATGTGCATGAGGCTAAACATGGCTGTCAATAGCCCCAGATTATGCAAGTTCAAGTGGCCACAGAGATGTCCGGCCACAGAGATGTCTAGCCCTTGTCCGAATGCCCAGGAGAAAGACTCTGGCAGGCCCAGTCTGGGTCAGTACCTACCTGCTCCAACCAGCCAGGTCTGGTGGAGTGGGGGTCCCATTGTCTGCTACAGCCCACCTCCAGGGAAGGGTCAAAGAGGAGTCCTCAAGGAAGACATATAAATGGCAAACAGGCGTATGAAAAGGTATTCAGTCACTGATCATCAGAGAAATGCAAATCAAAACTATAACGTGATATCATCTCACCCCAGTGAAAATGGCTTTTATCCAAAAGACAGGCAATAACAAATGCTGACGAGGATGTGGAGAAAAGGGAACCCTTGTATGCTGTTGGTTGGAATGTAAAGTAATACAACCACTATGGAGAACAGTTTGGAAGTTCCTCAAAAAACTAAAAATAGAGCTACCATATGACACAGCAATCCCACTGCTGGGTATATACCCAAAAGAAAGAAAATCAGCTTATCAAAGAGATATCTTCACTGCCATGTTTATTGCAGTACTATTCACAATAGCCAGGATTTGGAAACAACCTAAGTGTCCATCAACAGACAAATAGATAAAGAAAATGTGGTACTTATACACAGCGGAGTACTATTCAGCCATGAAAAAGAATGAGATCCTGTTGGCTGGGCGCAGTGGCTCATGCCTGTAATCCTAGCATTTTGGGAGGCTGAGGCGGGCAGATCACTTGAGGTCAGGAGTTTGAGACCAGCCTCGTCAATACAGTGAAACCCTGTCTCTACTGAAAATACAAAAATTAGCCAGACATGGTCGCATGCACTTGTAATCCCAGCTACTTGGGAGGCTGAGGCAGGAGTATCACTTGAACCTGGGAGGTGGAGGTTGCAGTGAGCTGAGATCATGACACTGCAATTCAGCCTGAATGACAGAGCAACACTCCATCTCAAAAAAAAAAAAAAAAAGATCCTGTCATTTGCAACAACATGGATGGAACTGGTGATCATTATGTTAGGTGAAATAAGCCAGGCACAGAAAGACAAACTTCTGGCCAGACGTGGTGGCTCACACCTGTATTCCTAGAACTTCAGGAGGCCGAGGCGGGCAGATCACTTGAGGACAGAAGTTCAAAACCAGCCTGGCCAACATGGTGAAACCCCGTCTCTATTAAAAATACAAAAAATTAACCGGGCGTGGTGGTGCATGCCTATAGTCCCAGCTACTTGGGAGGCTGAGGCAGGAAAATCACTTGAACCTGAGAGGCAGAGGTTACAGTGAGCCGAGATTGTGCCACTGCACTCCAGCCTGGGCAACAGAGCGAGACTCCATCTCACAAAAAAAAAAAAAAAGACAAACTTCTCATCTTCTCACTTATTTGTGGGAGCTAAAAATTAAAACAATTGAACTCATGGAGACAGACAGTGGAGCAATAGTCACCAGAGGCTGGGAAGAGTAGTGGTTGAGGGAGGCAGGAAATGATTAATGGGTACAAAAACATATTAGTTATAATAGAAAGAATGACTAAGACCTAGTATTTGATAGCACAACAGAGTGACTACAGTCAACAATAATTTATTATACACTTAAAAAACTAAAAGAATATAAGTGGATTATTTATAAGACAAAGAAAAGATAAATGCTTGAGGTGATGGATACCCCATTTACCCTAATGTAATTATTACCCATTGTATGCCTGTGTCAAAATACCTCATGTACCCTGTAAATATATACACCCACTAGGTACCCACAAAAATTGAAAATAAAAATCTTTTTCTAAAAAGAGGAATCCTCTGCAGCTGTTATATCAAGCTACTTTGGGTAGGATCCCATTCCCTGCCACTGAACAGAGCTGACTGAAGCAATTGCCGGTAGCTTTGGGGTACCTGTTGCCCCTCTCTCTGTTGGAATTGTGTGCCTCAAGAGTATCTCCAGCTGGATAGAAGGGCCAATTCTTCTCAGAGGCCGAGAATATTCTTCCACGCTGTATCCCCTGCAAACAACTAGAATTCACGGTGATGCCAACCGACTGTCCCTCTCTTCACCCACCTCCTGCCACCATTGCTGAGAGAGAATTGGCCAGTGTCACAGTATCTGACCCACCATGCATTCTGTGGAGGGTGGCAAAGAATCCTACGGAAAGTTCCAAGGGCTGACTCCTATCTGACAGATGTATGACGTTGATCGCAACTTATCCTTTCAGGGAAGACGAATATCAATATTTCACCAGGCCTGGACAATCCTGGAACCCTGCACGCTTGACACTGAAGGCAGAATTCTGGAAGTTGAACATAGTGCTACAGATTTCACTGGGGCTGGAAGGTCGTGCTGCAGAGGTGGGCGGGTCAGTGAGAGTCTTAGGCACCTCTTCACCTTCTGCACTTAGGACTCAAAAGACATGGAGTCCACCCAGAGGCCAGAGTTTTCTTTCTTGAGCATCACGTCTGCTTGGCAGAGCCCCTGTGGAATCTCTCTAAGTTCTCATTCCTCCTCATTTGGCAACAGGCATTCCTAGATCTGGGGTGGGGACAGGGGCTGCCTCACAGAGCACAGGCAGCTTGAAGGCTAAAAGTGGGAAAGACGGGATGTTTCCCATTCAATGTTGCTATGCTAAAATGAAAGGATGTCTGGCTTGTTAAAGCAGAGGCACATATATATACTACCTGTATTGAACAGGTGTTTGGGTGTTTGTCCCTTTCAAATCTCATGTTTAAATGTAATCCCCAGGCCGGGCATGGTGGCTCATGCCTGTAATCCCAGCACTTTGGGAGGCCGAGGCGGGCAGATCACTTGAGCTCAGGAGTTCAAGACCAGCCTGGCCAACATGGTGAAATCCCATCTACTAAAAATGTAAAAATTAGCCAGGCATGGTGGCTTTCATGCGCGCCCATGTGAAGAGACCACCAAACAGGCTTTGTGTGAGCAATAAAACTTTTAATCACCTGGGTGCAGGCGGGCTGAGTCTGAAAAGGGAGTCAGCGAAGGGAGACAGGGGTGGGGCCGTTTTATAAGATTTGGGTAGGTAAAGGAAAATTACAGTCAAAGGGGGTTTGCTCTCTGGCGGGCAGGAGTGGGGGTCGCAAAATGCTCAGTAGGGGAGTTTTTGAGCCAGGATGAGCCAGGAAAAGGACTTTCACAAGGTAATGTCATCACCTAAGGCAAGGACCGGCCATTTTCACTTATTTTTGTGGTGGAATGTCATCAGTTAAGGCAGGGCAGGGTATTTTCACTTCTTTTGTGATTCTTCAGTTACTTCAGGCCATCTGGGCGTATACATGCAAGTCACGGGGGATGCCACGGCTTGGCTTGGGCTCAGAGGCCTAACAGTGGCACACGCCTGTAGTCTCAGCTACTTGGGAGGTTGAGGCAGGAGAATTGCTTGAGCCCGGGAGGCAGAGGTTGCAGTGAGCCAAGATTGTGCCACTGCACTTTAGCCTGCGCAACAGAGCTAGACTCCATCTCAAAAAGTAAATGAATAAAAGTAAGTAAGTAAATGTAATCCCCAGTGTTGGAGGTGGGGCCTGGTGAGAGGTGTTTGGGTCATGGGGGCGGATCCTTCATGAATAGCTTGGTGCTGTCCTCACAATAATGAGTGAGTTCTCACTCTGAGTTCACGTGAGATCTGGTTGTTGAAAAGGGTATGGTGGCCAGGCACAGTGGCTCACATTTTTAATCCCAGCACTTTGGGAGGCCAAGGCAGGAGGATGACTTGAGCCTAGGAGTTTGAGACCAGCCTGGGCAACATGGCAAGACTCCGTCTCTGTAAAAAATGAAAAAATTACTGGTCATGGTGGTGTTAGCCTGTGGTCCCAGCTACTCAGGAGGCTGATGGGGGAGGATCACTTGAGTCTGGAAGGTGGAGACTGCAGTGAGGTATGACTGTGCCACTGTACTCCAGCCTGGGGACAGCCCTGTCTCAGAAAAAAAAAGGGGTGTGTGTGGCACCCACTCCGTCCCCCACTGACTTTCTCACCATGTGATAGGCCAGCCTCCTATTCTCCTTCTGCCGTGATTAGAAGCTTCCTGAGGCCTCACCAGAAGCTGAGCAGATATTGGTGCCATGCTTCTTGCACAGCCTGCAGAACCATGAACAATTAAATGTCTTTTCTTCATAAGTTACCCAGCCTCAGATATTTCTTTATATCAATACAAGAACAGACTAACACAAAGGGATAATTCAGAATTTAAAATGAATACAAAAAAAATACAAACAGTAAGCCTTCTTCATACCTGAGTAGTGTCTCCTCACACATTCAGCACAGCCCTGTTCCCTTCCCCAGCACTTTTTTTTTTTTTTTTTTGAGACAGAATGTCACTTTGTTGCCCAGGCTGGAGTGCAGTGGCACCATCACAGCTCACTGCAGCCTTGACTTCCTGGGCTCTAATCATCCTCCCACCTCAGCCTCCCAGGTAGCTGGGACTACAGGTGTGTGTGTGCCATCATGCCAAGCTAATTTTTTATTTTTTGTAGAGAAGAGGTCTCACCATGTTGCCCAGTCTGGTCTCCAGCTCTTGGGCTCAAGTCATCCTCCCACCTCTGCCTCACAAACTGCTGGGATTGCAGGTGTGAGCTGCCACACCTGGTTCCCCATCGCTCTAATCTAACACTAATGTTCTCCTTCAACTCGAGTAAAATACAATTTCCTGAATCATCCTGAGTGACCTCCAGTTGTCCTCACTGCTCATTACATGCTAATTATAATGCATTAGCATCCTAAAAGACACTCCCACCAGCACCATGACAGTTTACAAATGCCATGGCAATGTCTGGAAGTTACCCTATATGGTCTAAAAAGGAGAGGAACCCTCAGGTCCAGGAATTGCCCATCCCTTTCCAGGAAGACTCATGAATAATCCACCACTTGTTTAGCATATAATCAAGAAATAACCGTAAAAAACAGAAGCCCCCATCCTGGCTAACACGGTGAAACACCATCTCTACTAAAAAAATACAAAAAAAATAGCCAGGCGTGGTGGCAGGCGCCTGTAGTCCCAGCTACTCTGGAGGCTGAGGCAGGAGAATGGCTGAACCCGAGAGATGGAGTTTTCAGTGAGCCAAGATCGCACCACTGCACTCCAGCCTGGGCGACAGAGCGAGACTCGTCTCAAAAATAAAACAAAAAAACCAGAAGCCCTCAGGGCTGCTCTGCCTATGGAGTAACCATTCTCTTATTCTTTTACTTTCCTAATAAACTTGCTTTCACTTTCTGGATTCACCTCAAATTCTTTCTTGTGCAAGATCCAAAAACCCTCTCTTGGGGTCTGGGTAGGGACCCCTTTCGGGTAACATAACCATGAGAAAACCACAGAAAAATCCAGATTGAGGGACGTTCTACAGAATTCCTGACCTGTACTCCTCTAAACTGTTAAGGGAATAAAAAACAGGGAAAGCCTGAGAAACTGTCACAGACACAGACTAAGACGATGTGATGACCAAATGTAATGTGGCATCCTGGATAGAATCCTGAAACAGAAAAGGGATGTTAGTGGAAAAACATCCTTTAGAGAAAGGATGTTAGTGAAATCTGATTAAATAAAGTGGCAAGTTTAGTTAGTAGCAATGTACTGATGTTGTT